>NT_167249.2:3754881-4063073 GCF_000001405.40 Homo sapiens
GGAGTATCTTGTGTCCTGGACCCTTTGCAAGAACCCTTCCCCTAGCAACAGATGCGTCATCTCAAAATATTTTTCTGATTGGCCAAAGAGTAATTGATTTGCATTTTAATGGTCAGACTCTATTACACCCCACATTCTCTTTTCTTTTATTCTTGTCTGTTCTGCCTCACTCCCGAGCTCTACTGACTCCCAAAAGAGCGCCCAAGAAGAAAATGGCCATAAGTGGAGTCCCTGTGCTAGGATTTTTCATCATAGCTGTGCTGATGAGCGCTCAGGAATCATGGGCTATCAAAGGTAGGTGCTGAGGGAATGAAATCTGGGACGATAGACTACGAAGCATTGGAGAAAAGACCTATGGACATTTGGAAGATAATGTGTGGAGTGAAAGAATAGTGTGACAGGTATTATGTGGTCTCGACAGAAAGTATAACAAATTGTGGTTTGGTGGAGTTCTTCCCTCACCACAAACTGAAGTAAGTCAAATTTGGTTTAGAGGGTCAAAACTGAGTTGTGTATTGATGAATAGCACGGTCCTGCTACAAGCCAAACTGGGGGTGGGGGTGGGGGTGGGGGAGGAAGAATATTTTCTGGCAAGCATTAACAAGTTATATTTCTGGGCTTTAATTATTCTTTCTGGAAAATTAGTAAAATTAAAAACTAAAAACCACACATAGTTTTGCTAGAATTAAATGAAAAAAAAAGTTATTAGCCCTGTTCTTATCTGAATACATGATACAGTAGTTATTTTTTGGAGTGTAAATCCTGTCGGTATATATTGAGCACATATATTGTGTTGAAGATTACTAGAAGGAAAAGTCATCAAAAAGCAACAATTTACCCCAGGAAAAGGGGAGGGAAGGCATGCTGATATGAGTTGCCTCATGGGACAGTGATAGCCATTCCCTGCCTTCCCATCTCCATGGTACAGCAGATCTTATATCATGTTAACTTAGTAATATTTCCAAGAGAGTAGAAAAATAAGTAAGGAAATGGGGAATCTGATATTATTGTCTCTCATCTCCAGAGCAACATTGGTGCTGTTGTAAAGATGTACTGTAGAAAAGTATTCTTCACCCAGCGTGACCCCCACAGAAGGTGTCAGGTAGACTTGAAATAAGCAAAGTAATAACCCAGCTCCCATACCCATAGTGGCAATTGTAGATTTCTATTGCCCCAAAAGAGCCATACATAGGGATACTTACCTAGAAAGACAGAGGATCTTCCCTTGGTTTGTGAAGAGGCAGCTAGTATATTTGTGTGTGTTTGCATAGATGCAAACGGTAAATAAATTCCTAGGTTTATCAATACACAGTCAAACATTAAAATCTCTCATCTTGGCTGGGCACGGTGGCTCACGCCTGTAATCCCAGCACTTTGGGAGGCCGAGGCGGGCGGATCACGAGGTCAAGAGATCGAGACCGTCCTGGGCAACATGGTGAAACCCCGTCTCTACTAAAAATACAAAAAATTAGCTGGGTATGGTGGCACACGCCTGTAGTCCCAGCTACTCGGGAGGCTGAGGCAGGAGGATTGCTTGAGCCCGGGAGGCGGAGGTTGCAGTGAGCTGAGATGGTGCCACTGCACTCCAGCCTGGCGATAGAGCAAGACTCCGTCTCAAACAACCAAACCAAAACAAAACAAAATATCTCACCTTATCTTTGAAGACTAAGGAAAAAAAAAATCTCCCACTCATCGATACACTCCACAGAGGCAGCATACTCTCCCAGTGTAGCTTTCTCTTTTCATGTTCATTATTCCCTTGGTGTTGGTTATTCTCAATGTCAATCGTAACAGAACATCTTCCATAATAACAGTCCCAATTTAAGGAGCATTAAGATAAAAGGTGGAATTGCCAAGGTCAATCCAGACGAGAACCTTCTCATAGAGGTAACCACCGTGTGGGTTTGGATGCTGGGAAGCAGGGGGACTATGACGCTACAAGGTCTCAGTCTTAATTTTTGGAGTACTTCAGTCCCCAGGTATATTTTCCATAGATTTGGCCCTTAAATAAAAAGAAGCTTCTGACTCTAAAATGTAAACAGTGCTTGTTACAGTCTTGTTGATATATTAAGAAATTACTCACCTTATCTCATTTAATCTTAAAAACAAACCCCTGACAGGATCAAAACCACAGCAGGACTACATAATAGGAAAACTATACATAAATAGGTAGAATAATCTGCTCAGGATCACTAGGTAAGTTGCTGAATAAGAATTCAAGATGTTTTTGATCCCAGAGTTTAAAACCCAACCTTTCAAACAGTGTTTCCTTCTTCTTAGAGTACAATGTTCTGAGAAAGAGATCCTCTGGAATTCTGGCCTAAGTGTATTTAATGCCCGGGTAAAGAAAGTGAGAGAACATTTCTCTTTAGGGGCTGCTGCTGGATTTCTAAAAAGAAAATAATTTCTCAGCTAGTAACATGGAGCCAAACAACAGCTTCACAAGACTCTGGGTTCTTTAGCCCTCATCTCCTTCAATCCACCCTCTTTATAACCAGTCCTTCTTGTTTTTCCCCTCCCAGCTTTGTTCAGCAGCATGCCCTTCACCCAGACCTTGTCTTGTCACTCATCCCTACTCGCCATCATTCTTTCATTCCTCTTGGCCCAATCTCTCTCCACCACTTCCTGCCTACATGTATGTAGGTTATTCATTTCCCTCTCTTGATTCCCCCCACCCAACTCTCTTTCTCCATTTCTTGCCTTTCAGAAGAACATGTGATCATCCAGGCCGAGTTCTATCTGAATCCTGACCAATCAGGCGAGTTTATGTTTGACTTTGATGGTGATGAGATTTTCCATGTGGATATGGCAAAGAAGGAGACGGTCTGGCGGCTTGAAGAATTTGGACGATTTGCCAGCTTTGAGGCTCAAGGTGCATTGGCCAACATAGCTGTGGACAAAGCCAACCTGGAAATCATGACAAAGCGCTCCAACTATACTCCGATCACCAATGGTACCTCCCTCTCTGCTGCACTCCTGGACATGGGAATCCATAGTTTGAAAGTAGTTGCTTCAGCTCTTTGTGTTAGATTATTGTAACTGATTTTCCCTCCAAGGGCCTAACCTTGCCATTAACAAGCCCCAAATTCTCATGCCAGAGGTCTGAGAACTTTATGGGTTTGATCCTATCTTGTTGTGCTCAAGTCTTGTCTCTGTCATCCATGGTCTCCTACGAAGTCATTGCCCTAAGTTCATGCTAGGGGAGCCAGAAGGGAAGTCCTTGGATATCTTATACCTCAATATTGGCTCAATTTCTTGGGGAGGGGGTGCTGTCAGAGATTGTTATCTGAGGATGTGACATAGATTTCTCAGGGCACAATTTCAACTACTTTTTCAGCTTTAGGGTTTTTAGATACGTTTGTACCACAATTGAGCATGGGAGGGAGAGGGGTGAGCCTAAGCAGTGATGGCTGATTTCTGTCACGTCTGTCATGTGTCCCCCAGTACCTCCAGAGGTAACTGTGCTCACGAACAGCCCTGTGGAACTGAGAGAGCCCAACGTCCTCATCTGTTTCATCGACAAGTTCACCCCACCAGTGGTCAATGTCACGTGGCTTCGAAATGGAAAACCTGTCACCACAGGAGTGTCAGAGACAGTCTTCCTGCCCAGGGAAGACCACCTTTTCCGCAAGTTCCACTATCTCCCCTTCCTGCCCTCAACTGAGGACGTTTACGACTGCAGGGTGGAGCACTGGGGCTTGGATGAGCCTCTTCTCAAGCACTGGGGTATGGACCAACACTCAATCTCCTTTATTTCAAGGTTTCCTCCTATGATGCTTGTGTGAAACTCGGTGTTCTAACTGTTTCATAATATCTGCTACAATTAATATAACTGTCTTCTCCTACTATCCAGCTTCCTCCTTTTTTTAATCTGTAATTCTCTCAATACATCATTCTGTCTTCCTCTTCTTTAATCTATGAATAACTTTTCTCTTTATTAAGAACCCTACATTTGATTCTGAGTGTTACTTCTTCCCACACTCATTACCATGTACTCTGCCTTATCTCCCCCCAGAGTTTGATGCTCCAAGCCCTCTCCCAGAGACTACAGAGAACGTGGTGTGTGCCCTGGGCCTGACTGTGGGTCTGGTGGGCATCATTATTGGGACCATCTTCATCATCAAGGGAGTGCGCAAAAGCAATGCAGCAGAACGCAGGGGGCCTCTGTAAGGCACATGGAGGTGAGTTAGGTGTGGTCAGAGGAAGACATATATGGAGATATCTGAGGGAGGAAAACAGGGTGGGGAAAGGAAATGTAATGCATTTAAGAGACAAGGTAGGAACAGATGTGGCTCTTGATTTCTCTTTGCTAGAATGAATCAGACATTGGTATCATCTGGTATCCCAAAGCTTCAGGGTCTGTCATCCCTTTCTATAGACGGGCACCTTGATCACGGCTCCAGTCTTAGAAATCATCTCCAGTACCTAAAACCATTGTTTCACATTAGAATACTGAGTCTAGGGATCTAGAAAATACATTAGAATATGGAGTCTAGGGATCTAGAAAATACTGAGTCTAGGGATCTAGAAAAATAAGCCTCAAGATTTGGGCACATCCTAGCTTGTATTTCCTGGGGCAGGTCATCAGTTCAGAAGCATTTCCAGATCCTGGCTCCTTTCAGGTTAGGGTCAATTCATTGCATGAAATGGGAATCTCTTAGAGGCCAATGCCTGCTTTTGCTTCTTTAGTCTCAAATGTAGTATGAGAAACTCTAAAAAAAGGTAAAGCATGGTTGCTTATTATGTTCAGTTGGAGAGTAGGAACTAACTGTATACAGTTAGTTCATGTTGGAAAGGTTAGATGAACATTGAAAGAATTTTGCAAAGTCAAAGGATTAAGAGAGAAGAGGAAGGAATCTGAAGCAAGGAGCTCAAAACGGATCTTAAATTCCTTGGTAACTATGTGTGTCTTGCTATAGGTGATGGTGTTTCTTAGAGAGAAGATCACTGAAGAAACTTCTGCTTTAATGACTTTACAAAGCTGGCAATATTACAATCCTTGACCTCAGTGAAAGCAGTCATCTTCAGCGTTTTCCAGCCCTATAGCCACCCCAAGTGTGGTTATGCCTCCTCGATTGCTCCGTACTCTAACATCTAGCTGGCTTCCCTGTCTATTGCCTTTTCCTGTATCTATTTTCCTCTATTTCCTATCATTTTATTATCACCATGCAATGCCTCTGGAATAAAACATACAGGAGTCTGTCTCTGCTATGGAATGCCCCATGGGGCATCTCTTGTGTACTTATTGTTTAAGGTTTCCTCAAACTGTGATTTTTCTGAACACAATAAACTATTTTGATGATCTTGGGTGGAATTTTTGGTGTTTAAGCCAGTTCTTTGGGTGGCGGTGGGGGGTGGGGAGTCGGTCCTGGGGAATATATGTGATCCTTTCCCGGTAAAATATCTGAATGTTGAATTTATCTTATAAATTCTAGAATTCATCAGACATATCCCGGTTCATTTGGGCTTGGTCTCATTTTGTGCATCTGCAGGCAACCCTCTTGTTGTGGTCTAGTCCTCATCAGGAAAACCTAAAGTGGGGTTGGTTTGTTGGGAGATCTCTACTGAGCAATGATATAACTCTGTCTTCAGTAGAGTGAATCTGAAACCCCAAGGTATGGATCTCAGAATGCATGGGATAGAGGGGAGCAGATGGGGTTAGAGTGGGGAGAAGGAAGACAGAAGAATCCATAAACATTGCAGGATTTACATATCAACATCGTTCATTCCAGATTTAATGAGCAAAGAGGTTGGACACTGAAGACTGGCCTTACCCATTCTGTTAGACATAGTCTCAGATGCCTATTTTATTACCGAGAGAGTAGTCTGACTGATTCTTGAAACCACCTTATATTTGAAGATGTGTCTTTGAGTGGAAAAGCTGAGTGAAATTTGGGGTTGGGGAGAAAGATATGACATTAAGATGAGAGGAAGGAATATTTGAAACACAATGAACTGTTGCTCATTTGTCTATAAAACTATGACTTGATATTTATCTCTAAAATAGTTTCTAGAACCTGCCATAAACCACTAAGATAAACTATTCATGATAGTGTGGTAGACTGCAAATAAATGCTGTTGAAATGAGTTAGGCTTGGGTTTCATCTTGGCTGTATCATTTACTAGCTATGTTTTCACTGGTATCTTACTTAACTTAGCCTCACATTACTCATGAAAATACTGGTGTTAATTTTTACTACATTGAATTAATATCAGAATTAAAAGGAAAACGCAAGCAAAGTAATTAGATACATGCTTAGTGATAATAAAATATTGCAAAAAATTATACATTCTGTTGTTTTTCTCAAAATTTCTATAGACTGATGATAAAAATCTAAGAGAAGCTAAACAAAACAAGGATAAACCAAAGCATCATGACATTCTAAGCCTTACTAATAAATAAGAAGTTTCTCGGCTGGGCACGGTGGCTCACGCCTGTAATCCAGCACTTTGGGAGGCCGAGGTGGGCGGATCACAAGGTCAGGAAATCAAGACCATCCTGGCCAACATGGTGAAACCCCATCTCTACTAAAAATACAAAAATTAGCCAGGCGTGGTGATAGGCGCCTGTAATCCCAGCTACTCTGGAGGTTGAGGCAGGAGAATCTCTTGAATCCGGGAGGCAGAGGTTGCAGTGAGCCGAGATCGCACCACTGCGCTCCTGCCTGGCAACAGACTGAGACTCCGTCTCAAAAAAAAAAAAAAAAAAAGTTTCTCTACTGTTGGTTCAGAGAATCAAAGCAGAATCTTGAGACTACTGATGGTAGAATAGGTACGAGTGTCTTTCTTACATGACTACAAACTTTATTATAAAATAAATAGCTTAACACAGAGAATACACTAAAACTTAGACAAGCATGGATTAAGAAAGCAAAAAGTAAACCCATATACTACCATGTAAGAAAACCATTTTTGGCCAGGTGCGGTGGCTCACGCCTGTAATCCCAGCACTTTGGGAGGCCGAGGCGGGCGGATCACGAGGTCAGGAGATCGAGACCATCCTGGCTAACATGGTGAAACCCCGTCTCTACTAAAAAAAAAAAAAACAAAAAATTAGCCGGGTGTGGTGGCGGGTGCCTGTAGTCCCAGCTACTCGAGAAGTTGAGGCAGGAAAATGGCGTGAACCCAAGAGGCAGAGCTTGCAGTAAGCCGAGATCACACCACTGCACTCCAGCCTGGGCGACAGAGCGAGACTCCATCTCAAAAAAAAGAAAAAAAAAAAAAAAAAAAGGAAAACCATTTTAATAGACTTTTATTTTTAGAGCTGTTTTAAGCTAACAGAAAAATTGCAGAAATTGTATACAGAGCTCCCCCACCCCCAGTTTCTACAATGCTTAACATCCTGTATTAATGTGGTACACTTGTTACAATTGATGAACCAATACTAATAATTATTATTAACTAAAATTCATAGTTATACGAGGGTTCACTCTGTATTACACAGTTATATGGGTTCTGACAAATACATAATATCATATATCCACCATTACAGGATTAAACAAAATAGCTTCACTGATCTAAAAATGACCCAGGCTCCATCTACTCATCCTTCCTTCCTCCCTCTGAGCCATTGGCATTCTCTGAGCTATTTACTAGTGTTTTGCCTTTTTCAGAATGTCACATACTTGTAATCATACAGCATAGAGCTTTTTCAGATGAGATTCTTTTGCTTAGCCATATGCATACAGGTTTCCTGCGTATATTGTCATAGCTTGATAGCTTATTTTTCTTTAATGTTAAATAATACTCCATTGTATAAATGTACTATGGTTTATTTACCCATTAATCTATTGAAGGACATCTTGGTTGCTTCTAATTTTTGGCAATTATGAATAAAGCTGCTATAAACATCCATGAACAGATGTTTGTGCAAACACAAGTTTTCCACTTTGGATAAATACATAGAAGTGCAATTGCTGGATCATATGGTAAGAGTATGTTTAACTTTGTTAGAAACAACTAGAATATCTTCCAAAATGGCTGTATCATTTTGCATTCCTACCAGCAATGAATGAGAGTCCCTGTTTTTCTATATCCTTGCCAGCATTTGGTATTCTGGGGTTTGGGATTTAAGCAAGAAAGCCATTTTAATATTTTTTTATTTTAAAATAATTATAGATTCAGGGGAAATTGCAAAGACAGTATAGAGACATTCTGCATACGCCTTCACCCAGTTTCTCCAAATGTTTATATTTTAAGTAATTATAGCACAGTAGCAAAACCAAGAAAATACCTTGATACAATGTGTATGTATAGTTTTATGCATATGTCTTATCACATTTGTAGATTCATGTAACCACCACCACAATCAAGCACAGAGCTATTCCATATCACAGAGATCTTCATCATGCTTCCCTTTATAGCCAAATTCCCCCCACACAATCACCTTAACAACTTAAAACCACTAATTTCTTTGCTATTAATCTCTAGAATAGTGTCATTTTGAAAATACTAGTTAAATGGAATCATGCAGTATGTGACTGGTGTTTTTCACTTAGCATAATACCCATGAGATCCATCCAAGCTGCTGCATATATCAACAATCTTTTTTTTTTTTTTATTGCTAAGTAGTATTCCATGGTCTAAATGCAGCACAGTTTGCTTAACTATTTGCCTATTGAAGGACATTTTGGCTGTTTCTAGTTTGGGGTCACTATAAATAAGGCTGTTTTGAACATGTGTTTAAGGTTTTTCTATGAGCATGAGTTCATGAGTTTTCATTTCTCTGGTATAAATGTCTGGGATATAATTCATGGGCATATGGAAATATATGTTTAGTTTTTCAAGAAACTGCCAAACTTAGCCAAGTATGATGATGATGGCTTATACCTGTAATCCCAGCACTTTGGGAGGCCAAGGAGGAAGGATAAATTGAGGCCAGGAATTTGAGGCCAGCCCCAGCGTCTACACTTTTTTTTTTTTTTTTTGAGACAGAGTCTCGCTCTGTTGCCAGACTGGAGTGCCGTCATGCGATCTCGGCTCACTGCAACCTCCGCCTCCCAGGTTCAAGCAATTCTTCTGCCTCAGCCTCTCGAGTAGCTGAGACTACAGGTGCACACCACCACGCCCAATTAATTTTTGTATTTTTAGTAGAGACAGGGTTTCACCATGTTGGCCAGGATGGTCTTGACCTCATGACCTCGTGATCCGCTTGCCTTGGCCTCCCAAAGTGCTGAGATTACAGGCATGAGCCACCGTGCCCGGCCAAATGTTTTGTTTTGTTTTTGTTTTTTGTTTTTTGTCAGGTGGATGAGGTGGCATGCCCCTATAGTCACAGCTACTTGGGAGGCTGAGGTGGGAGGATTGCTTGAGCCCAGGAATTTGAGGCTGCAGTGAGCCACTGCACTTCAGCCTATCTGACAGAGCAAGATCCTGTCTCCAAAAGGAAGGAAGGGAGGGAAGAAGCAAGGAAGGAAGGAAGGAAGGAAGGAGAAAAAAGAAGGGAGGGAGGGAGGAAGGAAGAAAGGAAAGATGGAAGAAAGGAAGGAAGGGAGGGAGGAGAAAGAGAAAGAAAAAGAAGGAAGGAAGAAGGGAAGGAGGGAGGGAAGGGAGGAAGGGAGGGAGGGTGAAAGGAAGGAAAGAAGGAAGGAAGGAGAAAGAAAAGGAAGAGAGAAAGAGAAAGGAAAAGAAGGAAGGAAGAAGGGAAGGAGGGAGGGAAGGGAGGAAGGGAGGGAGGGTGAAAGGAAGGAAAGAAGGAAGGAAGGAGAAAGAAAAGGAAGAGAGAAAGAGAAAGGAAAAGAAGGAAGGAAGAAGGGAAGGAGGGAGGGAAGGGAGGAAGGGAGGGAGGGTGAAAGGAAGGAAAGAAGGAAGGAAGGAGAAAGAAAAGGAAGAGAGAAAGAGAAAGAAAAAAGAAAGAAAGAAAGAGAGAGAAGGAAAGGAAAGAAAGAAGGAAAGGAAAGAAAGAAAAAGAAAAAGGAAGGAAGGAAAGAAGGAAGGAAGGAAGAAAGAAAAAGAAAGAAGGAAGGAAAGAAAGAAAGAAAGAGAAAGAAAGAAACCGATAAACTATTCTCTAATTGCTTTGTGGGAGTATGGCCACTTTCATCATATTGATTTTTCCTTTTTTTTTTTTTTTTTTTTTTTTTTTTTGCGATAGAGTCTGGCTCTGTCGCCCAGGCTGGAGTGCAATGGCGTGATTTCGGCTCACTGAAACCTCTGCCTCCTGGGTTCAGGTGATTCTCCTGCCTCAGCCTCCCTAGTAGCTGGGATTACAGGTGCACACCATCACGCCTGGATAATTTTTTTGTATTTTTACTAGAGATGGGGTTTCACCATGTTGGCCAGGTTGGTCTCAAATTCCTGACCTCAGGTGATTTGCCTGCCTTGGCCTCCGGAAGTGCTAGGATTACAGATGTGAGCCACCGCGCCCAGACAATATTGATTCTTCCTTTTCCATGAACATGATATTTTTTTCCATTTATTTGTGTCATCTCTGAGTTCTTTGAGCAGTGGTTTGTAGTTTTCCTTGTAGAGATCTTTCTCCTCCCTAGTTAGCTGTATTCCTAGGTATTTCGTGTGTGTGTGGCAATCGTGAATGGGATTACGTTCCTGATTTGGCTCTCAGCTTGACTGTTGTGGTGTATAGGAATGTTAGTAATTTTTCCACATTAATTTTGAATGCCAAGACTTTGCTGAAGTTGTTCATTAGCTTAAAGAGCTTTTGGGCTGAGACTATGGGGTTTTCTTGATATAGGATCATGCCATCTGCAAATAGGCATAGTTCAATTTCCTCTCTTCCTGTTTGGATGCCTTTAATTCTTTTTCTTGCTTGTTGCCCTGGCCAAGACTTCCAATACTATGTTGGATAGGAGTAGTGAGAGAGGGTATCCTTGTCTTGCGCTGGTTTTCAAGGGGAATGCTTCTAGCTTTTTCCCATTTAGTATGGTATTAGCTGTGGGGTTGTCACAGAAGGCTCTTATTATTTTAAGTTATGTTCACTTACTACTCAGTTTATTAAGAGTTTTTAACATGAAGGGATATTGAATTTTATCAAAAACCATTCCTGCATCTATTGAGCTAATCATGTGGTTTCTGTCTTTAGTACTGCTTATGTAATGAATCAAATTTATTGATTTGCATATGTTGAACTAACCTTGCATCACCAAGATAAAGCATACTTGATCATTGTAGATTAGCTTTTTAATGTACTGCTGGATTCAGTTTGCCAGTATTTCGTGGAGGATTTTTGCATCAATCTTCATCAATAATATTTGCCTGAAGTTTTCTTTTGTGTGTGTGTCTGCCAGGTTTTGGTGCTGATCCTGATGATGCTGGCCTCATAGAATGAGTTAGAGAGGTATCCCTCTTCCTCAATTTTTTGGAATAATTATAACAGGAATGGTACCAGCTCTTCTTTGTACATCAGGCAGAATTCAGCTGTGAATTATTCTAGTCCTAGGGGTTTTTTTTGTTTGGTAGTCTACTTATTACTGATTTAATTTCTGAGATCATTATCAGTCTGTTCAGGGATTGAATTTCTTCCTGGTTCTGTCTTGGGAGGGTGTACGTGTCCAGAAATTTATCAATTTCTTCTAGTTTTCCTAGTTTATGTGCATAGAGGTGTTTTTAATATTCTCTGATGGTTATTTGTGTTTCTGTGGGGTCAGTGGTAATATCCCCATTGTAATTTCTGAGCGTGATTATTTGAATCTTCTCTCTTTTCTTCTTTATTAGTCTAACTAGAGGTCTTTTTTTTTATTAATTTTTTTTTAGGAAACCAATTCCTGGACTCATTGATCTTTTGAGTGTTGTTTTTTTTTCTGTCTCAATCTCCTTTAGTTCAGCTCTGATTTTGGTTATTTCTTGTCTTCTGCTAGCCTTGATATTGGTTTGTACCTGGTTGACCAGTTCTTTTAGTTGTGATGTTAGGTTGTTAAATTGAGGTCTTTCTAACTTTTTCATGTGGGTATTTGATGCATAAATTTCCCACTTAACACTGCCTTAGCTGTGTCCCAGAGATTCTGGTATGTTGTATCGTTGTTCTCATCAGTTTTAAAGAACTTCTCAATTTCTTCCTTAATTTCATTATTTACACAAAAGTCATTCAGGAGCAGGCGGTTCAACTTCCATGTAATTGTAGGGTTTTGAATGAATTTCTTAGTCTTAATTTCTAATTTGATTGCACTGTTGTCTGAAAGATTGTTTTTTATGATTTCAGTTCTTTTGCATTTGCTGAGGAGTATTTGACTTCCGATTATGTGATCAATTTTAGAGTACATGCCATGTGGTGATGAGAAGAATGTGTATACTGTTGTTTTGGTGTGGATAATTCTATAGATGTCTATCAGGTCCATTTGATTCAGTGCTGAGTTCAAGTCCTGAATATCTTTGTTAATTTTTTGTCTCGATGATCTGTCTAATATTATCAGTGAGTTGTTAACATCTCCAAGTATTATTGTGTTGGAGTCTAAGTCTCTTTGAAGGTCCCTAAGAACTTGCTTTATGAATCTGGGTGTTCCTGTGTTGGGTGCTGATCTGGTTTGGCTGTGTTCCCATTCAAATCTCACCTTGAATTGTAGCTCCCCCAATTCTCACATGCCACGGGAGGCACCTGGTGGGAGGTAATTGAATCATGGGGGCGGGTCTTTCCCATGCTATTCTCATCATAGTGAATAAGTCTCATGAGATCTGATAGTTTTATAAAGAGGAGTTTCCCTGCACAAGTTCTCTTGTCTTGTCTGCCACCATGTGAGATGTGATTTTCACCTTCCATCATGATTGTGAGGCATCCCTAGCCATGTGGAACTGTCAGTCCATTAAATTTCTTTCTTTTGTAAATTGCCCAGTCTCAGGTATATCTTTGTCAGCAGCATAACAGACTAATAGAGGAGAGTGGAGCACTGCTGAAAAGATACCTGAAAATGTGGAAGTGACTTTGGAACTGGGTAACAGGCAGAGGTTGGAACAGTTTGGAGGGCTCAGAAGAAGATAGGAAAATGTGGGAAATTTTGGAACTTCCTAGAGACTTGTTGAATGCCTTTGCCCAAATTGCTGATGGTGATGTGGACAATAACGTCCAGGCTAAGGTAGTCTCAGATGGAAATGAGGAACTTGTTGGGAACTGGAGCAAAGGTGACTCATTATGCTTTAGCAAAGAGACTGGTGACATTTTGCCCCTGTCCTAGAGATTTGTGGAACTTTGAACTTGAGAGAGATGATTTAGGGTATCTGGCAGAAGATATTTCTAAGCAGCAAAGCATTCAAGAGGTTACTTGCGTGCTGTTAAAGCCATTCAGTTTTATAAGGGAAGCAGAGCATAAATGTTTGGAAAATTTGCAGCCTGACAATGCAATAGAAAAGAAAATCCAATTTTCTGAGGATAAATTCAAGCCGGCTGCAGAAATTTCATGGGTAACGAGGAGCTGAATGTTAATTATTAAGACAATGGGGAAAATGTCTCCAAGGCATATCAGAGGTTTTTTTTTTTTTTTTCCAGAGTCTCGCTCTGTCGCCCAGGCTGGAGTGCAGTGGCATGATCTCGGTTCACTGCAAGCTCTGCCTGCCGGGTTCATGCCATTCTCCTGCCTCAGCCTTCCAAGTAGCTGGGACTACAGGCATCCGCCACCACACCTGGCTAATTTTTTGTATTTTTAGTAGAGACGGGGTTTCACCATGTTAGCCAGGATGGTCTCGATCTCCTGACCTCATGATCCACCCACCTCGGCCTCCCAAAGTGCTGGGATTACAGGCGTGAGCCACCATGCCTGGCCATGTCAGAGGTCTTGATGGCAGCCCTGCCCATCACAGGCCTGGAGGCCTAGGAGGAAAGAGTGGTTTCTTGGGCTGGGCCCAGTGTCCCCGTGCTGTATGCGGTCTTTGGACTTGGTGCCCTGTGTCTCAGCCGCTCCAGCTGTGACTAAAAGGGGCCAACATAGAGCTCAGGCCACGGCTTCAGAGGATGCAAGCCCCAAGCCTTGGCAGCTTCCATGTGGTGTTGAGCCTACAGGTACACAGAAGTCAAGAGTTGAGGTTTGGGAACCTCCACCTAGATTTCAGAGGATGTATGGAAATGCCTGGATGTCCAGGCAGAAGTTTGCTGCCTGGGCAGGGCACTCATGTGGAACCTCTGCTAGGGCAGTGCAGAAGGGAAATGTGGAGTGGGCACCCTCACACAGAGTTCTCAATGGGGCAGTGCCTAGTGGAGTTTTGAAAAGAGGAACACCATCCTCCAGACTCCAGAGTGATGGATCCACTGACAGCTTGCATCATGCACTGGAAAAGCTGCAGACACTCAATGCCAGCCCATGAAAGCAGCTTGGAGGGAGGCTATATCCTGCAAAGCCACAGGGGCGGAGCTGCTCAAGACCAGGGGAACCCACCTCTTGTATCAGTGTGACCTGGATGTGAGATACGGAATCAAAGGAGGTCATTTTTTGGAGTTTAAGATTTAAGTGCTCTGCTGGATTTCAGAGTTGCATGGAGCCTTTAAGTCCCTTCATTTTGGCCAGTTTCTTCCATTTGGAATGGGTACATTTATTCAATGCCTGTACCCTCATTGTGTCTAAGAAGTAACTAGCTTGCTTTTGATTTTACAGGCTCATAGGCAGAAGGGACTTGCCTTGTCTCAGATGAGAATTTGGACTGTGGATTTTGAGTTAATGTAGAAATAAGACTTTGGGGTACTCTTGAGAAGGCATGATTGGTTTGAAATATGAGGGCATGAGATTTGGGAGGGGCCGGTGGTGGAATGATATGGTTTGGCCCTGTCCCCACCCAAATCTCACCTTGAATTGTAGGTCCCATAATACCCACATGTTGTGGGAGGGACCTGGTGGGAGGTAATTTAATCATGGGGTAGGTCTTTCCCGTACTATTCTTGTGATAGTGAATAAGTCTCATGAGATTTGATGGTTTTATGAAGGGGAGTTTCCCTGCCCAAGTCCTCTTCTCTTGTCTGCTGCCATGTGAGATGTGCTTTTCACCTTCCACCATGATTGTGAGGCCTCCCCAGCCATGTGGAACTGCGAGTCCATTAAACCTCCTTCTTTTGTAAATTGCCCAATCTCAAGTATGCCTTTATTAGCAGCATGATAATGGACTAATATAAATGAATATATATTTAAGAAATGGATAAATTCCTGGACACATACACCCTCTCAAGACTGAACCAGGAAGAAACTGAATTCCTAAACAGACCAATAATGAGTTCTGAAATTGAGTCAGTAATAAAAAGCCTACCAACCAAAAAAAGCCTGGGACCAGATGGATTCACAGCTGAATTCTACCAGATGGATAAAGAAGACCTGGTCCTATTCCTATTAAAATTATTCCAAAAAAATTGAGGAGAAGGGATTACTCCCCAATTCATTCTGAGGCCAGCATCATCCTGATACCAAAACCGGGCAGAAACAACAAAAAAAGAAAATTTCAGGCCAATATTCTTGATGAACATAGATGCAAATATCCTTAACAAAATACTAACAAACCAAATCAAGCAGCACATCAAAAGCTAATGTACCACGATCAAGTAGATTTTACCCCTGAGATGCAAGGTTAGTTCAACATATACAAATCAACAAATGTGATCCATCACATAAAGCAGAATGAAAGGCAACAACCACCTGATCATCTCAATAGATGTGGAAAAGGCTTTTGATAAAATTCAACAGCACTTCATGTTAAAAATGCTCAGTTCACGCCTGTAATCCCAGCACTTTGGGAGGCTGAGGTGGGCAGATCACAAGGTCAGGAGATTGAGACCATCCTGGCCAACATGGTGAAACCTTGTCTCTACTAAAAATGAAAACTTAGCTGGGCATGGTGGCATGCGCCTGTAGTCGCAGCTACTCAGGAGGCTGAAGCAGGAGAATCGCTTGAACCCAGAAGGCGGAGGTTGCAGTGAGCCAAGATCCCGCCACTGCACTCCAGCCTGACAACAGAGAAAGACTCCATCTTAAAAAAAAAAAAAAACCTCAGTAAACTAGGCATTGGAGGAACATACTTCAAAATAATAAGAGCCATCAATGACAAAGCCACAGCCAACAACATAGTGAATGGGCAAAAGCTGGAAGCATCACTCTTGAAAATCAGCAGGAGACAAGGATGCCCTCTCTCACCACTGTTTTTTTTTTTTTTTTGGAGACAGAGTCTTGCTCTGTTGCCAGGCTGGAGTAGTGCAGTGGCGCGATCTCAGCTCACTGCAATCTCCGCTTCCCAGGTTGAAGCAATTCTCCTGCCTCAGCCTCCCAAGTAGCTGGGACTACAGGCACATGCCACCACGCCTGGCATTTTTTTTTTTTTTTTTTTTTTTAGTAGAGACCAGGTTTCATCATGTTAGCCAGGATGGTGTTGATATCCTCACCTCGTGATCCACCCACCTCAGCCTCCTAAAGCACTGGGATTACAGGTGTAAGCCACTGTGCCCGGCCCTCCCTCACCATTCTTATTCAAGATAGTATTGGAAGTCCTGACCAGAACATCAGGCCAGAGAAAGAAATAAAGGGCATTCAAAGAGGAAGAGTGGAAGTCAAACTATCCCTGTTTGCAGATGATATGATCCTGTGTCTAGAAAACCCTAAATCTCCAAATCTTGGCCCAAAAGTTCCTTTAGCTGATAAACAACTTCAGCAAAGTTTCAGGATAAAAAAAATCAACATATAAAAATCAGCAGCATTCCTATACACAAAGAACACTCAAGCTGAGACCCATATCAAGAACATAATCCCACTCACAATTTCCACACACACACATATTACCTAAGAATACAGCTAACTATGGAGATGAAAGATCTCTACAAGAAGAACTACAAAACACTGCTCAGAGAAATCAGAGATGACACAAACAAATGGAAAAAATTATCATTCTCATGGATAGGAAGACTCAATATCATTAAAATGGCCATACTGCCCAAAGTAATTTATAGATTCAATGCTATTCCCATTAAACTACCACTGACAGTCTTCACAGAACTAGAACAAACTATTTTAAAATTCATATGGAAGCAAAACAGAGCCTAAATAGCTAAGGCAATCCTAAGCAAAAGAATAAAGTAAGAGTTACTATGTTGCTCAACTTCAAACTATACTATGAGGCCACAGTAACCAAAACAGCATGGTACTGGTACAAAAGCAGACACACAGACAAATGGAACAGAATAGAGAGTCCAGAAATAATGCTGTACAACTCCAACCATCTGATCTTTGACAAAGATGACAAAAACAAGCAATGAGGAAAGGACTCCTCATTCAATAAACGGTGCTGTACTAACTGGCTAGCCATATGCAGAAGACTGAAGCTGGACTGCTACCTTACACCATATACAAAAATCAACTTAAAATGAATTAATGACTTAAATGTAAAACCTAAAATCATAAAAACCCTGGAAAGTAACCTAGAATATACCATTCTGAACATAGGACTTGGCAAAGATTTCATGGCAAAGACACCAAAAGCAATCACAACAAAAACAAAAATTGACAAATGGGACCTAATTTAACTTAAGAGCTTCTGTGCAGTAAAAGAAACTATCGACAGAGTAAATAGAAAACCTAGAGAATGGAGAAAATGTCAAGTCCTAATTCGGGAAAAGGAGTCAGGCTGGTGGGACCAGAAGAAAGCAAAGAGGTAAAACAAATAAGCTGTAAGTCTGTCTTTCCTCATGGTCCAGAACACACAGCCCTCCTGTGCAAATAACTCACAGTCTTCCCGTGCCCAACTATCATCAGACATCTATAAACTAGCTCACTGCAACCCTGGCATTGTTGCTACTGCACATAGCACTCTGCAGCCTAAGAACCATCCTATAAAATCTCCTGCAAGCCTTTGTTTCCGTGCAGTCAGCTTCTCTTCTGCTGGCCTGCCTGCCTGTTGCCTCCTTGCAACATATTTTCCTACTTTCTCTAATAAATCTGCTTTTTTTTTCTACCTACAACTGTCTTGGTAAATTCTTTTACCCTGGCGCCACTGGCCCAGATAGTTATTGCTCACCTGCAACAGAAAATATTTGCAAACTATGCATCTGACAAAGGTCTAATATCCAGAATCTATAAGGAACTTAAACAAATTTACAAGAAAAAAACCAAACAACCTCATTAAAATATGGGCATGAACAGACATGAACAGACACTTTTCAAAAGAAGACATACATGCAGCCAACAAACATAGGAAAAAATTCTCAACAGCACTAATTATTAGAGATATGCAAGTCAAAATCACAATAAGATACCATCTCATACCAGTGTGAATGGCTACTATTAAAAAGTCAAAAAATAACAGATGCTGGTGAGGTTGCAAGGAAAGAGAATGCTTATACACTGCTAATAGAAATGTAAATTAGTTCAGCCATTGTGGAAAGCAGTGGGGTGCAAAGAACTAAAAAGAAAATTACCATTTGATTCAGCAATCCCATTACTGTGTATATACCTAAAGGGATATAAACCATTCTACCATAAAGACACATGCACACATATGTTCACTGCAGCACTGTTCACAATAGCAAAGACATTGAATCAACCTAGATGCCCATCAACAGTGGACTGGTTAAAGGAAACGTGGTACATATACACCATGGAATACTATGCAGCCATAAAAAGAATGAGATTCTGTCCAGAATTGGTTCCTTCCGGTGGGTTCTTGGTCTCGCTGACTTCAAAAATGAAGCCATGAACCCTCGTGGTGAGTGTTACAGTTCTTAAAGATGGTGTGTCCGGAGTTTGTTCCTTCAGATGTTCAAATGTATCCCAAGTTTCTTCCTTCTGGTGGGTTCGTGGTCTTGCTGATTTCAGGAGTGAAGCCGCAGACCTTTGCTGTGAGTGTTACAGCTCTTAAAGGTGGTGCATCTGGAGTTGTTCATTCCTCCCAGTGGGTTTGTGGTCTCGCTGACATCAGGAGTGAAGCTGCAGACTTTCACAGTGAGTGTTACAGCTCTTAAAGGTGGTGCGTCCTGAGTTGTTCGTTCCTCCTGGTGGGTTTGTTGTCTTGCTGGCTTCAGGAGTGAAGCTGCAGACCTTAGCAGTGAGTGTTACAGCTCATAAAGGTAGTGCGGACCCAAAGAGTGAGCAGCAGCAAGATTTATTGCAAAGAGTGAAAGGACAAAGCTTCCACAGTGTGGAAGGGGACCTGAGTGGGTTGCAGCTGCTGGCTGGGGTGGCCAGCTTTTATTCCCTTATTTGGCCCTGTCCACATCCTGCTGATTGGTCCATTTTACAGAGTGCTGATTGGCACGTTTGCAAACTTTTAGCTAGACACAGAGCACTGATTGGGGCATTTCTACAGAGTGCTGATTGGTGCGTTTACAAACCTTTAGCTAGATGCAGAGTGCTGATTGGTGTGTTTTCACAGAGTGCTGATTGGTGCTTTTACAATCCTTTAGCTAGACAGAAAAGTTCTCCAAGTCCCTGCCCAACCCAGAAGCCCAGCCAGCGTCACCTCTCAAGATCATGTCCTTTGCAGGAACATGGATGGAGCTGGAGGCCATTATCTTATGCAAACTAACATAGGGACAAAAAACCAAATACCACATGTTCTCACTTATAAGTGGGAACTAAACATTGAGTACACATGGATACAAAGAAGAGAACAGTAGATATGGGGACCTACTTGAGGGTGAAGGATAGGAGGAGGGAAAGGATCAGGAAAAATACCTGTGAGATACTATGCTTATTACCTTGGTGATGAAATTATCTGTACATCAAACACACCTGACATGCAGTTTACCTATAGAGCAAACCTGTACATGTATCCCTAAAACTAAAATAAAAGTTTAAAATAAAAAAGAAAGAAATTAGTTGAATACTTTTTTCTCAGTGAAATGCTTATGCAAACAAATATCATACACTTTTATTTCAGAGATTTCGGGATCATAAAGGGTGTGTACCAAGGACAGTTTGTGACTAGCCTCCTCACATTATCCCTCACATTATCATTTCTCATCTCTTCTCCCCTAAACTTTCATGCCAACAGCAGACTAGGTAAGTTTCCCTTTCCTGCATCTCTAATGATTCAGGGCGATTAAGGTCTCCTTCTCCAGCCCCCTGCACCACCATTCCCACCCCCATCTCATCTCATCTCTGCCCAGAAGGCTGGAAGGACAAGCTGAAGCTCCCTCCTGTGTTCCCTCCCACAGCAGACACACAGACAAATCCCCACTCTACACTCACCTACCTGAGCCCTCCTAATTCCTTCTGGCTCACAATCCTACACCCTCCCACAGGGTGCTTACGTGTGCATACACACACACTCCCTGTTCTCAGGGACCCTACTCCCCTCCCCCACCCGCCTTGCTCACCTCGCCTGTGCATGGAGAAGCTCTCAAAAACCCCGTAGTTGTGTCTGCAGTAGGTGTCCAACAGACCCCGCAAGCAGCCCAAGAGGTTCTTCTGGCTGTTTGCATTCCTGGACTCTTCTCCGCTCCAGCTCCGCCACCGCCCGGAACTTTCTGACGTCCCTATGGAAGCGCGCATACTCCTTCCGGTGTGGACGAGTCTCTGCACAAACCGCATCCGCTCTGTCCCATTGCAGAAATAGCACTCGTGTTTAATCTGCTCCAAGAAATGTGCCGCAGGGACATGAAGAACCGGTTTCTTGGGCGGCATCCTAGGAAAAGAGTGATGGCTATGCCCACAATCAGCAGGGCGAGGGGCGGAACACCTTGACTGGCCCCCACCAGCCACCCCCGACCACCTAGGGGTTCCTCTTCCATCTGCCTGAGGCGGAGGGAGGCTGCGAGGGGCGTGGAATACCATTTGGGATCTGCTACCCATTTCCGAGATGAGCTGGACGCCTCTTTGCAAGGCTCTGGATCAGAATCACCTTCCTCATCACTGTCTCCTGCGCTTCCTCCTCCTGGGAGCCTCCATCCAAAAGACACTTCTGCTCCCTCCTATCATGCCACACTCTACTCATTCCTTAAACAAGACCCACTGCCTCCATTCTGTAAATGCTTCCTTAGTGCTTACCTTGTGTCTCATCTGTGCTGTCTCCTGGGAATCCAAACGGGAAAAATAGACCTCATCCCTCCGCTGGAGGAGCTTAAAGAGAAGTGAAATTGATGGCAAAAAACCAAACACGCAACACCTTATACAGGAACGAAAAATGTTAAGAGAAGTGTGGAGTTCTAGAAGAAAGAATAGGATGATCTAAATTACATTAGGGTGCCAGAGAAGGACTCTGAGAGTGACAGCTCAAATGTGACCTTACAGGTTTAGTGGGTGTGAGCCAGGGGGCAGAGTGGAGCCCGTGTGTGTCTCTGGACAAAAAGGGAGGCACATTTCAGGTAAGCATAATATCATGTACAAAAGCTTGAAAGAATTGATGAACTTCTTCAAGAAACCAGAAAAAAGTTCACTAAAGCACAGCATGAAGGAAAGGAGGGGAAAAGATTAAACTGGAGAAATCACAAGAAGGAAACAATTAAAATCATTGTCATGTTAGGATTTCGATTTATACTAAATGTAATGGGAAGCAGTTGAAGAGTCCATGACCCCAACACAGGTCCACAAACTTTTTTTTTTGGACTTTCTAAATCCAGAAAACTCACGAATTCACTTGCTGTTGTTTTTAATTTGTTGCCGAAACTCATTTGGCAAATCTGATCTGAAGAGGTAAGGACTCAAAAGTGTCACAGAGCTCTTACTGGTGACATGTGCATCTGTAGTTTCAATATATATAAACATACAAACATACGTATGCATGTGTAAATATACACAGATTTCAAATACTGTGCATGTATATATTTTTGATGTTTTTGTATTTATGTTTAAATGAACTATGAAAAATAAAAAATAAAGAAAAATCCTTGTGTTTAATAAAATGAGATGAATAGAAAGCATTTTTAAAATAATAGTTTTTTTTTTAAGTTCTGGGTACATGTGCAGGATGTACAGGTTTGTTACACAGGTAAACATGTGCCATGGTGGTTTGCTGCAGCTATCAACGCATTACCTAGGTATTAAGCCCAGCACGCATTAGCTCTTTTCCCTAATGTTCTCCCCAACTCTGCCCTCCCCCAGCAGACCCTAGTAAGTGTTGTTCTCCTCCCTGTGTCCATGTGTTCTCATTGTTTAGCTCCCATTTATATGTGAGAACATGCGGTGTTTGGTTTCCTGTTTCTGTGTTAATTTGCTGAGGATAATGGCTTCCAGCTTCATCCATGTCTCTGCAAAGGACGTGATCTCATTCCTCTTTATGGCTGCATAGTATTCCGTGGTGTATATGTACCACAGTGAATAGAAAGCATCTTACATTATCAGTAGTATAAAATGTAGAATTACTGCAGAAATCTGAGGCATTTTACTGAAAAATATTTGGGATAGTCGTCACCATTTATGACTTACAATTACCAGTTGTTGAAAGTTAATAGAGATAGTAATTATCAAGAACACATCAAAATTTTGAAATAAACTGCATAACGCAAAAAAGTAAAAATGAAAATCTTGAACCTGCATTGACTGAATGGATTCATCAAGAAAGCAGTGAATTTATGCAACTGTCTAGTTTTTTTTTTTTTTTTGGTAATGAAACAAGCAAAACTAAGCCATGAAGAGCTGAACTAAGAGATAAATGTGTTTTAAAAGTGTGAGTCTAGAATTTTTAGAAGAAACACAATGTAAACCAGTGTTCTCAGCCTTGGCACTATTGACATTTTGGACTAGATAATATTTTCTTGGTGAGAGGAGCTGTCTACTAGGGTCCCTAGCTTCTACTTGTTACATGTCAGAAGAAACTCCTGGTGTGACAACCAAAAATGGCTCCAGACATTGCCAAATGTTCCCTAGGGAGTTGGGAGAGGGAAGGGAGGGACAGAGGGGTGGTGAACTATCCCTGGGTGAGACCCACTAGTGTAACCATCTGAAAAATCTATGGTTAAAAAGCCGCTATTAATTATGGAATATTTGAGATTTACACTGAAAACTCTGCCAATATTCTATCTATTTAAAATCTTGGTCCTACATAAAACTTAGGATTTTTAGGAATCTGGTCCCAGTGCAGAGCTATTTTTCTAGCAAAATTAATACATTCAGAACCAAGGTTTACTGATTTATTTGCCTTCCCAGTCGCCAAGTCATATTCTTAATTTCTGTGTCACTGGTCCACTACTCACTGCCTCAGCTAATTCATTTTCTAACTTTCAGTTTCCTACTCCCAACAATACAAGGAGGCATCAAATTACCAACCTTGGACAGAGGCAGAACTCTCATTTCTGTAGTTAAGCCTTCTCAGAAGGGGAGTGCTATGGTTTGGCTGCGTAAGCATTTCAATCTTGTCTTGAATTGTAGCTCCCACAATTCCCACGTGTTGTGGGAGGGACCAGGTGGGAGATAGTTGAGTCATGGGGGCAGGTCTTTCCCCATGCTGTTCTCATGACAGTGAATAAGTCTTATGAGATCTGATGGTTTTATAAAGGGAAAAACCCTTTCGCTTGCTGTCATTCTTCTCTTGCCTGCCATCATGTGAGACATGCCTTTCACCTTCCGCTGTGATTGTGAGATCTCCCCAGCCACATGGAACTGTGAGTCTATTATAGCCCTTTTTCCTTATAAATTATCCAGTCTTGGGTATGTCTTTATCCGCAGCCTGAAAACAGACTAATACAGGGAGAAACTAAGAAGATGGCATTCTCTCATAGATAGTTTCCAAAAAACGAGCAAGTCCCCAGATTTTGCGTAGAGACTTTCACAAGCTCCCTTCACCCTTCAGAAATGATAGCAGAGAGGAGAGCACTTTGGATGAGATAAGGTCTATCTTATTATTCCTAAATTCTCTGAGCACCTTCTTCACAGATAAGAATGTTGAAAAATAAAAATATGTGAAATTGCCGTCACTGTAGCTTGCATGGTTAGCACTGCAGTCTATGCTCATGTGCCAAGCTTAGATTGCCATATTTAGCAAATAAAAATAGAGGGTGCCTAGTTAAATTTGGATTTCAAATACATTATTGTTGTTTATCTGAAGTTCGGATTTAACTGGGTATCCTGTACTTTATTTGGCAACCTTAGCCCAACTTGCTAATAATGCTCAGAAGGAGTGAATTTAATACTTCTTTGTGTTCTTTAACACATGCCTATGACAGCGTGCACATAGGGAAGTTTTCAAATGATAAATGCAAAATGAATGAAAGTTTCTCCTTTACATTGGGACTAGCAGACCTTGCATCTCTCTCCCACCCTGAGACACACCCTGTACATAAGAAATTCTATCAATAATTCAGACTCAGTCTAGTCACTATTCACCAATGGTGGTTGTAAGCTCAGGCTCTAGAATCAGGAAATCTGAATTTAAACATGACCCCTTCTACTAGGGTTAATTTTAACAACCATTAACCTTTAAAAAAATATATAAAATGGATCCAACAGTAATATATTCCTCACAGGATTATTGTTGAGGGTAAAACTAAGCAGTGGCTCTTCTTAGTGCTGATAATATAATAATCACTCTAATATATTACCATTTTATTTTTACAATCCCTATAAAGGAAAGCTTCATTATTTTTCTATTCCTTAACTTCTAAAGCAAGTAACGTCTACATCATGATTTGGCAATTGTCTTTTATTAATTTATCACTAATTACCATTTTAAGCACATGAGGACAGAAACACTGGTTTATATATAATAATTCATATGCCTAAACCTCACACAAAAGGAGATTGCTGATATCGAAGAGAGGGACTTCATATATACTCAGATTTAAATTGCAATCGGATTTCTAGCACTAACTTTGTGACAGTGGGTAAGTTCATTATACCCTTTGAATTTTAGATTCCAAAGATCTATATGCTTTTAAATACCAAAGATATGATAGGATAGGTATTAGATTTCCATACCAAAATTTATAAGCCTGGTAATTAGTCACTGCAAAATATTACAATACTCCGCGCTAATACAGACCAGATTTGCTTTGTTTATTACTCCATTCTCATCACCCAAGGTAATAACTAGTATATTCTAAGTCACTAATAAATATTGGCTGTATGAACTAATAGCCTTTTGCATAACCTGTCACCACTGTACACAGGGGCCTTCTAGTGCTTCATTGCCAATGACTGAGCATCTGTCTCTGGTTCACAGGTCATCCAGCTTCTTTGTTCATTTTCTTTAGATCCAGCTGGCTCCCTGATCCCAGAGCATAGTCTTTCCCTGAGGCTCGCTACTCAAAAGAGTCAAACTTCATCCAGCCCTCACTTCTTCCACCCGCTCTTCAAATGGTCCAATCCACTTTCCATCCTGGATACTCCACTGACTGCAAATATCAACTCCTCCAAACCCAGTACTTGCGTCTCTGTCACGTTCTTACTTCACTCACCTGTCAGTGGTTCTCACCACAACTGGCCACTCCCTCGCCTCGAAAAAATCATTTTTCTTTGATTCCCATGCATCACATTCCTTGGGTTTTTTTTCTCCAGCATCTCTGGGGAATCTTCTCAGTCCCTTATGCTGTCCTGTGGCCCTCTGATATTTTTTCTACACAAAAATCTATCTCCCTCTGCAACCTCTTCCACTTCCCTGGAATTTAACACAGAACCTGCATTGACCCCAACATAAATACCTCCAGCCCTGGCCTCACCCTGAACTCCTCTCTTATATTCAGTTGACTTCCTGATTGCTTCATGTGAGTTCAAAAATCATCTCAATTTTAATAAACACAATTGTCATTTCTAATCACCCACTTCAAATCATTTCCTCCCATTATTCTTCCCTATTTCAATAAGCAGCACCACCATCCACCTATTTATCAAGGCAAAATACTTAGAAATAAGTTACGTTTAATCCATTAACAAGTCATGCAAAAAGACATCCCAAGTCTGTTCACTTTATCTGGATCTGTCTTTGTCACTACTACACTACATGAAGCCAAAAATTTTTCTTCCCTGGAGAATTCTGCTGTTGTCCACTTGTGAACCCCAACAATCCAATCTCCACATAGTAGCTAGAATTATTTTTAAAATTGAATATTATCGGGGGACCTGCCCCGATAATCACGTAGGTTCTTTTCTATTTTCCTAAGCATCGGCCGGCTTGAGAAATAAAGGGACAGAGTACAAAAGAGAGAAATTTTAAAGCTGGGGGAGACATCACACGTTGGTAGGATCCACGGTGCCCCACAAGCCACAAAAACCAGCAAGTTTTTATTAGGGATTTTCAAAAGGGGAGGGAGTGTGCGAATAGGTGTGGGTGACAGACATCAAGTACTTAACAGGGTAATAGAATATCACAAGGTAAGTGGAGGCAGGGCGAGATCACAGGACCACAGGACCGAGGCGAAATTAAAATTGCTAATGAAGTTTCAGGCACCATTGTCATCAATAACATCTTATCAGGAGACATGGTTTTGAGATCAACCGATCTGACCAAAATTTATTAGGTGGGAATTTCCTCTTCCTAATAAGCCTGGGAGCGCTATGGGAGACTGGAATCTATCTCACCTCTGCAATCTCAACCATAAGAGATAGGTACGCCCCGGGGGGGCCAGTTCAGAGACCTACCCCTAGGTGTGCATTCTCTTTCTCAGGGACATTCCATGCTGAGAAAAAGAATTCAGCAATATTTCTCCCATTTGCTTTTGAAAGAAGAGAAATATGGCTCTGTTCTGCCTGGCTCACCAGCAGTCAGAGTTTAAGGTTATCTCTCTTATTCCCTGAACAATTGCTGTTATCCTGTTCTTTTTTCAAGGTGCCCACATTTCATATTGCTCAAACACACATACTATACAATTTGTGCAGTTAATGCAATTATCACATAGTCCTGAGGCGACGTACATCCTCCTCGGCTGATAGGATTAAGAGATTAAAGTAAAGGCAGGCATAGGAAATCACAAGGGTATTGACTGGGAAAGTGATAAGTGTTCATGAAATCTTTACAATTTATGTTTAGAGATTGCAGTAAAGACAGGCATAAGAAATTACAAAAGTATTAATTTGGGGAACTAATAAATGTACATAAAATCTTCACAATCCACATTCTTCTGTTCTGGCTTCAGCCGGTCCCTCTGTTTGGGGTCCCTGACTTCCCGCAACATAATATTAATGGACTCTCCTTGTAACCTTCCAGGAGCTTCAAATATGTTTAAATAAAACTTAATTCCTTACTATGGCCACCAAGGCCGAATATGATGCAGCTCCTGACTTTCTCTCTCTCTTACCTCATCTTCTGCCACTCCACCCCTTGCTTTCCATCCTTCAGCCCCTCTAACCTTCTTTCTGTCTCTTCAACACAGCACACGCCTTCCCATTCCTTGGCCTTTCCCCTTTTCTGTCTGTCTGGAACACTTGTCCCTTAGATCTTCACATGGCTGTCTTATTGTTCTTGTCTCAGCTAAATGTGAGCTCTCCTCAGGGAGGGCTCCCAAACTACCTGTGAATCCAATGTGAAGTTGGGTGAATCCAATTCTCTCTGTCCTATCACCCTGATGTCTTTTTTTAAAGGCATTATTGCTCTCTGAATTTTTCTTTTTTGTTAAATATTTATTGGGATATTGTCTGTCTCCTCTGGTATTGAGTTCCATGAGAGTAGGGATCTTTTTTATCCTATTCAAGTAGAAATCTCTCAGCCTAGAACAGAGACCAGAACAAAACTTTTGCTCAGAAACATACCTGTGGTCTAAATGAATAAACCGAAGTTCTGGGAACTGATCACTCTGGGTATTCTAGAAAGCAGAAAAGGGCTCAAGCTCCTGCACCCTTTCATTCTAATGACATGCTATATCCCTTCTCCTCCCTGTGAGAAATTAAGGCAAACTTCCTTTCTCTCCTCTTTCTAGTTGGAAGAAGGATTCACAGATAAGGAAACAGTGATTGTAAGAAAGAAAAAAATTTTCATTAAGAATTACCTCTTTTCTGCCGGGCGCAGTGGCTCACGCCTGTAATCCTAGCACTTTGGGAGGCTGAGGCAGGCGGATCATGAGGTAAGGAGTTTGAGAACAGCCTGGCCAACATGGTGAAACCCCGTCTCTACTAAAAATACAAAAATTACCTGGGAGGTGGAGGTTGCAGTGAGCTGAGACTGCACCATTGCACTCCAGCCTGGGCAACAGAGTGAGACTCCATCTCAAAAAAAAAAAAAAAAGAATTATCGGTTTTTTTTTTAATAGTTTAAGTTCTAGGGTACATGTGCACAATGTGCAGGTTTGTTACATATGTATACATGTGCCACGTGGTGTGCTGCACCCATTAACTCTTCATTTACATTAGGTATATCTCCTAATGCTATCCCTCCCCCCTTCCTCCACCCCACAACGGGCCCCATGTGTGAAGTTCCCCTTCCTGTGTCCATGTGTTCTCATTGTTCAATTCCCACCTATGAGTGAGAACATGCGGTGTTTGGTTTTTTGTCCTTGCAATAGTTTGTTGAGAATGATGGTTTCCAGCTTCATCCATGCCCCTGCAAAGGACATGAACTTATCCTTTTTTATGGCTGCATAGTATTCCATGGTGTATATGTGCCACATTTTCTTAATCCAGTCTATCATTGTTGGACATTTGGGTTGGTTCCAAGTCTTTGCTATTGTGAATAGTGCCACAATAAACATACATGTGCATGTGTCTTTATAGCAGCATGATTTATAATCTTTTGGGTATATATCCAGTAATGGGATTGCTGGGTCAAATGGTATTTCTAGTTCTAGATCATTGAGGAATCGCCACACTGATTTCCACAATGGTTGAACTAGTTTACAGCCCCACCAACAGTGTAAAAGTGTTCCTATTTCTCCACATCCTCTCCAGCACCTGTTGTTTCCTGACTTTTTAATGATCTCCATTCTAACAGGTGTGAGATGGTATCTCATTGTGGTTTTGATTTGCATTTCTCTGATGGCCAGTGTTGATGAGCATTTTTTCATGTGTCTTTTGGCTGCATAAATGTCTTCTTTTGAGAAGTGTCTGTTCATATCCTTCACCCACATGTTGCTTGGGTTGTTTGTTTTTTTCTTGTACATTTGTTTGTGTTTTTTGTAGTTTCTGGATATTAGCCCTTTGTCAGATGAGTAGATTGCAAACATTTTCTCCCATTCTGTAGGTTGCCTGTTCACTCTGATGGTAGTTTGTTTTGCTGTGCAGAAGCTCTTTAGTTTAATTAGATCCCATTTGTCCATTTTGGCTTTTGTTGCCATTGCTTTTGGTGTTTTAGACATGAAGTCCTTGCCCATGCCTATGTCCTGAATGGTATTGCCTAGGTTTTCTTCTAGGGTTTTTATGGTTTTAGGTCTAACATGTAAGTCTTTAATCCATCTTGAATTAACTTTTGTATAAGGTGTAAGGAAGGGATCCAGTTTCAGCTTTCTACATATGGCTAGCCAGTTTTCCCAGCACCATTTATTAAATAGGGAATCCTTTCCCCATTTCTTGTTTTTGTAAGGTTTGTCAAAGATCAGATGGTTGTACATATGTGGCATTATTTCTGAGGGCTCTGTTCTGTTCCCTTGATCTCTATCTCTGTTTTGGTTACTGTAGCCTTGTAGTATAGTTTGAAGTCAGGTAGCATGATGCCTCCAGCTTTGTTCTTTTGGCTTAGGATTGACTTGGCAATGAGGGCTCTTTTTTGGTTCCATATGAACTTTAAAGTAGTTTTTTCCAATTCTGTGAAGAAAGTCATTGGTAGCTTGATGGGGATGGCATTGAATCTATAAATTACCTTGGGCAGTATGGCCATTTTCATGATATTGATTCTTCCTACCCATGAGCATGGAATATTCTTCCATTTGTTTGTGTCCTCTTTTATTTCGTTGAGCAGCAGTTTGTAGTTCTCCTTGAAGAGATCCTTCACATCCCTTGTAAGTTGGATTCTTAGATATTTTATTCTCTTTGAAGCAATTGTGAATGGGAGTTCACTCAAGATTTGGCTCTCTGTCTGTTATTGGTGTATAAGAATGCTTGTGATTTTTGCACATTGATTTTTTATCCTGAGACTTTGCTGAAGTTGCTTATCAGCTTAAGGAGATTTTGGGCTGAGACGATGGGGTTTTCTAGATATACAATCATGTCATCTGCAAACAGGGACAATTTGACTTCCTCTTTTCCTAATTGAATACCCTTTATTTCCTTCTCCTGCCTGATTGCCCTGGCTAGAACTTCCAACACTATGTTGAATAGGAGTGGTGAGAGAGGGCATCTTTGTCTTGTGCCCGTTTTCAAAGGGAATGCTTTCAGTTTTTGCCCATTCAGTATGATATTGGCTGTGGGTTTGTCATAAATAGCTCTTATTATTTTGAGATACATCCCATCAATACCTAATTTATTGAGAGTTTTTAGCATGAAGGGTTGTTGAATTTTGTCAAAGGCCTTTTCTTCATCTATTGAGATAATCATGTGGTTTTTGTCGTTGGTTCTGTTTATGTGCTGGATTACCTTTATTGATTAGCATTTGTTGAACCAGCCTTGCATCCCAGGGATGAAGCCCACTTGATCATGGTGGATAAGCTTTTTGATGTGCTGGTGGATTCGGTTTGCCAGTATTTTATTGAGGATCTTTGCATCGATGTTCATCAGGGATATTGGTCTAAAATTCTCTTTTTTTTCGTTGTGTCTCTGCCCGGCTTTGGTATCAGGATGATGCTGGCCTCATAAAATGAGTTAGGGAGGATTCCCTCTTTTTCTATTGATTGGAATAGTTTCAGAAGGAATGGTACCAGCTCCTCCTTGTACCTCTGATAGAATTCGGCTGTGAATCTGTCTGGTCCTGGACTTTTTTGGTTGGTAAGCTATTAATTATTGCCTCAATTTCAGAGCCTGTTATTGGTCTATTCAGAGATTCAACTTCTTCCTGGTTTAGTCTTGGGAGAGTGTATGTGTCGAGGAATTTATCCATTTCTTCTAGATTTTCAAGTTTATTTGTGTAGAGGTGTTTATAGTATTCTCTGATGGTAGTTTGTATTTCTGTGGGATCGGTGGTGATACCCCTTTATCATTTTTTATTGCATCTATTTGATTCTTCTCTCTTTTCTTCTTTATTAGTCTTATTAGCGGTCTATCAGTTTTGTTGATCTTTTCAAAAAACAAGCTCCTGGATTCATTGACTTTTTTGAAGGGTTTTTTGTGTCTCTATTTCCTTCAGTTCTGCTCTGATCTTAGTTATTTCTTGCCTTCTGCTAGCTTTTGAATGTGATCGCTCTTGCTTCTCTAGTTATTTTAATTTTGATGTTAGGTTGTCAGTTTTAGATCTTTCCTGCTTTCTCTTGTGGGCATTTAGTGCTATAAATTTCCCTCTACTTTAAAGCCAGAATTAGTTTCTAAAACTGAACATGAATTGACTCTCCTTGTAACCATCCAGTAGTGTCTCACATCTATTTAAATAAAATTCAGGCTGGGTACGGAGACTAATGATTGTAATCCCAGCAGTTTGGGAAGCCAAGGCAGGCAGATTACCGGAGGTCAGGAGTTCGAGACCAGCGTGGCCAACATGGTAAAACCCTGTCTCTACTAAAAATACTAAAAAATTAGCCTGGCATGGTGGCAGGCGCCTGTAGTCCCAGCTACTCGGGAGGCTGAGGCAGGAAAATCACGTGAGCCCAGGAGGCAGAGGTTGTAGTGAGCCGAGGCCACTCCATTGCATCCAGCCTGGGCAACAAGAACGAAACTCCATCTCAAAAAATAAATAATGAAATAAAAAAATGAAAATAAATAAAATAAAATTCAAATTTCTTACCATGGACATCAGAGCCTAATATAATGAGGCTCCTGACTTCCTCTCTGCTTCCTACCTCACCCTCTGCCTCTGCATTTCCTTGAATGCTATAGTTCAGTGTCTCTAGCCTTCTTTCTGTCCCTGCACGTAATTTCCCACCCCAGGGCTTCCCGCCCCCCCTGCCCCCACATTCTGTCTCCCTGGAACTTTCGTCCCTTAGATCTTCACATGGCTCTCTACTTATTTTGTTGTCTCAGCTGAATGTCACTTTCTCAGGCAGAGCTTTCTAAACACATGAGCTAAAGTTGGGTGAATCCATTTCTCTCTTTTCCACAAACCTGATGTCTTTTCTTCAGTGCACTATTACTCTCTAACGTTATCTTCTTTGTTAATTGCATATTGGGTTAATGTCTGTCTCCTCTATTGTTGTGTAACTTCCATGAGCGTCGGGACCCTCTCTATCTTAATCAAATACAATGATTTGAACTTGGAATGGAGCCGAGTACACAGTAGCTGCTGAGAAAAATAAGTGTGGTTTACAAGAATAAACCAGGGATCTGGGAACTGATCACTGTTTGGATCCTGGAAAGCAAGAAGGGGCTCAAACTCCAGCACTCTTTCATTTTGATGTCACACTAGACCCCTTCTCCTCCCGGTGTGAAATACAGGCAAAGTTCTTCTTTCTCCTCCTTCTAGTTGTAAGAATTCACAGATAAAGATTAACAGTGATTTAAGAAATAATAAATTTTTAAATTAAGATTCATCTATTTTTTGCCTGGGTGCGGTGGCTCAAACCTATAACCCTAGCATGTTGGGAGGTCAAGGCTGGAGGATTGCTTGAGTCCAGCAGTTTAAGACCAGCCTGGGTAACATAGCAAAATCTCATCTCTAGCAAAATTACAAAAATCAGCTGGGCATGGTTTCCTGCCTGTAGTCTCCACTACTCTGGAGGCTGAGGAGGGAGGCTCGCTTGAGCCTGGGAGGCAGAGGTTGCAGTAAGCCTAGATCATAACACTGAACTACAGCATGGGTGACAGAGCCAGGCCTTGTCTCAAAAAAAGGAAAAAATCTCTTTCAATGGATCTCATAGTGCTCTGGGTCTGTGCAAGCTTTAGGAATTTCTGGAAATGATGACAACATAGCTGGGGAAAAATAAAAACTGGAGGAAGAGGTAAGCAGACATGGCTAATTAAGGAAAGCTGAGGGCATGACGGGTGAACCTAGGAAATTTAAGACAAGACCCCAGTAAGACAATGAGTTCCCAGGACTTGCTCATTGACTTTCAGCCCTATGAGATGTGAACAATGTCCGCATTGTCTCTGTAACCTCACACAGTATATAGTTTGAACATTATTAAATTTCTGATATTTGACTGTTTTTGACTTACAAAAATAGAATTTCATATAATTTATCTTACGTTAGTTGAATATCTTCTTGTTATGTCTAGTTAGAGCATGTAGGACATGTAGGAGAAATTTCTATAGAAAGGTTAGAAGAGATTCATAATAAACACTAAGCCGGGCCAGGTTTTCCGAGGATGCCTTAAGTTCTTTAGGCACCAAAGAACACCCCAGAGATGCTCTTTATCTGTAGGGTGACTCCAAGTACTAAAGATCTTAGCTTCAGTTCCAGGGATTTTTCCCCATAAGAAAGACAGAGCACTAAGTATAACTTCTGTCAGAGAACCTACATACACTACAGGGATATAGGCTTTATAAACATTGGAGTTCAGAAAGAAAAAGAAAGGAGATAATGGGGAGGCCATTGGTACATCCTCACATTTGAGGAAGAGGGGCCAACACCAAAGTTCCTGTGGAGGACATAACCCAGGATCCTCTAGAAGAGACCCTTTGAATTATCTTGACTCCCACAAAATTTTCAGTAAAAACGTCATTTTGTCTGACGTAAGTCAACATAATAAAGGGAAGTGCTGTATGGGGAAATTATTTTAGCATCCTTATTGCCAAATCCTCTAAACACCCTGAGGACATGTGATGCAAAGGTTTTATTGGTGGAGATTTAAAAAGAAATGATCTGTACGAAGGCCCCTTACACAGTCTTATGGACTGTGTCATGAGCAAGTAGTCAAGCTCCTTTCGTGGAGGAGATAATTTGGGATCCAATAATACAGATGCACAATCTCTGACCAAAACGTCACAAAGTCTTAAGGGACATGGCCTGGGCACAATGTTAACAAAACTCTCTATTTTCCCCACCCCATAGTAGCTCAGCACCCACAATGTGCGCTTATGTCGGGTGTCCCCAGCCAAAGCCAGTGGGAAGCTCAGCACCATCAGTGTCACTGTCAGCGCTGCCATGCAGGAGCCTTCAGGGAGCTTCAGACACACCATGCTGGAGAACAGGAAAGGACCAGGGGCCAGAGGAGGAGGCAAGTCTTACTCAGGAAGAACTATGAACCCCTCCACCCACATTCCAAATTATGGGGTTGGAAGTTACTGACTTTCTTGCTCCTGGGTCGGGTAATCTCGTGTTGGAGAACCAATCAGCATCTGAGTTCAATAGCATCATCAGTTGCTGGTCAGAGATGCTGTATGAAGGTCCTCTTCTGAAACAGAATTTCCTTCTTTAAAGGATTGTTTTTAAATTAGTGCTTGAAAGATTTGATCCAGTTGCATGTAAAACACTTTAATTGGGTCCGATTGTGAGCCAGCTCTGTGCTGGTCAGTGATGTGTTCGTAAGTTTGAGCCTTGTAAGAGCATTCATTTCCCACTTGACAAGACAACTGTTTGCAGAAGTGAGTGTGTGAGTGTGTTTAGGAGTAAAGGAGATGGAAGGAACATGGTTGTAAATCCGGAGACATTTAAACTGGTCCTTATTGCACCATATCTTAATGTTGTAGATTTGGGAAAATTATTTCGTGTCTCACAGTTGAAATGAAGGCACTGTGATCTTTCAGGTCTTTCGATACTGGAAAATGCTGTGATTCTGTGGACGCCTGAAGGAGCAGCAGCCCCGGGTATCTGATAATATGACAGAATGACAGCTATTGACTAGAGAGCTTAATCCGTACCTGTTTACAGGTAGGGATGTCTTTAATAAGTTAAAGGAAATTGAAAGTTTGTTAATAATTTAATCTGAGTAAGAATATCTTTTTCAAGTGTGTCTCCTGATGCTGCCCCCAGGTTTAGTGGCCCCTCCAGAACACACACAGGCAAGGGGCTAACAGGGGCCACCTATGTGCAATGGAGGGTCTGAAGGTGCCTTTGTATGGCACTTACCCTAACAATGTGATAAGGTCAACTGTGCAATCCAAGTATTCATGGGTCTGAGAGATCGATCGAAGACTGTGAAAGTTAGCTGTTCATAGAACAACTCTTTTTTTTTTGAGACGGAGTCTGTCTCTGTTGCCCAGGCTGGAGTGCAGTGGAGCGATCTCAGCTCACTGCAACATCTGCCTCCTCGGTTCAAAGATTCTCCTGCCTCAACCTCCCAAGTAACTCTGACTACAGGCACTTGCCACCATGCTTGGTTAATTTTTTGTATTTTTAGTGGAGATGGGTTTCACTGTGTTAGCCAAGATGGTCTCGATCTCCTGACCTCATGTTCTTCCTGCCTCGGCCTCCCAAACTGCTGGGGTTACAGGCGTGAGCCATCGTGCCTGGCCACATTATGTTTTAAAATAATGAATATTTTATGTGAAGAGTGTTCAATCCCTCATTCTTGGTTCCCATTATGATTTCCTCATTTGATTGAGGCTATAGCACTTTATATTATGTTTCTCTTGTTTTATCATAAGGGAAGATAAAAGACGACTTTGCTAACTAATACATTTCAGAATATTCAGGAAAGAGAACACTAGGGAAAACTATGAATTACATCAGTTGATGTAACTATGTAATATTAAACATATTATTATACATTTAGATAATGACTATGCTTTTTATTAATATAAATATAACATCTAAGATTCAGAATGGACTTCAGAATACAACTATGCTTATAAAGTTCTGCATTAATTCACATGCTACCACATAGGCACTCATTTGTCTTTTTTTTGTTTGTTTGTTTGTTTGTTTGTTTTGAGATGGAGACTCGTTCTGTCGCCCAGGCTGGAGTGCAGTGGCGCGATCTCTGCTCACTGCAAGCTCAGCCCCCCAGGTTCATGCCATTCTCCTGCCTCAGCCTCCTGGGTAGCTGGGACTACAGGCGCCCGCCACAACTCCCGGCTAATTTTTTTGTATTTTTAGTAGAAACAGGGTTTCACTGTGTTCGCCAGGATGGTCTCAATCTCCTGACCTTGTGGTCTGCCTGCCTCGGCCTCCGAAAGTGCTGGGATTACAGGCGTGAGCCACCGCGGCCGGCCTAAAGTCTGTAACCTGTCTTTATGGAGAACTACTTTTGAGGCCGTACACTTCTTTCAGTAACAATATTGTCTAAGTAATGGTATGGCAAAGTTGTTTCTACCTTTTCTGGAGCTATTTTGACATTCCATTTAGTTAAAGCCTACTTTGTTTCTTGGAATAAGCGATGTAAGATTTGATCTATAGGAGCGGCCAAAAGAATGTCATCCATAAAATGAATGATGTAAGCAGTAGGAAACATATTTCGAGGCTCCTTTAATGCCTGTCCTACAAAATGCTGACATAACGTAGGACTGTTAAGCATGCCTTGGGGTAAAACTCTCCATTGATAGCAAGAAACAGGTTCTTTTTGATTAATAGAAGGCACAGAGAAGGCAAATCGAGGCTTATCCTTCTCCTGTAATGGTATAGTGAAGAAACAATCCTTAAGATGTATTACTACAAGAAGCCAATCTCTAGGAATGACCACTGGAGTTGGCAAACCTTGCTGTAATGGACCCATTGGTTCAATTTGTGCATTAACTCCAAACATGCAGCAGTCACCACCTTCCAGACTTTTTTGGAATAACAAACACTGGTGAATTCTGGGGGCTAACTGACTCCTCTATATGTCCTGTGTCCAGTTGTTCTTATACTAGCTGCTGAAGTTGTGTCAGCTTCTCCTGAGATAGGGGCCATTGATCCACCCATACGGGTTTGTCACTGGCCATTCTAATGGTAAGGCAGAGGGTGGAGGAGAAATATCAATGACCTCCATCAGAAATCCTGACGTCCTAGCCCTCTTCTATCTGTTTTTTCCAGTTATTGATATTGGGTTAGGTTTTCCTTGTAGGAATTTCCCTAAACCTTTCCCACTCTGATATCCCATGTCCTTCAACATTTTAAATCCTGGGTTATCAAAGTTTTCATTTGTAAGTCTCATATTCCATTCTGTAAGTAAGTCTCGATCCCATAAATTGATTGCCATATTTGCAACATAAGGCTGAAAAGTACATGGCTGTCCATCCGGACCAAGACAAGGTAAAATGTCAGCACTCTGTTGAACACTTTTAGCTGCTCCTCCTCCCACTAGGGATGTGGAGGTTAGTCTGAGAGACCATACTGGGGGTCAGTCCTTACTGGATATTACTGACACTTCAGCTCCTCTATCCATAAGTCCTATGGGCTATGGGATGGGATAGATAGATTTCCCTTGTAGTTGTGCTCCCAAACCCTTTATTTCCTCGTTTCTCCTTTCGTGGAGAAGGATAAGGATTTAATTTGCAGGGAATAAGCAACGACTGAGCAATATATTCTCCCAGTTCAAAAATGCAAAGATTTTTGACATTAAAACTACTTGAATTTCTCCTTCATAAATGGAATCAACTATTCCAGGGACTACAGTCATGCCTTGCAAGTTAAGGGGGCTTTTGCCTAAAATTAGTCCTATGTATCCTGTTGGTAAAAGTCCCCAAATGCCAGTGGGAACCTTGTAGGTTTGTCTCCTCCAACTAATGTAGTTCTTTCTCTGGTGGGGATATCTAATCCTGCACTTCCTGGTGTTCCTGAGGTGAGGAACACCAGGAATCAATGTTTTTCCTGAGACCCATCCCTGAAGTGGGACTGTGGTCTGAACTGGAAATGCCCTCATTGTTTGAGGGGCCCGGATCCAGGCCCCCTTCTAGTTTCCCGACACGGGGATGTTGTTTTGATGAAATTTTGAGCGGCACTGATTAGCCTAGTGATTTCCTTTGTTACAGTGAGGACAAAGTCCTGGTGTTTTTTTCCGCTGGGTGGGGCACTGCATCGTAATGTCCTTTCTGTCCTGAGATCTGGTGGAATTCCTTTTTAAAATGTCCAGTTTTGGCTGGGCATGGTGGCTCATGCCTGTAATCCAAGCACTTTGGGAGGCCAAGGTGGGCGGATTACAAGGTCAGGAGATCGAGACCATCCTGGCTAACATGGTGAAACCCCATCTCTTAAACAAATACAAAAAATTAGCTGGGCGTAGTGGCGGGCGCCTGTAGTCCCAGCTACTTGGGAGGCTGAGGCAGGAGAATGGCATGAACCTGGGAGGAGGAGCTTGCAGTGAGCCGAGGTTGCACCACTGCACTCCAGCCTGGACGACAGAGCGAGACTCCATCTCAAAAAAAAAAAAAAAAGTACAGTTTTTCCACAGTTATAACATTTTCCCATTTTAGGGTTTGACCCTTGGTTCCTTTTAGATTTGTCAACTGCTAAATTAGCCATTGCCTGCACTAATATTGTAGAGCGATGAAGCTCATTTCCCACATCTTGACAAGCTCTGAGAAAATTTCCCAAGTTTTTTGTACACCTCACAGGTGCCGATGCACATTTACAATCTGCATTTGCATTCTCAAAAGCTAGAGTTAAGGTTAGCATCTCTGCAGCAGTGGTGTGATAAATCTGATGCTTCATTGCCTTTTATAGTCATGCAAGAAATTGTGCATAAGGTTCTTGCGACCCTTGCATGATATGTAAAAAGGATTGCACTGGGACTCCCTCTTCTGGAATTGTGGCCCAGTTGCATTTGGCAGCCTGTGCACACTGCTGGCATTTGGGAGTGCCATTTGATGTTCCAGGTCTGAATAAGGGCCATTACCTAAGAGCATGTCCTCTGTAATGTCTCTGTGTCCAGCCACACAATTCTGTCTAGCCTGGTCTGCACACATTTCTTGCCAATTTAAATTCCATGTCAGGTATGCACTAGGAGACAAACAAGTGTAAGCCAAATTCTTTACATCGAAGGGTAGAAGGCGCACAGCACCAAATACAGATACTAGCCATCCTAAAGTGAACAGGCTGTGTACACCATTATTTACCACACTCCTTTTAATTCCTTCAACAACTTAAACTCTAGTGGAGTGTGTTCATGAATAAGCTGCTATGGATTATTTGGATCAGGCCTTACAGAAATAGGAAAAGTGCAAGGTCCTAAGGGCTCTCCAGCTATGGCAGCACGGTGTAAAATTCTCTGTATTGGGGTCTCTATTTTTGCTACCGAAGGAGGCGGTACAGATGTTTCTGCTATTGGAGGAGGCGGTATAGGCCAATTTTTATCCTCCTTCTCCTGTTTTTTATTTTCAATTGGAGCTGTGGGTGGGACAACAGATTTTTTCAGATTTTTAGACTCAGAACATCACTCCTGCTGTCCAGCAGAAGAAGGAGATAATGGCAGAAGGACAGTATAGACTAAACTCCAAGTGGAGAAAACAGAAGGATCAACTTTGAGACCTTTTTACTGAGCCCATTTTAATCCTTCTGCTCTGTCCCAATTTTCCATATCAAGAGTGCCTGTCTGTGGGAACCATGGGTTATACATAATAACCTCCTGCAGCATTGTAGTTAATGTCTGAGATCTAACCTGAGCACCAGATTATTTCAACAAAACTTTAAGCAACTGCTCATAATGTTTTTCTTCAATAGACAAATTCTGCCTCACGTTACCCTGATTTAGAAAACTTCCCGTTCCCAATACTTCTTTAGAGCACTGACCTTATATTGCTCCCAGTACCTCTTTAGGGCACTGACCTTATATCAGCTGCCAGCAGACTCATCTCGGGGTCCCCATTCGTCTTGTCAATTTCAGTTCCTCTGCTCCACCAGATCTTCTTTGTTCACATTCTCATGTCCCTGTGTTTAGAAACCACTACGGTGTCGCCCTGTCGCTGTTTGAACATCACTATGCCATGGACCCTGTTGGACTGAACAAAGGAGGATGAACATGGAAATAAAGACAAAAGAATATATTTGGAAGAAGGGGTCAGGGGCACCTTGCTCTTTGTGAACAAAGGCCCTGAGCCTTGAGCTTCCTTCGTATTTACTGAGAAGAGATAGCAAGGAGGGGGTCGTTGTCGGTCTGCTGCTTGCTCCAGAGCAGCCTTGCAAGACTACATTCCTTGAACAATAGATTCTAGATGTCCCAGTAGATAACCTGAAGGAGCTCTGCACCAGGGAGTGATTGCCCTCAGCAAACCTTCTGGTGGCCAGCACAGAGGAGAGTTTGCCCCTGCTCTGTATTCATGATAAACAGTTTGCTGTTTGATCATATTGCCTCAGTGGAAATTCTGAATTGGTCATGATTCTCCAGCCTCCGGCTCTCTACACTGAATGGATTCAACAAGAAAGTGGTTGAATTTATGCAACTGTCTAGTTATTTATAATGAAACAAGCAAAAATTAACCATAAAGAAGTGAATTGGGTGGTGATTGTATAAAAGATGTGAGTCTAGGCCAGGCATGGTGGCTCACGCCTGTAATCCCAGCAATTTGGGAGGCTGAGGCGGGCAGATCACGAGGTCAGAAGATCGAGACCATCCTGGCTAACACGGTGAAAACCAGTCTCTACTAAAAAAATACAAAAAATTAGCCAGGTGCAGTGTCGGGCACCTGTAGTCTCAGCTACTCGGGAGGCTGAGGCAGGAGAATGGCATGAACCCAGAGGCGGAGCTGGCAGTGAGCCGAGATTGTGCCACTGCACTCCAGCCTGGGTGACAGAGTGAGACTCCATCTCAAAAAAACAAAACAAAACAAAACAAAACAAAACAAAACAAAACAAAACAAAAAGATGTGAGTCTAGACTTTTCAGAAAGAGCACAGTGTGAACCAGTGCTCTCAACCTCAGCACTGTTGACATTTTGGACCAGGTAATTCTTCGTTGGTGATGGAGGCTGTTGTGTACATTGCAGGTTCTCTAGAAGTGTCCCTGGCTTCTACTCATTAAATATCAGAAGAAATCCCTGTTGTGACAACCAAAAATTCCTCCAAACATTGCCACATGTTCCCCAAGGGTGATGGGAGGGAAGGGAGGGGGTGGTGAACTATCCCTGGGTAAGAACCATGGGTGTGAACCATCTGAAAAAATCTGTGTTGAACAAGCCACTATCAGTTATGGAGCAGCTGAGAATTACTTTGAAAAACATCTGTTGAAAATCTTGGTCCTACATAAAATGAAAATGTTGTAGAATTCTGGTCCCAATACAGTGCTATGTTTCCAGAAAATGAACTTGTGGAGAACCAAGATTTACTGATTTCCTTGCCTTTATAATCAGTCATCAAATCATATCATTTATCTTTCATAGCATCTTCTTTCTTAATTTCTGTGCCACTGGTCCACTAATTATCTGTAGTAATGAATCACAACCAGAGCCATTTGATTCCCATTTAATGCCCCAACTAACTCATTTCTCTCAGTCTCCCACTCCCAACAATACTAACAGGCATCAAATTTCCAGCCTTGGCCAGAGGTAGAACTCTCGGTTTTGTAGTCAATTCCCCTCAGAAAGGGAGAAACCAAGAAAATGACATTCTCATACAGGCAGTTTGCAAAAATGAGCAGGTCCCCAGACTTTGAGTATGACCTTTGCAAAGCTCCCTTTGCCCTTTAGAAACGATGCCCTGGATCAAAAATGTCTGTCTTTTTATTCTTAAATTATCTAAGCACTTTCTTTACAGAGAGAAAGTTAAAAAATAAACATGTGTGAAGTCGCTGTCACTGTGGTTTGCATGACTAGCACTGTAATCCATGCTCATGTGTCCCAGTTAGGGTCAAAAGGTTTGGCAAATAAAACCAGAGGATGCCCACTTAAATTTGGATTTCCAATAAATTATGGTGTGTATCTGAAATTCAGATTTAACTAGGAACCTGTATTTTATTTGGCAACCTCAGGCCAACTTGCTAGTCAAACCTCAGAACAAGGAGTGATTTAATACTTCCTTGTGTTCTTCAACACATGCCCAGGAGAGACATATAGAACTTTTAAAATGATAAATGCAAAATGAATGAAAGTTTCTCCTATACATTGGAACTAGCAGCCCTTGCATCTCTGCTCCCACTTCAAGAAACAACCTGATACATATGAATATCAGGAATTCTGTCAATAATTCAGACACAATTTGGTCACTACTCACTAATAATTGGCAGACTCTCAATCTCTAGAATCAGAAAATCTGAATGGAAACATAATCTCTTCTACTTGGGTCAATTTTTACTAACCAAAGCCTTTTTGTAATCTATCAAATGCATTTAATAATAGCATCATCTTCACAGGGTTATTTTTAAGTGTAAAATTAAATAATGACTTCTTAGCACTGACCACATAATAAACACTCAAAAATATTTTCATTTTAATTTTTTATGATCCCTTTAACTGCAGCTCACATTATTTTCCTTATTCCTTGATTCTAAAGCAATTAGTATCTTCATCATGATTTTGCAATTGTTTTCTGTTCTTCTATTAGTTTCATAAAGAATTGTCATTCTGAAAACATAGGGCAGAAACACTAGCTTATGTCTAATAATGCAGTATACCTAAACAAACCTCACACAAAAGGCATCTGCTGACATAGGAGAAAGGGACTTTCTACATGCTCAGATTTAAACTGCAATCTGATTTCTAGCACTACATTTGGGATACTGGGTTTTACTTATATCTTCTCAATTTTAGATTCCAGAGATGTATATGTTTTTAAACACCACAGATACAATAGGATCATTATTGAAATTGTATACTGAAAATCAAAGGCCTGGTACACAGTCACTGCAAAATGTTATATGGCATGTACTGATGGAGACCAGGTTCATTTTATTCATCACTCCATTCTCATGACTTAGAGCAGTAGCTGGCATATTCTAAGTCACTAATAAATATGGGTTGTGTGAAATATTGGCTGTGTGATGTTTTGCATGAACATTCACCACTGCACACAGGGACCCTCTCGTACTTCCTTGCCAATGATGACTGAGCATCTCTGGTTCACAGATCCTCCTGCTTCTCTTCAGCCTTTTTAGTCTTTTCCTTTAGATTCAGCTGGCTTCCTGAACCCAGAGCGCAGTCCTTCCCTGAATCTCTCTACTCAGAACAGTCAACCTTAACCTCATCCTCACTTCTACTTGCTGTTCAAATGGTCCATTCCATTTTCCATCCTGGATACTCCATTGACTGCAAATACCAACTCCAGCAAACCCAGCACTTGCTTCTCTCTCACATTCTCACTTCACCCACTTTGTGATACTCATTGGCTTCTCCCTTCTTGAAAAAAATCTATTTTCCTTGACTTACATGCATTGTGTTCTCTTGGTTTTTCTCCAACATCCCTGGGGCTCCCTCTCAGTCCCCTTTGCTGGCCTGTGACTTCTTTTTTCTACACACAAGCTATTACCCTATGTATCCTCTTCCACTCCCTGGAATTTAACAGAGTACATGTATTGATGCTGTCAACAGAAACACCTCCAGCCCTGAACTCACCGTGAGTCTCTTAAATTCCCTTGACCTTCTGATTGTTCCACATAAATGTCAATAAATCATTTCCAACCACCCACTTCAAATAATCTCCTCCCACAGTTTTCCCTATCTCAATAAACACCACCACCATCCACTTATTTGTCAAGACAAAATCCTTAGGAATAAGCTTGATTGTTCTATCCCCTCTACAGTAATCCATTAACAGGCTAAGCAAATTACATGCCGAGTCTGTCCACTTCATCTTTTTCACTGTCTTTGTCACTAATGCACACCAGGAAGCCATGAGCCTATTTTCCCTGAGGATTCCCTGCTGTGCTCCTAAATAGTCTTCCTGACCACTTGTGAACCCCAGCAATCCAATCCCCACAAAGTAACTAGAATTAGTTTTAAAAATTGAATATAAATGGACTCTCCTTGTAACCATGCAGTAGCTTCCCATATCTGTTTAAATAAAATTAAAATTTCTTACTATGAACATCAGGGCCTAATATGATGAGGCTCCTGACTTCCTCTCTGCATCCTACCTCATCTTCTGCCTCTCCATTTTCTTGCTTCCTATACGTCAGCCCCTCTAGCCTTCTTTCTGTCCCTGCACATAATTTCCCCCCCAGGATTTCCCCCACATTTTGTCTCCCTGGAAATTTTGTCCCTTAGATCCTCACGAGTGTCTACTTATTTTGTTGTCTCAGCTGAATGTCACTTTCTCAGGTAGAGCTGCTTAAGCATATGAACCAAAGTTGGGTGGATCCAATTCTCTCTTTCCACAAACCTGATGTCTTTTCTTCCATGCACAATGACTCTCTGAAATTTTCTTCTTTGTTAAATGATTATTGGGTTATTGTCTATCTCCTCTATGATTGTGTAATTTCCATGAGTAGGGGCCAATCCACTGTATCTTACTCAAATAGAATGATTTGAACCTAGAAGGGAGGCCAGTACACAGTAGCTGCTGATAAAAATAAGTGTGGTTTATATGAATAAACCAGGGTTCTGGGAACTGATCACTGTTTGGATCCTGAAAAGCAAGAAGGGGCTCAAGCTCCAGCACTCTTTCATTTTGATGTCATACTAGACCCCTTCTCTTCCCTGTGAGAAATACAGGCACACTACTTCTTTCTCCTCCTTCTAGTTGGATGAATTAACAGATAAGGAAACTAATTTTTTTCTTTTTTTTTTTTATTTTTGGGATGGAGTCTAGCTCTGTCGCCAGGCTGCAGTGCAGTGGCGTGATCTGGGCTCACTGCAACCTCCGCCCCCTGGGTTCAAGTGATTCTCCTGCCTCAGCCTCCCGAGTAGCTGGGATTACAGGCATGTGCTACCATGCCCAGCTAATTTTTTTATTTTTAGTAAAGACGGGTTTCATCATGTTGGCCAGGATGATCTCGATTTCGTGGCCTCGTGATCTGCCCACTTCGGCATCCCAAAGTGCTGGGATTACAGGCATGAGCCACTGAGCCTGGCCAAGGAAAGAGTAATTTTAAGAAAAAGGAATTGTTTTTTTTAAATTAAGATTCATCTCTTTCCGGCTGGGCATGTTGGCTCTCATCTGTAATCCTAGCATGTTGGGAGGCAGGAGGATCGCTTGAGCCCAGGAGTATAAGACCAGCCTGGGCAATATAGCAAAATGCAGTCTCTACCAAAATTACAATAATTAGCTGGGTGTGGTTTCCTGCCTGTAGTCCCAGCTACTCTGGAGGCTGAGGAGGGAGGATCACTTGAGCTTTGGCGGCAGAGGTTGCAGTGAGCCTCTATCGCACCACTTCACTACAGCCTGGGTGCGAGCCAGGCCCTGCCTCAAAAAAGGAAGAAATTATCTCTTGTGATGAACCTCATAGTGCTCTAGGTCTGTGCAAGATTTAAGGATTTTGGGAAATAATGACAACATAGCTGGGGAAAAATAGAGAGAAACTGGAGGAAGAGGTAAGCGGACATGGCTAATTAAGAAAAGCGGAGGGTATGATGGGTGAACCTATAAAATTTAGGACAAGACCCAAGTAGGACAATGAGTTTCCAAGACTTGCTCATTGACTTTCAGCCCTATGAGATGTGAACAATGTCCACATTGTCTCGGTAACTCCACTCAGAGTATATAGTTTGAACCTTAGCAAATTTCTGATATTTCACTATTTTTGACTTACAAAAATATAATTTCATATAATTTATCCTACATTCATTGAATCTCTTCTTGTGGAGTCTAGTTAGAGCATATAGGAGATGTAGGAGAAGCTAGTATAGAAAGGTTAAAAGAGATTCATAATAAACACTATCCTGGGCCAGGTTTTCAGAGGATGCCTTAAGTTCTTTAGGCACCAAAGAACACCCCACAGATGTTCTCTGTCTGTAGGGTGATACCAAGTACTAAAGATCTCGGCTTCAGCTCCAGGGATTTTTCCCCATAAGAAAGAAAGAGCACTAAGTATAACTTTTGTCAGAGAACCTATGTAAGCTACAGGGATACAGGCTTTATAAAGACTGGACTTCAGAAAGAAAAGAAAGTAGATAATGGGGAGGCCACTGGGTACATCTTCACATATGAGGAAGAGGGGCCAATACCACATGTCCTGTGGAGGACATAACACAGGATCATCTAGGAGAGACCCTTTGAATTCCCTTGACTCTCACAAAATTTTGAGAAAAAAACCTCCTTTTGTCTGACTTAAGTCAACATAATAAAGGGAAGTGCTGTATGGGGAATTTATTTTAGCATCCTTTTTCTAAATCCTCTAAAGACCCTGAGGACATGTGATGCAAAGTTTTATTGGTAGAGATTTGAGAAGAAATGACCTGTATGGAGGCCCCTTACACAAGTCTCATGGAGAGGGCAAGTAGCCAAGCTCCTTTTGTGGAGGAAGTAATTTGGGATCCATGTGATAAAGATGGGCAATCCCTGTTGAAAACACCACAAATTCTTAAGGGACATGGCCTGGGCACAGTGACAAATTTAGGTCCCTACTTTAACCCCCTTATAGTAGCTCAGCAACCACAGGGTGCACTTAGGTCCGGTGTCCCCAGCCAAAGCCAGTGGGGAGCTCAGCACCATCAGTGTCACTGTCAGCGCTGCCATGCAGGAGCCTCCAGGGAGCCTCAGACACACCATGCTGGAGAACAGGACAGGACCAGGTGCCAGGGTAGCAGGCAAGTCTCACATTCACGGAGAACTATGACCTCCCTCTACTCACATCCCCAACACAGGGAGTAAGGTACTAATTTCTTTGCTCCTGGGTTGGGTAATCTCGTGTTGGAGAACCAATCAGCATCTGAGTTCAATAGCATCATCAGTTGCTGCTCAGAGATGCAGTATGAAGGTCAGCTTCTGAAACAATTTCCTCCTTTAAATGATTGTTTTAATTTAGTACTTGGAAGGTTTGATCCAGTTGCATGTAGAACACTTTAACTGGGTCCTTATTGTGAGCCAGCTCTGTGCTGGTCAGTGATGTGTTCACAAGTTTGAGACTTGTAAGAGCATTCATTTCCCACTTGACAAGACAACTGTTTGCAGAAGTGAGTGTGTGAGTGTGTTTAGGAGTAAAGGAGATGGAGGGAACATGGTTGTAAATCTGGAGACCTGTAATCTAGTCCTTATTGCACCATATCTTAATGTCATAGATTTGGGAAAATTACTTCATGTCTCACAGTTGAAATGAAGGCACTGCGATCTTTCAGGTCTTTCAATACTGGAAAATGCTGTGATTCTGTGGACGCCTCAAGTAGCAACAGCCCCTGGGTATCTGATGATAGGACAGAATGACAGCTGTTAACTGGAGAGGGTATTCTGTACCTATTTCCAGGTAGGGATGTCTTTAATAAGTTAAAGGAAATGGAAAGTTTGTTAATAATTTAATCTGAGATTAAATTGTTTTCAAGTGTGTCTCCTGATGCTGCCCCCAAGTTTAGTGGCACCTCCAGAACACACACAGGAAGGGGCTTGCAGGGACCACCTATGTGCAATGGAGGGTCTGAAGGTGCCTTTGTATAGCACTTACCCTAACAATGTGATAAGGTCAACTGTGCAATCGAAGTATTCAGGGGTCTGAGAGATTGATCAAGGACTCAAAGTCAGCTGTTGACAGAACAACACTGCTGTAAAATAATTAATATTTTATGTGAAGAGTGTTCAATCCCTCATTCCTGGTTCCCATTAGGATTTCCTCATTTGATTGAGGTTATGGCCCTTTACTATTATGCTTCTTTTGATTTATCATAAGGGAAGATATAAGAAGACTGTGCTAACTAATACGTTACAGAATGTTCAGGAAAGAGAACCCTAGGGAAAAACTATGAATTACATCAGCTGATGTAATCATGTAATTTTAAACATATAATTCTACATTTAGATAATTATTATGCTTTATACTAATATAAATGTGACATCTAAGATTCAGAATGGACTTCAAAGTACGGCTATACATATAAAGCTCTGCATTAATTCACACTGTACCACAGTTCTGATAGGCACTCCTTCCTTATGTGCCTTAGTGTTTCCAGGAGCAGGATTCTCACCATGCTGCGATAAAAATGAGCATTTGACTTTGTACTCAGAATTGTACTAAAAACTTTCTATGCTTCATATTTTTATTTAATTCTCACATCAGCTCAGTAAAATAAACACCGTTTTCATGCTTACAGGTGGAGAGACTAAAATGATGGAGATAAAACAAATTTTGCCAAGATACACTAGTAAACGGTACACTATAGATTGAGCCAAATTATATACCTCTCAAGCTCAGTCATTAGATCATACTCCTTCAGAAAGAAGGGGAAAAGCAAAAGAAAAAGAAAAAAGAAACAAATTTGTGAAAAAAAGAAACTAATTGTGATAGTAGTAATCCAGGAAATCAGCTAAGGTTCACGTTAGTATTTCAGGATAAAAGGGTGGTGATGCTGGCAGTGGCGAGCTGTCCAGAGTGGCCGGCTACAGCGGGAAGTTGCAAGCGGTGGCGGCAGGAGCCACTGAGGGAGTAGTGGCCGTGGTGGGACCTTTGTGCCCCATGTCCCCTGTGCCTCGCGTCACTGAGGCAGCTGACTGCACTGACCCCACTCTTGAACAGCCAGCAGGACTGCCCCCAGGCCCAGAGCCTTCACTCCTGCGTTGCTGCTCTCACCTTGCAGTCGTGGGGAGAGCATGGAGCTGGGGCCACCCTTCAGTGACCCGGGGTGGGACATGGGAGTGGCCTCACTTTGAGGACCCGCCCTGCCAAGGGCGCCCAGTTCCTGCGCCTCAGGAAGAGGCTCTGCTTGAGGCTGTCCAGGGTTTTGTCCCCGCGGGTGGCCACCCAGCCTGATGCTCCTGACAGCCAGGCCCGGGCTGTGATCTGTTCCCCAAGGTGCCTCCCCCGCCCCATCCAGGCGAGAAGGAGCCCCGGGCACCCTGAGTGCTAGCAGAATAACTTGCAGAGACATCACCCTTGCCCCAGATGCTGGCCTGCGCCCAGCGAGGGGAGCTGCCCACCCCAGGCTGCCAGAAGGTGTGACAGGGGATACCTGCAGGCTCCATGGAATGGGTTGGAAACCCCACCCTCCCGGCCCTCCCCACAGGCAACACGATCCAGGCCTCTCTACACTCCACTCCCTCAAGGCTGAGAAGGCCCTCCTGTCCATGCAGGCTTGGGGGTGTCTGTTCCCACTTTCTGGCCTCTCCTTTGGCCTCACCCGGGTCCCAGGTGCCCACTCTGATCTCAGAGTGGAGTTGGGGCAAAGCCCCAGTGCTGTCACAGACTGGCTGGGTGTGTGCACGTTCAGGGCAGTGTTGACACACCAGGCTTTTGCCACCTCAGTCACAGGGAAGCCAAGGGAAGATGGGCATGTAATATTTGAAGTAAGTTTCTTATAGGGAGCATGTCGAAGAGTCATTGCTTTTCACTCTGGCATTTGTCTTTTTACACACTTTACATGTAATGCAATTATTAATATGTGAGCTCTTATGACTGCCATCTGCTTTTTGTTTTCTTTTTTGTTTCCTTTGGTTTTTTCTTCTCTGGTTTCTTTTCCTATTTTCCAATGTGTTCCTTAAGCAATTTTTAGAATTCCATTTTTAAATCAATCTTTTTTTGGTGTATCTCATTGTATAGTTTTCGTGATTTATCTGTCTGTTAACATAACTTATCATAGTCTACTGGTGCTGACATTTTACCAATTTGACTAAAGTGTGGAAACTTTACCTCCTTTATAATCCTTTCCACTTCTGCATGTGTAATATATATGTTTTATTTTCTCTACTTGCATCAAAATCACATCTTGTCAGTGTTGTAATTTTTGCCTCAACCATCAAGTTAATTTACAAAACTGAAGAAGTCTGTTGTATCTAACCATATTTTTACTCATTTGCTGTTTACTTTTTTCCCAATTGTCCAAGATTTCTTCCATTATCATTTCTATTCCAGTTAAAGCACTTCCTTTAGCCCTTGTTTTAACATAAGTCTGCTAGCATGAAATTCTCTTGATTTTCCTTCCTCTAAGTATGTCATGGCCATGTGCAGTGGCTCACGCCTGTAATCCCAGCACTTTGGAAGGCCAAGGCAGGCGGATCCCATGAGCTCAGGAATTCGAGACAAGCCTGGGCAACATGGCAAAACCCTGTCTCTGCCAAAAATACAAAAAATTAGCCAGGCGTGGTGGTGTGTGTCTGTAACCCCAGCTACTCAGGAGGCTGAGGTGTGAGGATCACACGAGCCTGGGAGGCAAAGGCTGCAGTGAGCCGTGGTCGCGCCACTGCACTCCAGCCTGGGTTTTTTTTTTTTAAGATGGATCAAAACTCCATCTAAAAAACGAAAAACAAACAAAAAAAGAAAAATAAAAGAAAAAAAAAGTCATGATAGAACATTTTATAATAATGTTTTTACTGGATATACATTCTAGGTTAACATTCCTTTCAGCCGTTAAAATATCTTGTGCCACTTCTGTCTGGTCTGCATGATTTCTAATGAGCAATCCACTGTCATTTAATTTATTTTCTCCTGTGCATGAGATGTCCTTTCTCTCTTGTTGCTTCCGAGATTTTTTTTGGCATAAATTTCTTTGGATTTATTTTCATTTGGGTTTGCACAGATTCTTGAATTTTTACATTTAAGCCTCTGTCCAAATTTGGAAAGCAGTCAGTCTTCCTTCAAGCACTCTTTGGGCATCACCCATTTGTCATTTCCCTCTAAGACTCCAGTGACACAAATTTCATACCTTTTGTTATAGTCTTACAGATTTATCAGCATGAAATAATACTAAATATTATGAACAAGGAAGATCCTGTCAAAAAAAAAAAAAAACACACACACACAAAGAAAGAAAAAAGAAAAGAAGAAATTGTGAAAAAAAGAAACTAATGGTGATGATGGTAATCTAGGAAAGCCATCTAAGGTTCACCTTAGCATTTTAGGATAAAAGGGTGGTGATGATGGCAGTGGCGAGCTGTCCAGAGTGGCTAGTTGCAGTGGTAAGTTGCAAGCGGTGGTGGCAGGAATGACTGTGGGAGCAGTGGCCATGGTGGGACCCCTGTGCCCCATGTCCCCTGTGCCTTGTGTCCCTTAGGCAGCTGACTGTGCTGCCCCAACCCTTGAGCAGCCAGCAGGACCTGCCCCCAGGCCCAGAGCCTCCACCAGTCCTGCATTCCTGCTCTCATCCTATAGCTGTGGGGAGGGCATGAAGCTGGGGCCATGCCTCAGGGGCCTGGGGTGAGAAGTGGGAGTTGCCCCACTTTGGGGACCCATCCAGCGGCAAGGCCACTGTCCCACCCTGCCGAGGGAGCACTGTTCCTGGGTCTCAGGAGGAGGCTCTGTCTGAGGCCGCCCAGGGTTGTGCCCTCGGGGGTGGCCACCGAGCCTGATGTTCCCCATGGCCAAGCCCTGCTGAGATCTGCTCCCCAAGATGCCTCCCCGACCTTATCCAGGCGAGGGAGATCCCTGGGCACCCCTGAGTTCTAAGAGAAGATCTTGCAGAGACATCACCTTTGCCCCAGATGCCGGCCTGGGCCCAGTGAGTGGAGCTGCCCACCCCAGGCTGCGAGGTGTGACAGGGGCTACCTGCCGGCTCCACGGATTGGGTGGGAGACCCACCCTCCCACAGCAGGATCCAGGCCTCTCTGCGCTCCACGCCCTCAAGGCCGAGAAGGACTCCGTGTCCCTGCAGGTTCCGGGGTGTCTGCTCCCACTGCCTGGCCTCTCCCCTGGTCTCTCCCAGCTCCCGCTCTGATCTCAAAGTGGAGTCGGGCCCAGTCCCGTTGCTGTCACAGCCTGGTCAGGTGTGCGCACACTCAGGGCAGCATTGACATATCAATCTCTTGCCACCTCAGCCATGGGGAAGCCGGGGGAAGCTGAGGGAAGATGGGCTGAGGGAAACTGGTGTGGCCTACAGGTGCCCCTTGGCATGAGCAGCCTGGTCACCATGGATAGCAGTGGGAGGCAAACAGCTTCCTGGGAAGAAAGAGGCAGGTCTCTGGTGAGGCCCTGCTCACCAGGCTGGGCTGCCAGTCCTGCTGACAGCAGTGGGAACTTGTGCCTTTTCTGGGCCTGCCCCATGGCCGCCCATGATGTGCACTTCCTCCCCTCTGAGGTCCGTAAAAGCCCTGGGCTCAGGCCGACTTGAGCAGAGGATGGAGAGAGGACAGGGAGATGAGGGATGAACTGCTGCAGAGAGGAGTTGCCCTCCCCAGGGTCTCCTCTCTGCTGAGAACTGAGGAGAGAATAGGATGTTCAGCTGCAGAGAGGAGCTACCCTCTCTGCTGAGAGCTGAACAGGTGTCAGGACAACCTGGCTATGGAGAGAAGCTGCCCACTGCAGGTCTCTGAGCTGTTCTATGGCTTAATAAAGCTCCTCTTTGTCCTGTTCACCCTCCACTTGTCTGCATACCTCATTCTTATTGGACTCAGGACAAGAACTGGGGATCTGCCAAATGGTGAGGCTAAAAAAGCTGTGACACAAACACGGCTGAAACATGCCCCTTGCTCACCATGTCGTGAGCAAAGAGAAGGAGGGAAGAGCTGTGGCTCTTCAGGGAGCCCAAACCTGGGAGCTCACTGAGCCAGGGCTGTGACTCACTTTTTGGGGCCTGTGATTCCTGGGGTCTCCAAGCTTCCAGGTGCCACGTTGTTCCCCAGTGCCAGCTGTGGAAGCTGCTTGTGGTGTGCCTGGTCTAGCTGCAGCCTCACAGGGAGCTGACACCCATGGCAGCACCTAGAGCTGCCTGCCCTGCACAGACAACCTGCCTGGCTTTGCACAGTGGCTGGACCCCATGCTCAGTTGCTCACACATCCCTCGACACCTGATTCACCCTTGGCAGGTGTGGGATCCAGGCCGGTAGTGTGAGCTGAGCACTGCATGCCAGGCAATGTGGGTGGAATGAGCCCAGCTGGCCCGAGTAAAACTCAGGCAAAGGCATTACCAGCCACAGGATTCTGGGAAGAAAAGCAACACCCCAATGATCCCGTAACAGTGACATGGTTAGCCTGGCTCTGTTTCCCCCACCAAATCTCATCTTAAACTGTAAGCCCCATAATCTCCACATGTCCAGTGTGGGACCTGGTGGGAGGTGATTAGATCATGGGGGCCGTTTCCCCCATGCTGTTCTTGTGATAGTGAGTGAGTTATCACGAGATCTGATGGTTTTTATAAGTGTTTGACAGTTCCTCCTATGGGTACATTCTCTCTCGCCTGCTACTGTATAAGATGGCCCCCTTCCTCTTCCGCCATGATTGTAAGTTTCCTGAGGCCTTCTTATCCATACAGAACTGTGAGTCAATTAAACCTTTTTCCTGCCAGACACAGTGGCTCATGCCTGTAATCCTAGCACTTTGGGAGACCTAGGCGGGTGGATTAGGAGGTCAGGGGATCAAGACCCTCCTGGCTAACACGGTGAAACCCTGTCTCTACTAAAAATACAAAAATTAGCTGGGGCTGGGTGTGGTGGCTCACACCTGTAATCCCAGCACTTTGGGAGGCCAAGGTGGGCAGATAACCTGAGGTTGGGAGTTCGAGACCAGCCTGACCAGCATGGAGAAATCCTGTCTCTACTAAAAAAATACAAAAATCAGCCGGGCATGGTGGCGCATGCCTGTATTCCCAGCTACTCGGGAGGCTGAGGCAGGAGAATTGCTTGAACCAGGGAGGCGAACGTTGCAGTGAGCCGAGATTGCGCCATTGCACTCCAGGCTGGGCAACAAGAGTGAAACTTAGTCTCAAAAAAAAAAAAAATTAACCAGGCATTGTGGCATGCGCCTGTAGTCCCAGTTACTTGGGAGGCTGAGGCAGGACACTCACTTGAACCCAGGAGGCAGAGGTTGCATTGAGCTAAGTTCGCAACACTGCACTCCAGCCTGGTGACAGATCGAGATTCCATCTCAAAAAAAGAAAAAAAAAGGAAATTTTTTTTCTTTGAGATGGAGTCTTGATCTGTCGCCAGGCTGGAGTGTGATGGCATGATCTCAGCTCACTGCAACCTCTGCCTCGTGGGTTCAAGCGACTGTCCTGCCTCAGCCTCCCAAGTAGCTAGGACTACAGATGAGCACCACCACGCCCAGCTAATTTTTTTTTTTTTTTGTATTTTTAGTAGAGATGGGGTTTCACCTTGTTGGCCAGGATGGTCTCGATCTCTTGACCTTGTGATCTGCCCACCTCGGCCTCCCAAAGTGCTGGGATTACAGGTGTGAGCCACCACGCCTGGCCCCTTTTTCTTTATAAATTACCCAGTCTCAGGTATTTTCTGATGGCAATGTAAGAATGAACTATTACAGGCAGCAAACAAAAGTAATTATTTATCAATAACATACTGAAATAGTGTTAATGGGGGCATTTTCAAAACTTGTTCCCATGATTTTATTATCTCCATGAAATGCTTCTGGAATATACCACATAGAATTCTTTCTCTACTGTGCAATTTTCTGAACATTCTATGGGGACGTTTTTCATTTACTTATTGCTTCAAGTTTCTTCAAATAGTAATTCTTCCGAAATACTATACTATTTTGATGGTTCCTGGATGAATTTTCTGGTGTTTGAACTGGTTATTTGCAGTGAAGGGAGCTAGAGGATTTATGTGATCCCTTCATCCTGAATTGTCTGAATGTCGAATGTATCATATAAGCTCTGGAATTGTTAAGAGTAGGCAGAGAGCCAGAAATGAGCAGGCAAGGGAGTCCCTGGGAAAAGAAGTCCTGGAGTCACTGCCCACTGATAATCAGCACTGCACACTAGTAGTAAAAAGGACAATGGCTTACACTGGCTACATCTGGCCTTGTGGTTGGGCTCCTCTGGCCCTGGAGGGGACTTAACAGGCCTTAGCCACAAACAGCCATGGCAGGGACTTTCTCCACTGATGAAATGGTGCATTCCTCCAATAACTTACCTAGAATAGCCTTTTGCTCACTATAATAGTAAAAAACACAGCTCTGGGTGGAGATTTTTAATACTGAGGCATGCAACATGTGCAGTAGCAAGTACAAGACAGAGCATGCGCACCCAAAGAGTCTTCCTGAAACATGTTTGCAAGTAACACCCCCTCAGGCCCCTTCATGAATAATCATGTGAGATTCTCATAAAGAGACTCCTTCAGCACTGACTGCTGCTGGCTCCTCCTTTTGAGCAGCTTACACTGTCTCCTCTTTCAGAGCGTACTGTCTCTTTAAATAAACACGGCTACTACTATTTTTCCAGCTGGAACATCCCAGAGCTGTTTTCCACTCCTCTCTAGGAATGTACTTTATCTTGCTTCAATAAACTCTGCTACTCAACCGTTGCTATGCATCTCTTGGCTGAATTCTTTCTTCCAAGTTAGACAAGAATGGAAGATTTGTACACTTCTTAGAAACAGAATTAATCAGAAATATCCAGGCTCATTGGGTTGGTCTCTTTCTGAGCATGTGCAGGCAATTCTATTGCTGTGGTCTAGTCCTCAGCAGGACAACGCTAAAGTAGGGTTTGTTTGTTGGGAGATCTCTGCTGGGCGATTGGTTCAGCAACAGTTTTTGGTTCTTGAGCCTGCAGGTCAATGACATGTCTGTATCTTCAGTAGAGTGAATCTGAAACCCCGGGATTTGGCCTCTGAGAATGGGTGAGACAGATGGAGAGGAGGAGATAGAGGGTAGACTGGAGCAGAATGAGAAGAAGACCCACAAATATTACAAGATTTACATATCAGCATTGCTCATTCTAGACTTCAAGAGGAATGAGATTAGACACTGCAGATTGACATTGCCTGTTCCTTTAGAAAAAGCCTTGGATGCCTGTTTTATTACCAGGAGAACAGTCTGACTTATTACTGAAACCATTATATATTTGGACATGTGTATTTGGGTGGAAAAACTGAGTAATGGGAGCAGTGGCAGGACACGTCATTAAGGTGAGAAGAAAATATTAGAAAAACAGTGAGCTATTGCTCATTTGTCTATAAAAGTATGATGATACTTATTTCTAAAATGGTTACTAGAACCTACCACAAACCATAAAGGTGAATTATCAATGACAGTGTGATAGACTGCAAATAAATATTGAGTTAGATTTGGATTTCATCTGGGCTGTATCATGTACTAGGTATGTTTTCACTTGTATCCTACTTATCTTAGCCTCAGATTCCTCATAAAAATACTGCTGTTAATTTTTACTACATTGAATTATTATCAGAATTAAAGGAAAAATGTAAGCAAAGTAATTAGGTACCATGTTTGGTGATCATAAAATATTGCAAAAACTAAACTTTCCATTGTTTTCATCAAAATTTCTACAGCCGAATTTTATAAAATAAAACAATCACACACCAAGGAGGCACAACCTTGTAACACTTACTAATAAATAACAAGTTTCTCTACCTATGGTTTATAGAATCCAAGCAGAATTTTGAGAATATTACAGATAGAATAGGCGTACATATTTTGTAACATATCTATAATTTCAATATAAGATAAGTAGATGAGCAATATAGAATGCAGTAAATGCAGACAAATATGGAATAAAAAAGCAAAAATAAATCCATATCATTCCACGTAACAAAACCATTTTTTAAAGTAGTTTTAGGTGTAAAGAAAAATTGTGGAGAAATTTCAGGTAGTTCCCACATCCCTTCTTTCCTAAAACAGCCCTCTGCTCAGTTTCTCCTATTACTAACATCCTGCATCAGTGTGGTACACTTGTTACAAATGATGAACCAATACTGATACTTACGTTAACTGAGGTCCATAGTTGAATTAGGGTTCATTCATATTATACAGTTCTATGGGTTTTGATCAATACATAACATCATATATTCACCATTAAAGTCAAACTGACCCGAGTCCCATAGACAGTTTTTCTTTTAAATCTGCATTTAAATGGACACTTCTGATCTTAAATTTAAACTTATATTTGTCTCATCTGAGTTTCTTTGCAAAAAAAGATTCCCCAGGCCTCTTAAAAAGTATCAAAGAACTGGAACTCACCAGATCGTCTCATCCAAACAATGAGACTCCAGGTTCCCCATTCATCATGATTGTTCCCTTACCCCTCTCTAGTTCCTGTTTTCCCATACATAGTTACATTTCTTCCCTGCTAGATAAACTCCTAATTGTAGTCAGTCACAGAGATGGATTTGACACTGGTCTCCCATCTCCTCAGCTGCAGCACCTGATTAAAGATTAAAGCCTTCTTCTTTGGCAGTGCTCATTGTCATCTCAGTGGTTGGCTTTGTGTGTGGTGAGCAGCAAGATCCAGACCAAAGCCCTTGTGTGCAAGACCTAGACTGAACCCCTGGTGTTTCAGTAACAAAAGTATCCTACAAAGTAGTTTTGCTGACCTAAAATTGTCCCAGGCTCCACCTATTCATCTATTCTTCTTCCTCCTGAACCCCTGGAAACCACTATTTACTGTATGTATTTTTGCCTTTTCCAGAATGTTATATAGTTGTAATCATATGGGATATAGTTTTTTTTTAGCTGGCTTCTTTCACTTAACAATATGCATATAGGTTTTCTCCATGTCTGTTCATAGCTTGATAGCTTATTTCTCTTTAATTTTAAATGATAACCCATGATATAGATATACCACAATTTGTTCACCCACTCACTTACTGGAGGACATTTTGGTTGCTTTGAATTTTTGGCAATTATGAATAAAGCTTCTATAAACATTCGTATACACTTGTTTGTATGGACAGAATTTTCCACTCATTTGGGTAATACTCAGGATTGAAATTGCTGAATCTTATGGCAGAGTATGTTTAGCTTTGTAAGAAACAGCTAGAGTGTCTTCCAGGCATGGTGGCTCACTCCTGTAATCCCAACACTTTGAGATGCCAAGTCGGGCAGATCACGAGGTCAAGAGATTGAGACCATCCAGGCCAATGTGGTGAAACCCCATCTCTACTAAAAATATAAAAATTATCCGGGGGTGGCAGTGTGCGCCTGTAATCCCAGCTACTTGGGAAGCTGAGGCAGGAGAATTGCTTGAATGGGGGAGGTGGATGTTGCAGTGAGCTGAGATCATGGCACTGCACTCCAGCCTGGCAAAAGTGCAAGACTCCATCTCAAAAGGAGCTAGACAAATCCATGGTATTTCAGTAACAAAAGCATCATACAAAGTAATTTCCCTAACTATGCCTGAGGCTCAACCTATTCACCCATCTCTGCTCCTCCTGAAACCCTGGTCTATTTACTCTCTGTATTTTTGCCTTTTCCACAGTGTCATATAGTTGTGCTTTTACAGTATAGAGCTTTTCAGCCTGGCTCCTTCCACTTAGCAATATGCCTATAAGTTTGTTCCATGTGTCTTCATAGCTTAATAGCTTATTTCTCTTTACTGTTGAACAATACCCCATGGTATGGATATATCACAATTTCTTTATCAATTCACCTATTGTGGACATCTTGGGGGCTTCAAGTTTTTGGCAATTATGAATAAAACTGCTATAAACATTCATGTATGGGTATTTGTGTGGATATAAGTTTTCCACTCATTTGCTCAGAGGTGCCATTGCTGGATTGTATAGTAAGAGTATGTTGAGCTTTGTAACAAACAGCCAGAGAGCCTTTCAAAGTGACTGTACTGTTTTGCATTCCCGCCAGCAATGAATCAGAGTCCTTGTTTTTCTAAATCCTTGCCAGCATTTGGTTCTGTGAGGGTTTTGGATTTCAGCCAGAAAATAAAAAATGCTTTTTAAAAACGTTTTACTTTGAAATCATTATAGAGTCACAAGAAATTGCAAAGACAGAACAGAGAACATATGTGTGCCCTTTCACCCAGATTTTCCAAATGTTTATATTTTAAGTAGCTCTAGTGAGAGGTGAAGCCGGCTGGGCTTCTGGGTCAGGTGGGGTCCTTGGTAGAAGTTGTTAGTTGAGCTCATTTTGGGTTCTATTTGTAAGACCATCTGTAGCTTGATGGCCTCGATTCTAGAGGAAACAAATTTGACAAGGAGGTTAAAAATACAGGGCCCGAAGGCGAGTAATAGCAAGATGGCTGCCACGGGACCTAGAAAGGGGAGAAGCCATGTTGCCCAACTCCAGAGGTTGGTATAAGAGTTTGAAAGGCATTGTCTGATTTCAGAAGCCTTTTCCTGTGGGAAGGCTTAAGGCTGGAGCTTGAGTTCGTTCCTTCCAATGCCCAGACTTCAGAGTTGATTCCCTCCTCAATCAGGGAACAACAAATGGATAACTTTTTCCCCATATTTATGTAGATAATGTCTCCAGCTTTGGCTAATACGTCCCTCCCTAAAAAAGGTATGGGACTTTCAGGCATAACAAGAAAGGCATGTGAAAAGAGCAAAGTCTCCCAATTACAGCTGAGGAAGTGGGAGAAATACCTGGTTACAGGCTGTCCCGGGATTCTTTGGATGGTAACAGACCTTGGGGACAGCTGTCCGGGACCGGAGATTAACACTGAGAAAGCCATGCCGGCGTCCAGGAGGAAGTCAATTTCCTGGCCCTCAATGGTTAAACGTACCCTGGGCTCAGTGAGGGTGAGGAAATGAGCTGGCGCTTGCCCCGGGCACCCTCAGTCCTGTTGTTGGATCATCTGGTTGGGAGCTTCTGGTCCAGAGAACCTTTGTCCTCTGGGGCAGTGCGCCTTCCAGTGATTGCCTCGGCATAGTGGACATGGGTGAGGGGGCAGCTTGTTTCTCATTGGACAATCTTTTTTAAAGTGTCCTTGTAAACCACACTGATAACAAGCCCTACTGGGTGACTGGCGTGCTCCATTTTCTGTCCTTTCTGAACCACCAAGGTGTATTTGTCTGAGGGCCATGACTAAGGCTGAGGCCTTTCTCTGATCTCGCCATTCCTTTTGGGCCTGTTCCTCTTGATCCCTATTATAGAACACCGAGGTTGCCAGGTTTAATAATGCCTCCAGATTTTGTTCAGGGCCCAGGGCTCGCTTTCGGGGCTTTCTTCTGATATCTGTGGCTGATTGGGTAATAAACTTATCTTTTAGGATCAAGTGACCCTCTAGTGAGCCGAGTGGCAGGAAAGTATATTTTCTTAAGGCCTGCCATAGCCATTTGAAGAAGGCAGAAGGATTTTCTTCCTTTCCTTGAGTTATGGTGGACATCATTGAATAATTCATGGGCTTTTTCCTAATTCTCCTTAGTCCTTCTAGAACACAGGTCAATGGATGTTTACAATTCCAGTCCTCATGATCTGAGTCTAGATCCCAGTGGGGATCCATACTGGGGAAGGCTTGCTGACCAGTAGGGAATTTGTCCATTTCTTCAGCTGTCATTCTGTCATTTACTTGACTAAGATACCAGGTATCTCCAAACTCTAGGGCTGCAGCTAAAGCCACATTCTTTTCATTAAATGCCATGGTTTGATCTAACAATAGCATGACATTTCTCCAAGTGAGATCGAGGGTTTGCCCTAGACCCTGTAGGACATCTATGTACCTATCAGGATCATCTGAAAACTTCCCTGGGTCTGCCTTGATCTGCTTTAAATCAGAGAGGGAGAAGGGAACATGTACCTGGGTTGGGCCAAATTCCCCTCCCCCTAAAGCTTGAAGGGGACATAACTGATAGTCAGGGAGGTTTTGTGGTCCCTTGGAGATTTATTTGCTTGTTTCCTTATGGGTGGGGGAGATTGGAAAAAGCTTATTAATAGGAAGGTGAGCTATAGGGAGGCTAGGATATGGTGGTAAGCTGAGAGGTCCTCTGTGGGATGTAAATTGCAATCTTTGCATAGTTGTGTATTTTCCTTCAATGAAAAGAAAGGTTGGACATAAGGTATTTCACTCAATTTACCTTCCCTCTTACAGAAAATGTCAAGCTGCAGGATAGTATTGTAATTTATACTTCCCTCAGGTGGCCATTTTTCCCCATCAGAGAGAGAACATTGGGGCCAAGCCATAGTGCAGAAAAAAATGAGCCACCTCTTTTTCAGGGTTTGAAGGTCAAATTGGTCTAATGGCTTAGGATGTATTTCAAGGGTGAGCCTGTTGATGCCTGAGTGTTTCCCATCTGAAAGACAAAACCACCCGCGGTTTTGGTTTGTTTGTTTCTCCCCCTCCCCAAGAACCTGCAACAGTCCCTGGACCTTGCTGATTGGAATAGTTGTGCTCACCAACACAGCAGCAGAAACACCTCTTGCCCAAGAACCCAAAATTGTCCCTGGACCCTGCTGATCAGAATAGTTGTGCTCACCAATGCAGCAGCAGAAACACTAGTTTTCCTCCTAGACCACAAGGAGGACTGAGGAAGGTCGGATTTAGTGGCCCTTTCTGACGCATTCTCGAAAACCTGCTAGAGTCCTAAGCATTCTCCCGTTAGTATTGGGATCTTACCACTGTCCTATAAAGATGTTATGCCCCAAAAATGAAATGGAGGGCCATACCCTGAGGGAGGGAAAGGATCTCCAGAGTTGGATGAGTGATGCCTTTTGTCCTCAATTATATGAATAGGAAAGATACTATTTCTGAAGTTCCCCATATCCTAGCTTCAGGAATAGCTTTTGTTAGGTCTGCTAGTCTGAGGAGGGATCCTAAAATTCCAGAGAGTCCCCTCCTTGACGGGGCTTTGGGCAAAAATTACATCTTTCTGATTGGTGAGTCCGGGTGCCTAAAGAAGGGAATAGAGTCCTGGAGTTTATACTAGAAATCATTCCTATAGGAGAAACTAGAAAAGCACCAGAGACAGGGAGTGGTTTTTAGAAGCAAGACTAGCCTCGGAGAAGAGAGGCAAGAGGAAGTTTGTTGGACAGGCGTTAGGACCCAGGAGACAAGGGTCAGGATAGATAGGATACATGGGCGAGTCTTGCTTGGGTGACATGACTTTGAGAGCTCCGCTCATGGCCGCAGGGTCAACCAACTTTTTGTCGGGAACCCCGGAGCTGAATGGCTTTCCTCCCTGTCAACCCTCAGCTCAGTCAGGAAGTACAGTAAAAGCAGAAGCTGGTTCCAGGCAAACCAACGCTCCCAACTCCGAAGAGTTGGGGGTTGTTACAGAGCCCTTTCCCAGAAAGCCTGTCACCGGTGTCTTTAGTCCAGCAGCCACACTCGTTGCTTTTAACTGGCTGACAGGTGCCTGGTATTTAGCCCCCGAATTCCAAGGAAAAATAGCACAGAAAACCAAGCAAGAGGGGTCTGATGGTACTCACCACTTGGTGATAATCGATGGTCCCATCTGGGTCACCAAATGTGTCCTTTCATGGTTGCCAAAATGTATCCAGAATTGGTTCCTTCTGGTGGGTTCTTGGTCTTGCTGACTTCAAAAATGAGGCCATGGACCCTCGCGGTGTGTCCGGAGTTTGTTCCTTCCCACTGTTCAGATATGTCCAGAGTTTCTTCCTTCTGGTGGGTTCGTGGTCTTGCTGACTTCAGGAGTGAAGCCACAGACCTTTGCAGTGAGTGTTACAGCTCTTGAAGGTGGAGCGTCCAGAGTTGTTTGTTCCTCCTGGTGGGTACGTGATCTCACTGACTTCAGGAATGAAGCTGTAGACCTTCGTGGTGAGTTTTACAGCTCATAAAAGTAGTGTGGACCCAAAGAGTGAGCAGCAGCAAGATTTATTGTGAAGAGCAAAAGAACAAAGCTTCCACAGCATGGAAGGGGACCCAAGCGGGTTGCCACTGCTGACTCAGGTGGCCAACTTTTATTCCCTTCTTTAGGCACCCAGACTCACCAATCAGCACTCTGTAAAAATGCACCAATCAGTGCTCTGTGTCTAGCTAAATGTTTGTACATGCACCAATCAGCACTCTGTAAAAATGCACCAATCAGTGCTCTGTGTCTAGCTAAAGGTTTGTAAACACACCAATCAGCACTCTGTAAAAATGGACCAATCAGCACTCTGTAAAATGGACCAATCAGCAGGACGTGGGTGAGGCCAAATGAGGAAATAAAAACTGGCCACCCCAGCCAGCAGCGGCAACCCACTCCGGTCCCCTTCCATGCTGTGGAAGCTTTGTTCTTTTGCTCTTCACAATAAATCTTGCTGCTGCTCACTCTTTGGGTCCGCACTACCTTTATGAGCTGTAACACTCACCGCAAGAGTCTGCGGCTTCATTCTTGAAGTCAGTGAGACCATGAACCCACCAGGAGGAACAAACAGCTCTGGACACACCACCTTTAAGAGCTGTAACACTCACTGCGAAGGTCTGCAGCTTCACTCCTGAAGTCGGCGAGACCACGAACCCACCAGAAGGAAGAAACTCTGGACACATCTGAACATGGGGAAGGAACAAACTCCGGACACACCATCTTTAAGAACTGTAACACTCACTGCAAGGGTCTGTGGCTTCATTCTTGAAGTCAGCGAGACCAAGAACCCACCGGAAGGAACCAATTCCAGACACACTAGCACAGTAGCAAAACCAGGAAACTGACTTTGGTATAATATGTGTCCATTGTTCTATGCCTGTGTCTTATCATATTTGCAGATTTATGTAACCACCACACAATCCAATGGAGAGCTATTCCATCCCACAGAGATCTCCCACCATGCTGCCCTTTAGAGTCATGCCCTACTCCTTACACACTGTCACCCTGACAACTGACAACCACTAATCTGTTCTCCACCAATCTCTAGAATAGTGTCATTTTGAAAATGTTACATAAATAGAATCACACAGTATGTGGTTTTTGTGACTGGCATTTTCCCTTCAGCATAATGTCCTTGAGATCCATCCAAGTTGTTGCATGTATCAACAATTTGCTCTTTTTTATTGCTAAGGAATACTTCATTAGATGGAGCCACTGAAGTTTAACTATTTGCCTTTTGAGGGACATTTTGGCTGTTTCTAGTTTGGGGGCTATTACAAATAAAGCTGTTGTGAATGTGAACATTTGCACAAGATTTTTGTGTGAACATGTGTTTTTATTTCTCTGATATAAATGTCCCAGAATGTAATTCTTGGCTCATATGGCAAATATATGTCTAGTTCTTCAAGACACTGCCAAACTATTTTCTAGAAAGACTGTGCCATTTTACATTCTCACTATCAATGTGCGTGAAATCCAGTTTTTCTGCATTCTCACTAGCATTTACCATTGTTTTTTAAAAAAATTTAGCTGTATTAAGAGGTGTGGGGGGCCAGGGGCGGTGGCTCACGCCTTAATCCCAGCACTTTGGGAGGCCAAGGCAAGCGGATCATGAGGTCAGGAGATGGAGACCATCCTGGCTAACATGGTGAAACCCCGTCTCTATTAACAATACAAAAAATTAGCTGGGCGTGGTGACGGGCACCTGTAGTCTGAGCTATTCCTGAGGCTGAGGCAGGAGAATGGCATGAACCCAGGAGGCGGAGCTTGCAGTGGGCCGAGATCACGCTACTGCACTCCAGCCTGGGCGACAGAGGGAGACTCTGTCTTAAAAAAAAAAAAAAAAAAAAAAAAAAAAAAAGAGGTGTGTAGTGCTATTACATCAAGTTCTTAATTTGCATTTCCCTGATGGCTAGTGATTTGCATGTCATTCATTGTGCTTATTTGCCATATACACATATCTTCTGTGATAAAATGTGTCTTCATATCTTTTGCCCATTTTGTAATTAAATTTCATAGTCTGCACTCTATAGATTTTATAGTAAAGCTTTTATAGTTGATTATATATTCTAGATAATGTATTTTTGGTAATATATGTGGTTTTAAATATTTTCTCCATGTCTTTAGCTTACTTTTCATTTCTTAGCAGGATACCTTACAGAAAAACAGTTTTAAATTTTGATAAAGCCCCATCTATTGATTTTGTTTGTTTTTTGTATTTGTGTGTTTTTTTGTTTTTGTTTTTGTTTTTTTCCAAGACAGTCTTGCTCTGTAGCCCAGGCTGGAATGCAGTGGCACAATCTTGGCTCACTGCAAGCTCCACCTCCCGGGTTCATGCCATTCTCCTGCCTCAGCCTCCCATGTAGATGGGACTACAGGTGTCCGCTACTATGCCCGGCTAATTTTTTGCCCGGCCTGCGTTTTTGTTTTTTACACACAGAGTTTTGGTGTCATGTCTACAAACTCAGAACTCAGACACCAGGCCCTAGCTCCTGACGATTTTCTCATATGTTTTTCGAAACCTTTAACGTGTAGACATGATTTAATTGGGGGTAAATGTTTTCATGAGATGTGAGAATTTGTTACGTTTCTTTCTTGCATCTTTTTCCTCTGCTTCCTTTTTTATTTTGTTTGGTTTTGTTTTTGTCTATGGATTTCCACTTTCTCCTGGACCGTATTTTGAAAAGACTATAGACTATATTACCTCCATTGAATTATTATGATTCTTTGTCAAAATGAATTGGCATAGGCGTTTCCCTATGTTGGTCAGGTTGGTCTGGAAATCCCGATCTCAAGTGATCCGCCTGCCTTGGCCTCTCAAAATGCTGGGATTACAAGTGTGAGCCCCAGAGTTCTACCCTCATATTCTTTTTTTCCCTTCTTGCTTTAGGTTATTTTGGACTGCTTTTTTAGATTCTTGAGGTGGGAACTGAGATTATTGGTTTCTGACCTTTTCTCTTTTTCAGTGTGTACATTTTGTACTATAAATAGTTTTTCAAAGCACTGCTTTAGCTAATGACCAAAGATTTTGATATGTTATATTTTCATTTTCACTTAGTTGAATACATTTTTTATTTTCCTTAAGACATCTTTTTTGATCCACAGGTAATTTAAAAGTATGTTATTTAGTTTCCATGTGTTTGGAGTTGTACCGATTTTCTTCACGTTATTGATTTCTGGTTCAACTCCATTGCTTCCAGAGAACACAGTCTGTATGATTTCAATTCTTTCACATTTGTTGAGGTTTTTATTATGGTCCAGGGTTTGATCTACATTGGTAAATATTCCATGGACAGTTAAAAATGTGTATTCTTCTGTTTGGTGTGGTGGTCTGTAAATGTCTATTAGATCTTATTGGTGGATAGTTTTGTTGGGTTTCATTATCTGGCTGAGTTTTTGTACAGTTGTTTTATTAATATTTCAGAGATGGTTTGTGAAGTCTCAAAGTTTAATTGTGTATTTGTCTATTTCTCCTTCCAGTTCTGACCATTTTTGCTCTACTTATTTGTAACTCAGTTTTCTGATGCATACACATTTCGAGTTGCTATGTCTTCGTTCTGAATTAACGTTTTTATCTTTAGTGTTTCTGTTTATCTCTTAGAATATTCATTGCTCTGTGTATTTTATGTTATCTGATATTATAGCCATTTCTGCTTTCTTTGACAAATGTATGGTTTATTTTTTTCCGTTCTTCTATTTCAACCTTCCACTCTTGTAATATTTGCAGTAAGTTTCTAGTAGTGAGAAGTGAAGCCAGTTGGACTTCTGGGTTGGGTGGGGACTTGAAGAACTTTTCTGTGGCTAGCTAGAGGTTTGTAAAATGCACCAATCAGTGCTCTGTAAAAACACACCAATCAGTGCTCTGTGGCTTGCTAGAAGTTTATAAAATGGACCAGTCAGCACTCTGTAAAATGGACCAGTCAGCACTCTGTAAAATGGACCAGTCAGTACTCTGTAAAATGGACCAATCGGCAGGACATGGGTGGGGGCAAGTAAGGGAATACAAGCTGGCCACCCCAGCCAGCAGCAGAAAGCTGCTCCGGTCCCTTCCTGCACTGTGGAAGCTTTGTTCTTTTGCTCTTCACAGTAAATCTTGCTGCTGCTCACTCTTTGGGTCTGTGCCAACTTTAAGAGCTATAACGCTCACTATGAAGGTCCGCGACTTCATTCTTGAAGTCAGTGAGACCACAAACCCCATTGTTGAAGTCAGTGAGACCACGAACCCACTGGAAGGAACAAACTCTGGACACAGTAGGTAGTATATCTGTGGTTCATTATTTTTCACTCTGACGTTTGTCTTTTCAGACAATTTACATGTAATGCAATTATTAATATGTGAGTTCTTATGACTGCCATCTGCTTTTTGTATTCTTTTTTGTTTCCTTTGGTTTTAGCTTCTCTGTTTGCTTTTCCTGTTTTTTGATGTGTTCCTTAAGCAATTTTTAGAATTCCATTTTGTAATCAATCTTTTTTGGCATATCTCATTATATAGTTTTTGTGATTTATCTATTAACATAACTTATCATAGTCTACTGGTGCTGACATTTTGTCAATTTGACTAAAGTGTAGAAACTTTACTTCCTTTGTATCCCTTTCCATTCCTGCATTTATAATACACATTTTTTATTTTCTATACTTGCATCAAAAACCACATCTGACAATGTTGTGATTTTTGCCTCAACCATCAAATTAATTTACAAAACTGAGGAAAAGTCTGTTGTCTCAACCCATATTTTCAATCATTCTATTGTTTATTTTTTTCCTGATCGTCCAGGATTTCTTCCATTATCATTTCTATTCCAGTGCATTTCCTTTAGCTCTTGTTTTAGGATAAGTCTGCTAGCATCAAATTCTCTTGATTTTCCTTCCTCTAAGAATGTCATGGTTTGGCGTGGTGGCTCATGCCTGTAATCCCAGCACTTTGAGAGGCCAATGCAGGTGGATCCCGTGAGCTCAAGAGTTCCAGACCAGCCTGGGCTACATGAGCAAACCCTGTCTTGGCCAAAAATACAAAAATTAGCCAGGCGTGGTGGCGCGTGTCTGTAATCCAAGCTACTCAGGAGGCTGAGGTGTGAGGATCACATGAGCCTGGGAGGCAGAGGCTGCACTGAGCTGTGGTCGTGCCACTGCCCTCAAGCCTGGATGAAAGAGCAAGAGTCCATCTATAAACAAAAAAAAAAACAAAAACAAAGAATGCCATGATAGAACCTTCATTTTATAATAATATTTTTCTGGTTATACATTCTAGGTTAACATTACTTTCAGCCATTAAAATAACTTGTGCCACTTCTGACTGGTCTGCATGATTTCTAATGAGCAATCTGCTGTTATTTGATTTATTTAGGTCATTTCTCTCTTGTTGCTTTCAAGAGTTTTTTTGGGGGAGGCTGAGGCAGGAGAATGGCATGAGCCCAGGAGGCAGAGCTGAGATCGCAGCACTGCACTCCAGCCTGGGCGACAGAGCGAGACTCCGTCTCAAAAAAAAAAAAAAAAAAAAAAAAAGGTTTTTTTATCTAAATTTCTTTGGATTTATCTTCGTTTGGGTTTGCACAGATTCTTGAATTTTTACATTTAAGTCTTTGTCCAAATTTGGAAAATAGTCTTCCTTCAAATATTCTTTGGGCATCACCCATTTGTCATCTCCCTCTAAGACTCCAATGACACAAATTTCATATCTTTTGTTATAGTCCTAGAGATTTATCAGCATGAAATAATAATAATATGAATAACTTTGCAAAATAAATTTGCATGTAATGAATAAATTACTCAAAATGTACAATGTACTGAAGCTGACAAATAACATAAAATATGAAGAGTTCCACATCTTATAGAGAAAGTAAGCCCATTCCATAAAGTTTTCCCAAGACAAAACCGCAGGCTCATCCAGTTTCAGTAACTATTTTAAACTATTTAAGGAACAAACAACACTAACTTTACACAAACTTCAAACATATTTGAAAAAAGGAAAAATACTTGCAGTTACATTTAATGAGATCTGTGTAAACTTTACTTCAAGACCTGAAAAGAACTCTACAACAAATAGGAATTTGTGGACCAATAACTCTTATGAGCCAAGTTCTTAAGAAAATATTAGCCACCTGAATTCAGTGATACAAAAGATAGCTACCAAATCATGACCAAGTGGAATTTATTCCAGAAATGCAAGGTTGTTTGAGCATTTGAGACTCAATTAGTGTGATTCACTACATTAACTGAAGGAAGGAGAATACACATGCAACCACCTGCAGAGTCATGAAATATGATTTGACAGAATTCAGCGCTTGGCCTTAATTTTTTAAAAATCTGGCCGGGCGCTGTGGCTCATGCCTGTAATCCCAGCACTTTGGGCAGCTGAGTTGGGTGGATCACCTCAGGTCGGGAGTTCAAGACCAGCCTGACCAAAAGGAGAAACCCTGTCTCTAGTAAATATACAAAATTAGCCGGGCGTGGTGGCGAGTGCCTGTAGTCCCAGGTACTCAGGAGGCTGAGACAAGAGAATCGCTTGAACCTGGGAGGCAGAGGTTGCAGTGAGCTGAGATCATGCCACTGCACTCCAGCCTGGGCAACAAGAGCAAAGCTCCGTCTCAAAAACAAAAATAAAAATAAAAACAAAAACCTGCTTGCAAACTTGTATTTAAAAGGTATTTCTTCAATCTGAGAAATGATTGCTAACCTATTGCACACATTAGTCTTAGCAGTGAAATATATGCAAAACTCTCTCTTTCATATCTGGAATAGTAGAGGAGTCAGACAATGAAAATGGCAAGAAAAATATATGAAAGAGATAATAATTGCATCCAGGTAAAATTGTCATTATTTACTGTTGACCTAATCGGGTACTTAGAAAATAAAAATAATAGACAAACTCACAGATTTAATAAATAAATATAAATAAGATTGCTGGATACAAAGTCACTATACATTAAACCAATTATGTTATTGATACAGTTTGGATGTTTGTCCTATCCAAATCTCATGTTGAAATGTAACCTCCAACGTTGTATCCTTTTATAATACAAGAATTTTAAACAATATTTTTTTCTAAGGACTGCCTTGGTTGCATAACAAAAATTTTAAATATTCATTTTAGTATTATTTTATTTAAAATTATCTTCTAATTTTCCTTCTGATTTTATTTGACAAACCATAGATTATTTAGAAACGTATTATTTTACTTCCAAAAATTTGGGCAATGTTCTTCATCTTATTTATTTGTAATTTGACAAGACTGTTCAGATAATATACTCTGTATGATTTTATTCTTGTGAAAGTAATTGAGACTACTTTTATAGTCATAGTATTTGTTCTATTTCATGGATAATCTTTGTGCAATGTAAATAAATAAACATTCTGTAGTTCTCAGATGTCAGTATATATGTCAATTATAAATGCCAGCTAAGTCAAGATGGTTGAAAGCATTGTTCCTATCTTGATTTCCTTCGTGATCTTTGTTTGCACGAAGCTAGAGATGTGTGTTGTCTTCTATCGTCCTCCCTAGTTCCCACACCACCAGCATGAAGTCAGAAAAAGTTCTGGAAGGAGACTCAGCTGGCAGGGTAAAGTAGATATATATTATTCAGGGGGCCTCTATAGATTGTAATGCAGCACACCAGCTCACAGGGCTATTTACAACTCAGCTGCTTTGTCCTCAGTCGCTATCTCCCTTTCTCAGCCAGGCTCAATCTTCCCCCCATGTAAAGATTCCATAGAAGGACCAAAGAATAAGAGTGGACATTTGTCCTTGGCTCACCTAAGTGGAGTTTGTTCATCTCCGGAATTTGGAATTTTTATACTTTTTGATCTATGGTTCATTAAAATTTTAAAAATAAGATTATTTTGCAGTTTATCCATTTAGTCTAGTCTATTTTTTTTTGTTCTTGTAGTAACAGTGACAATTCTTGTAATTTTCTACCTCCTAATTGGCATTATGTTTTATGATTTTTTTCCAATTCATGTTGATAGTCCTACATAATTTACTTAAAGCCCTGTATATTATTCCTTTCTATGTCTATACCACAATTTACCCTTCTTTTTTTTTTTTGAGACGGAGTCTCCGTCTGTTGCCCAGGCTGGAATGCAGTGGCGCGATCTCGCTCACTGCAAGCTCCGCTTCCCGGATTCACGCCATTCTCCTGCCTCCGCCTCCCGAGTACCTGGGACTACGGGCGCCCGCCACCGCGCCCGGCTAACTTTTGTATTTTTAGTGGAGACGGGGTTTCACCGTGGTCTCGATCTCCTGACCTCGTGATCCACCTGCCTCGGCCTCCCAAAGTGCTGGGATTACAGGCGTGAGCCACTGCGCCGGGCCCACAATTTACCTTTCTTCTAAATATTGAGAATGTTTCTTTTCTCTCCTGTTACATTTTTTATATGTCATCATGGAGGTACAAGGAAAAATGTACCGAGACTGTAAAAACCTAGAGTGGTAATACTGTATTATCCCAACTACTCACAGGGTTACACCTATATATGCTAACAGTGCCACACACAGCACCAAATGTCATCCTGCAGTGTGCTGTCACTTCACATGCTGCATAGTTTTTATGATGTGCAAAAGTTTTATAATCAAGACAAATTAATCAGTTTTTCTTTTAGAATTTGGCAATGTTTTTGTTATTGCAAACCATGGCTCAAAACGACCAATTTTATATTTCTTTGGGCTCATGTAGGATTGTTTCCTTAAGACAGATGTTTAGAATGGGATTTTTGTTGTTTTCATCAAGCACGTAACAATTGCATTTTGAGTTTTAATAGTACACTGCCATCCACCCACAATCCTAATAATATAGGAGAATCTATTCCCATAGAATCTTCTAAATCCTTGATTTTAAAACAAACTGTTGTATTTTCCAGTTTTCAGGGGGAGAAATTGCTATTTGAATTTGGATTTTTCCATTCGTTGGTGAGTTTGAGCAAATATTTATTGACTATTGGAAGAGATTCCAATATTGACTATAGAAGAGATTCTATAGTCAATCTATATCCTTTGCCCAATTTTCCGTGGCATTTCCATTAATTAATTTATTGATTAGTTGACAATTTTTCATAAGAAAGCCCATTTTCTGCCTTATGTGATCAAAATTTTTCCTGAGCTTCATATACTTCTTTTAATTTTGTTATTTTCTTCATGCAAAGAAGTCAGTAATTTTCTTCAAATATTTTTTCATTTGTGTCTTCTGGATTTTGTCTTGCTTGCAAAGTCTTATTTTTTAAAAAAGAATTATTTTAACAGGATTCCTAAGGCTTAATTTACATGCTATGAGATTCATTCATTCTATATGTAAAATTTAATGATTTTAGTAAGTAAATAGATTTGTGCAATTATCACAACAATCCAGCTTTTTTTAAACATTTCTGTTATGTCCAAAATTTCTCTATTTATAGTTAATTCCCACCGATACCCCAAGCCATAGGCACCCAGTGATCTGCTTTTTGCGTCAATCAATTTACCTCTTTTACATATTTCAAGTAAATGAAATGATACATTATGTAACCTTTTGTGTCCAGTTTCCTTCACTTAGTTAACATTATTTAAGTTCATCAGTTTTGTAGTATGTATCTTCATTTTGTCCCTTTTCTTTTTATTTTCTCTTTTTTATTTGTGTAAATTTATAAAGTCCAAGTGTAGTTTTATTACATGCATAGATTGCATAGTATGTGAAGTCAGTGTTCCACAGTATCCATCACCTAAATCACATGCATTGTACCCGTTAAGCAATCTCTCATCACCTGGAGTGCAAGGGTTGAAACTTGCCTTGGGAAAATTACCCTCATGTTTATGGTATCTCCCCTGCCAGATGAGTCTCGTTTTGTTCCCTTTTACTGTTGAATGATATTGCCTTGCATGAATGTAGTTTATCCATTTTGTTTATCCATTTACTAGTTGAAGGATATTTGGATTGTTTTCAGTTTAGACCTACTATGGCTAACGCTGTTCTGAACACTTGAATGTGTAACTTCGTGAGGACATACGTTTTTATGTCTCTTAGGTAGATTCCAAGGAGTGAAATTGCTGGGTCATATGGCAAACATATGTTAAACTTTTAAAGAAATTGCCAAATTTCCAGGTATTTGTAAAATCATACACTCCCACCAGCAACACATAAGGGCTTAGAAAGTCTGTTTGTCATCAAACATAATTATAATGATGATGATAGTATTAGAAATAACATCTGTCTTGTTAATTTTATATTTTCTCTTGATGTTTCAATTTTTATTCATCCAGGATCCATTTGGTGAAAGAAATGACTTTGGAATACAACTTACCACAAACTGAAACTAAATCTCAACTCCTTCTGGTTCTAATTCTAGACTCTGTTTTACTAGCATATTTAACAAAAAATAAAGAATCAGTAACAAATATATTTTTTTTGTTTTTGAGATGGAGTCTCGCTCTGTCGCCCAGGCTGGTGTGCAGTGGTGAGATCTCGGCTCACTGCAAGCTCCACCTCCCAGGTTCACGCCATTCTCCCACCTCAGCCTCTGGAGTAGCTGGGACTACAGGTGCCCGCCACGATGCCCGGCTAATTTTTTTTTATTTTTAGTACAGACGTGGTTTCACCGTGTTAGCCAGGATGGTCTCGTGATCTGCCCGCCTCGGCCTCCCAAAGTGCTGGGATTACAGGCATGAGCCACTGCGCCAGGCCAACAAATGTGTTTTTTAAAATAAATGTATAGTATGTTTTAGCACCTTATAGAGCTAGTCATTCCTTATTCTACCTTTTTCAAAAATTCCCCCGTTAAAACAACATGTCAGCATACTTAATTGAGTTCTAAAATCAATCCTTTTTCCTGCTTTTTTGTTTTATTCTAATTGAGTTAATGGCAGACATTTAATGCTCGATACATATGTATTAAAAAAGACCTGAAACGCTGAATGGAGGATGCCTATCAGGAATCTCTAGGCCTTCATGTGGAATTTAACTGCAAATTCTAGCAACCTAAGAGTACCACAATCTATCATTTCCCTACCCTGAAATCAACCTCTCCTACTCCATCCACCATTTCTTTATTTTTAAAAATATATGATTTTGCTCCTTTTCTCCCCATGTGCATCAGGCCCACTCTACAAGGGTTGAATCCTGGCTTGTCTGAGCCCGTGTGATCCCACGGTCATTCCAATGAGAAAGTGGGTACTGTGAATACTCTGGAAACGGTGTAGTTGCTCCTTATAAAGGCACACAGGAAAAAGTAGTATCTTTTTCCTTTCTTTGGTAGTTTTGTGAAAGAATAAGAAACCTAAAGCGGCTGCAGGGATCCTCCGACCATTGCAGGAAAGCTGACATGCTGTGTATGATAGAGAGATGAGTTATGAAGTTCCAGGATCGCTGTTGATGCCACTGGCTTGCTGAGTTGAGCAACCCTGGAGACGCCCACCCTTGTATCTATTGCCTATGTGAGATCATGGGTTAAAGAAAAATAAAGCCCACTAGATGGGATTTCCTGCTGTTCACAGCAGAAGCATCTTCATTCAAATATTCATCCCACACATTTTAGTTCCATACCACAAGTCTCATATAAAATAAGACAAATCATCTCCTCAACTTAGGGAACAAGGCCTATTTGTTGCAACTCTGGGATCAAACAGAACAGACATAATTATTAGCTTAATATATTCCTATAGGATTTATGTTCTTATAGGATTTATAAGTACTTGTACTGATGTGTATGTACAAGTAACATATAACTAATAATAAAATATGCATAAATAAATATTGAATTTGAAAATAAGTTGTCTCTGACAGTAGAGAAATTATGCTCAAATGATTATTACTTTGAAATAGACTTCTGCATTGATTATGTACTTTTTAGTTTTGACATATTTGATACTGACTCTCAGAACACAATGGAGAACCCTCCATCTTCTAAATTTGTCTTTCTCTGAAATCTGTACAAGTCCTTTGGTAATACTATATTACTGAAGTCTCTGGAATGAAAAACCATATACTAATTTACAGTAATAGATACACAATATTGTAGATGGGATTAAGAAAGAGTTCTGGGCCAGATGCAGTGGCTCATGCCTGTAATCTCAGCACTTTGGGAGGCCGAGGCGGGTGGATCATGAGGTCAGGAGATCGAGACCATCCTGGCTAACACGGTGAAACCCCGTCTTTACCAAAAATACAAAAAAATTAGCTGGGCATGGTGGTGGGCGCCTGCAGTCCCAGCTACTCGGGAGGCTGAGGCAGGAGAATGGTGTGAACCCAAGAGGTACAGCTTGCAGTGAGCCAAGATCGCGCCACTGCACTCCAGCCCGGGCGACAGAGCAAGACTCCATCTCAAAAAAAAAAAAAAAAAAAAAAAATCTCATGTTGGCCAAGTTTCTTTCAGTTGTTACAGTCTCTTCTCAGTTTTTATGCATTGCCTTTGTAAATGTTAGGTTTACTTTTTTAACCGACAAGTAAAAAATTTATAGTGTATTTATGTTGTAGAGCCAAAGTTTTGATATATCCCTATAGTGTGGAAAGTTTAAATCAAGCTATTAAACATATGCATTACCTCACATACTTATGACATATACACAAAAACCATTATTCTATTGGGAAATAATCTTCCCTTCTTCTTTTCTTTTCCTTTTTTGTTCTTGGAGCCAAATGGACCAGATGATTTTTTTCCACTTTCTTGTTTTTTTTTTTTTTGCTATTATTATACCTTAAGTCCTGGGCTTCATGTGCAGAACGTGCAGGTTTGTTACATAGGTATACATGTTCCATGGTGGTTTGCTGAACCCATCACCCCATAATTTACATTAGGTATTTCTACTAATGCTATCCCTCCCCTAGCCCCCCACCCACTGACAAGCCCCAGTGTGTGGTGTTCCCCTCCCTGTGTCCATGTGTTCTCATTGTTCAACTCCCAGTTATGAGTGAGAACATGCAGTGTGTGGTTTTCTGTCCTTGTGTTAATTTGCTCAGAATGATGGTTTCCAGCTTCATCCATGTCCCTAAAAAGGACATGAACTCATCCTTTTTTATGCTGCGTAGTATATATGTGCCACATTTTCTTTATCCAGTCTAATATTGGTGGGCATTTGGGTTGGTTCCAAGCCTTTGCTGTTGAGAATAGTGCTGCAATAAACATATGTGTGCATGTATATTTATAGTAGAATGATTTATAATCCTTTGGGTATATACCCAATAATGGGACCACTGGGTCAAATGGTATTTCTAGCTCTAGATCCGTGAGGAATTGCCACACTGTCTTCCACAATGGTTGAACTAATTTACATTCCCACCAACAGTGTAAAAACTTTCCTATTTCTCCACATCCTCTCCAGCATCTGTTGTTTCCCAACTTTTTAATGATCACCATTCTAACTGGTATGAGATGGTATCTCATTGTGGTTTTGGTTTGCTTTTCTCTAATGACCAGTGATGATGAGCTTTTTTTCATATGTTTGTTGGCTGCATAAATGTCTTCTTTTGAGAAGTGTCTGTTCATATCATTCACCCACTTTTTGATGGTTTTTTTTTTCTTTTCCTTTTTTTTGAGACAGAGTCTCACTCTGTCACCCAGGCTGGAGTGCAGTGGTGTGATCTTGGCTCACTGCAAACTCTGCCTCCCGGGTTCATGCCATTCTCCTGTCTCAGCCTCCTGAGTAGCTGGGACTGCAGGTGCCCACCACCATGCCCGGCTAATTTTTTTGTATTTTTAGTAGAGACGGGGTTTCACTGTGTTAGTCAGGATAGTCTCGACCTCCTGACCTCGTGATCCACCCGCCTCAGCCTCCCAAAGTGCTGGGATTACAGGCGTGAGCCACTGCGCCTGGCCGGGGTTGTTTTTTTCTTGTAAATTTGTTTATTTGTAGATTCTGGATATTAGCCATCTGTCAAATGGATATATTGCAAAATTTTTCTCCCATTCTGTAGGTTGCCTGTTCACTCTGATGATACTTTCTTTTGTTATTCAGAAGCTCTTTAGTTAAATCAGATCACATTTGTCTATTTTGGCTTTTCTTGCCATTTTTTTTTTTGTTTTGGTGTTTTATACATGAAGACTTTGCCCATGCCTATGTCCTGAATGATATTGCCTAGGTTTTCTTCTAAGGTTTTTCTGGTTTTAGGTCTTACATTTAAGTCTTTAATCTATCTTGAGTTAATTTTTGTATGAGGTGTAAGAAAGGGATCCAGTTTCAGCTTTCTGCATATGACTAGCCAGTTTTCCCAACATCATTTATTAAATAGGGAATTCTTTTCTCTTGCTTGTTTTTGTCAGGTTTGTCAAAGATCAGACGTTTTTAGATGTAGATGCGTGGCATTATTTCTGAGGCCTCTGTTCTGTCCCATTGGTTTATATATCTGTTTTGGTACCAGCACCATGCTGTTTTTGTTACTATAGCCTTGTAGTATAGTTTGAAGTCAGGTAACGTGATGCCTCTAGCTTTGTTCTTAAGTCCTTTAGGCAGCAAAGAATACCTCATAGATGCTCTTTAACTGTAGGGTGACTCCAAGTACTAAAGATCTCAGCTTCAGCTCCAAGGATTTTTCCCCATAAGGAAGAAAGAGCACTAAGCATAACTTCTGTCAGAGACCTTGCATACATTACAGGGTAAACATTGGAGTTCAGAAAGAAAAGAAAGGAGGTAATGGGGAGGCCACTGGGTCCATTCTCACATATGAGGAAGAGGGGACAATATCACAGGTTCTGTCAAGGGCATAACACAGGATTGTCTAGGAGAGACCCTTTGAATTCCCTTGACTCCCAGAAAATTTTCAGAAAAAAACTCCTTTTGTCTAACATAGGTCAACATAATAAAGGGAAGTGCTGTATGGGGAATTTATTTTAGCATCCTTATTTCTAAATCCTCTGAGGACCCTGAGGACATGTGATGCAAAGGTTTCATTGGTGAAGATTTGAGAAGAAATGACCTGTATGGAGGCCCCTTACACAGTCTCATGGAGAGGGCAAGTAGTCAAGATCCTTTTGTGGAGGAAATAATTTGGGATCCCATGATAAAGATGGGCAATCTCTGAAGAAAATGTCACAATTTCTTAAGGCACCTGGCCTGGGCACAATGTTAACACAACTCCCTATTTTCCGCACCCCATAGTAGCTCAGCACCCACAATGTGCACTTATGTCAGGTGTCCCTAGCCAAAGCCAGTGGGGAGCTCAGCACCGTCAGTGTCACTGTCAGCGCTGCCATGTAGGAACCTCCAGGGAGCTTCAGACACACCATGCTGGAGAACAGGACAGGACCAGGGGCCAGAAGAGCAGGCAAGTCTCACTCAGGGAGAACTATGACCCCCCTCCACCCACATTCCAAATTATAGGGAGGAAGTTACTGATTTCCTTCCTCCTGGGTTGGGTAATCTCGTGTTGGAGAACCAATCAGCATCTGAGTTCAATAGTATCATCAGTTGCTGGTCAGAGATGCTGTATTTATGTCCTCTTCTGAAACAGAATTTCCTTCTTTAAAGGATTGTTTTAAATTAGTACTTGAAAGATTTGATCCAGTTGCATGTAAAACACTAACTGGGTCCCTATTGTTAGCCAGCTCTGTGCTGGTCAGTGATGTGTTCACAAGTTTGAGCCTTGTAAGAGCATTCATTTCCCACCTGACAAGACAACTGTTTGCAGAAGTGAGTGTGTGAGTGTGTTTAGGAGTAAAGGAGATGGAGGGAACATGGTTGTAAATCGGAGACCTTTAATCTGGTCCTTATTGCACTGTATCTTAATGTTGTAGATTTGGGAAAATTATTTCATGTCTCACAGTTGAAATGAAGACACTGTGATCTTTCAGGTCTTTCAATACTGGAAAATGCTGTGATTCTGCAGACACCTCAAGGAGCAGCAGCCCCGGGTATCTGATAATATGACAGGATGACAGCTATTGACTAGAGAGCTTAATCCATACCTATTTACAGGTAGGGATGTCTTTAATAAGTTAAAGGAAATTGACAGTTTGTTAATAATTTAATCTGAGTAAAAATATCTTTTTCAAGTATGTCTCCTGATGCTGCCCCCAAGTTTAGTGGCACCTCCAGAACACACACAGGCAAGGGGCTAACAGGGGCCACATGTGTGCAATGGAGGGTCTGAACGTGCCTTTGTACAGCACTTACCCTAAAAATATGATAAGGTCAACTTTGCAATCCAAGTATTTGTGGGTTTGAGAGATCAATCGAAGACTCTCAAAGTCAGCTGTTCACAGAACAACTATTTTTTCTTTTTTTTTTGAGACGGAGTCTCGCTCTGTTACCCAGGCTGGAGTGCAGTGGTGTGATCTTGGCTCACTGCAACCTCTGCCCCCTCAGTTCAAATGATTCTCCTGCCTCAGCCTCCTGAGTAACTCTGACTACAGGCACGTGCCACCACGCTTGGTTGATTTTTTGTATTTTTAGTGGAGATGGGGTTTCACTGTGTTAGCCAGGATGGTCTCGATCTCCCGACCTCGTGTTCTGCCTGCCTTGGCCTCCCAAACTGCTGGGGTTACAGGCATGAGCCATCGTGCCTGGCCACAATTCTGTTTTAAAATAATTAATATTTTATGTGAAGAGTGTTCAATCCCTCATTCCTGGTTCCATTATGATTTCCTCATTTGATTGAGGCTATAGCACTTTACTATTATGTTTCTCTTGTTTTATCATAAGGGAAGATAGAAGATGACTTTGCTAACTAATACATTTTAGAATGTTCAGGAAAGAGAACACTAGGGAAAACTATGAATTACATCAGTTGATGTAACCATATAATATTAAACATATACATTTAGATAATTATTATGCTTTTTATTAATATAAATGTAACATCTAAGATTCAGAATGGACTTCAAAGTACAACTATACTTATAGCGTTCTGCATTAATTCACACGCTACCACATAGGCACTCATTCCTTATGGGCCTTAGTGTTTCCAGGGGCAGGATTCTCACCATGCTGCCATAAAAATGAGCATTTTACTTTATACTCAGAATTGTACTAAGCGCTTTTTATACTTCATGTTTTTATTCCATTCTCACATCAGCTCAGTAAAATAAACACCCTTTTCATGCTTACAGGTAGAGAGAATAAAACAATGGAGATGAAACAACTTTTGCAAAGATACACAGCTAGTAAATGGTACACTATAGATTGAACCAAATTACATACCCCTCAGGCTCAGCCACTATATCATAATCCTTCACATTCTATTTCTGAGAATAATGTCCTATGTATTAAAATTATTTATATTCCTATAATTTATGGATGCACATAGCAATATGGCTACTCATGTTAATGAATGGCAGCAGTATACAATTTGAGGAAGATACTGTGTAGCAATTCTAGTTCCTTCAAAAGAACCCCCTCATTATCATCCTTACCCTCCCCTGGAAATGACAACATTTGCATTTGTCTTATGTGATGACACCCATAGCTCCTGAGAAGTCTCCTTCTTATTAAAGGTAATAGTGACCTCAAAATTCTTAAATAAAAACTATTGCTCAGAATTATTATTTCAGATTTCTCATGATAAAGTAGTAAATTTGATCATCTCAAAATAGAAGAAAAAAGTGCCTCACTTACTTTGGAAAAACATACTTCTATTAATATAGAAAGTTCAAAATTTCACGGGTGAAAGTCACTATTGTCCCTGGATTTGAGAATAAACTATGTCTCTATACCCCAATAATAATTCAATACTATTGGAAGTTGTGAAATTGCAACCAGAATATCACATTTAATTTGGTCAACAGAAAATAATAATTTACTTAGAAACTAATTTAGTCCCAGCTACTCAGGAGGTGGGTAGATTGCTAGAACCTGGAAGGTCCACGCTGCAGTGACCCAAGATCATGTCACTGCATTCCAGCCTGGGTGACAGAGGGAGACCCTGAAAAAATAAAAATAAAAAGGAAAAAAAAAAACAAAAAAAAAGAAAAGAAGGAACAAACTGTGTAAAAAAGAAACTAATTGAGATGATGGTAATCTAGGAAATCCAGCTAAGGTTCAGCTTAGTATTTGAGGTTAAAAGGGTGGTGATGCTGGCAGTGGCGAGCTGTCCAGAATGGCTGGCTGCAGTGGGAAGTTGCAAGCGGTGGTGGCAGGAACGACTGAGGGAGCCGTGGCCATGGTGGGACCCCTGTGCCCCATGTCCCCTGTGCCTTGCGCCCCTGAGGCAGCCAACTGCGCTGCCCCAACCCTTGAGCAGCCGGAGGGACTGCCCCCAGGCCAGGAGCCTCCACGACTCCTGCTTTGCTGCTCTCATCCTGCAGCTGTGGGGAGGGCATGGAGCTAGGGCCAGGCTTGTTGGGCCCGGTTTGGAAGTGGGAGTAGCCCTGCTCTGGGGACCCAGCCAGTGGCATGGTCACTGTCCCACCATGCTGACGAAGCCCAGTTCCTGCACCTCAGGAAGAGGTTCTGCCTGAGGCAGCCCAGGGTTGTGTCCCCAGGGTGGCCACGAAGCCTGATTTTCCCGACGGCCAGGCTTGGGCCTGATCTGCTCCCCACGGTGCCTCCCTCACCCCATCCAGGCAAGGGGGAGCCCCAGGCACCCCTGAGTGGTAGGTGAAGAACTTGCAGACACATCATCCTTGCCCCAGATGCTGGCATGGGCACAGATGAGGGGAGCTGTCCACCCCAGGCTGTGTGAAGGTGTGACAGGGGCTACCTGCAGACTCCAGGGATTGAGTGGGAGTCCTGCCCTCCACGCAGCAGGATACCGGCCTCTCTGCACTCCATGCTCTCAAGGACGTGAAGCACCCCCTGCCCCTGCAGGCTTGCAGGTGTCTGCTCCCACTGCCTGGCTTCTCACCTGGCTTCTCCAGGCCCCCGGGCGCCCACTCTGATCTCAGAGTGGAGTTTGGGGCCAAGCCCCAGTGCTGTTACAGCCTAGCTGGGTGTGTGCATGTTCAGGACAACGTTGATACACCAGCCTCCTGCCACCTCAGCCATGGGGAAGCCGAGGGAAAATGGGCTGAGGGCAACTGGTGCTGGCCTATAGGCCCTTTGCCATGAGCAGCCTAGGTGCCATGGACGGGGTTGGGAGGCAGACAGTCTCCTGAGCAGAAGGGGGCAGGTCCCTGATGAAGCCCCTCCTTCAGGCCAGGGAGGGATTGAAGGCTATGGGTTGGGCTGCCAGTCCTGCAGACAGGAGTGGGAACTTGTGCCTTTTCTGGGCCTGCCCCATGGCCATCCATTCTTCCCCTCTGAGGCCCGTAAAAGCCCTGGGCTCAGGTGGACTTGAGAAGAGGATGGAGAGAGCATAGAGACAGGACAGGGACATGAGGGATAAGTTGCTGAGGAGAGGATTTAACATCCCCAGGGTCTCCTCTCAGCTGCAGAGTGAAGCTGCCCTCACCAGGGTCTCCTCTCTGCTGAGAACTGAGGAGAGGACAGGACAATCAGATGCAGAGAGGAGCTACCCTCTCTGTTGATAGCTGAACAAGTGTTGAGGCAACCTGGCTATGGATAGGAGTGGCCCACTGCGGCTCTCTGAGCTGTTCTATTGCTTAATAAAGCTCCTCTTTGTCCTGCTAACCCTCTACTTGTCTGCGTACCTCATTCTTCCTGGACGCAGGGCAAGAACTGGGAATCTGCCTAATGATGAGGCTAAAAAAGCTGTAACATGAACAGGGTGTAGATGAGCAACAGAGAATGTAGTCAAATGCCGACAAAGATGGAATGAAAAAGCAAAAATAAATCCATATCATTCCATGTAACAAGACCATTTTTTTAAAGTAGTTTTAAGTGGACAGAAAAATTGCAGAGAAAGTTCATGGAGTCCCCACAGCCCTTCTTCCCTAAAGCACCCCTCTGCTCAGTTTCTCCTATTATTAACATCCTGCATCAGTGTGGTACACTTGTTACTACTGATGAAGCAATACTGATACTTGTTGTTAACTGAGATCCATAGTGAAATTAGAGATCATTCTTATTATACAGTTCTATGGGTTCTGATAAATACATAATGTCATATATCCACCATTTAGTGGAAGTGACCCAAGAGTCCCATAGGCAGTTTTTTTTTTAAATAAACATAGAAATGGACACTTGTGGTCTTAAAGCTTGAAACTTACATTTGTTTTATCTGAGTTCCTTTCTAAAAAAAGATTCCCCCAGGGCTCTCAAAAAGTGTCAAAGAACTGGAACTCACCAGAACATCTCATCCAGACAACGAGACTCCAGGTTCCTCATTCATCATGATTGTTCCCTTACCGCCCCCCCCCCCCCAATTCCTGTTTTCTCATACATAGTTACATTTCTTCCATGCTAGATAAATTCCTAATTTTAGTCAGTCACAGAGATGGATTTGACACTGGTCTCCCATCTCCTCAGCTTCAGCACCTGATTAAAGATTAAAGCCTTCTTCTTTGGCAATACTCATTGTCATCTCAGTGATTGGCTTTCTGTGTGGTGAGCAGCAAGACCCAGACTGAAGCCCTTGTGTGCAAGACCTAGACTGAACCCTGGTGTTTCAGTGACAAAATTATCCTGTGAAGTAGTTTCGCTGACCTAAAATTGTCCCAGGCTCCACCTACTCATGCACTCCTCTTCCGCCTGAATCCCTGGAAACCACTATTTACTGTCACTGTATTTATGCCTTTTCCAGAATGTTATACAGTTGTAATCATATGGTATATAGTTTTTTTCAGACTGGCTTCTTTCACATAACAATATGCATATAGGTTTTCTCCTGTCTTTTCCTAGCTGGATAGCTTATTTCTCTTTAATGTTGAATAACAACCCATGGTATGGATCTACCACAATTTGTTTATCCACTCACTTACTGGAGAACATCTTCGTTGCTTTGAATTTTTGGCAATTATAAAGAAAGCTGCTATAAACATTCGTGTATACTTGTTTGTGTGGACAGAAGTTTTCCACTTATTTGGGCAAATACTTAGGATTGCAATTGCTGAATCTTATGGTAGAGTATGTTTCGCTTTGTAAGAAACAGCCAGAGTGTCTTCCAGATAAGCCAGTAGAATAGGGTCTGGAGGCAGGGAACCTAAGGCCATTTCATGTCGACTCCCGAATTGAACTAAATTGAGAGGAAAACTCAAACTTTCTATGCCTAAGTAGCAAAAGGACCAGAGACTACTCCCTTTGTAACACACCCCCTTTACTGCTTGACAAATGGGAAATTGAGAGTACCTCTGATTGGTTGTTTTTTTGCAACCAATCAGATGTTTGCATAGGAGTGTAGCTTTGTAACTTCATTTCGGCCTTGGATCGGTTGTGGAATTGTTTTCCTCAAAATTTCTACAGCCTAGTGATAAAAATCCTAGAAAAGCAAAATAAGCACAAACCAAGGTGGCATAACCTTGTAAAACTTAACGAATAAATAAGTTTCTTTACCTATGGTTTAGAGAAAGCAGACTCTTGAGAATGTTGCAAATAGAATTAAGTGTTTGCTAACATATCTACAATTTTAATATAAAACAAATAGGTGAACAATAGAGAATACACTCAAACTCAGACAAGTATGGAATGAAAAGCAAAAGTAAGTCCATATCCTCCCATATAACAAGACCATTTTTAAAGCAGTTTCAAGTGTATGAAAAACTTCCAGAGAAAGTTTAGGGAGTTCCCACATATCTCCTTCCCTAAAATGGCCCTCTGTTCAGTTTCTTTTATTATTAACATCCATACAACTAATACCTCTACTTACAGGGTTAGGAATGGCTACTGCTACAGGAACCAGAATAGCCAGTTTATCTACTTCATTATCCTACTACCACACTCTCAAAGGATTTCTCAGGCAGTTTGCAAGTAATAACATAATCTATCCTTACTCTACAATCCCAAATAGACTCTTTGGCAGCAGTGACTCTTCAAAATCGCCGAGGCCTAGACCTCCTCACTGCTGAGAAAGAAGGACTCTGCATCTTCTTAGGGGAAGAGTGTTGTTTTACACTAACCAGTCAGGGATAGTATGAGATGCCGCCCAGCGTTTACAGGAAAAGGCTTCTGAAATCAGACAATGCCTTTCAAACTCTTATACCAAACTCTGGAGTTGGGCGACATGGCTTCTCCCCTTTCTAGGTCCTGTGACAGCCATCTTACTATTACTCGCCTTTGGGCCCTGTAGTTTTAACCTCCTTGTCAAATTTGTTTACTCTAGGATCAAGGCCAACAAGCTACAGATGGTCTTACAAAGGGAACCCCAAATGAGCTCAGCTAACAACTTCTACCAAGGACCCCTGAAATGAGTCACTGACCCTTTTACTGGCCTAAAGAGCTTCTCTCTGGAGGACACTACAACTGCAAGGCCCCTTCTTCACCCCTATCCAGCAGGAAGTAGCTAGAGTGGTCATTGCCCAATTCCCAACAGCAGTTGCCATGTCCTGTTTAGAGCGGGGATTGAGAGGTGAAGTCAGCTGGGCTTCTGGGTCAGGTGGGGACTTGGAGAACTTTTCTGTTTAGCTAGAGGATTATAAATGCATCAATCAGCACTCTGTGTCTAGCTAAAGGACTGTAAATGCACCAATCAGCACTGTGTAAAAATGCACCAATCAGTGCTCTGTGTCTAGCTAAATGATTGTAAATGCACCAATCAACACTCTGTAAAATGGACCAATCAGCACGCTGTAAAATGGACTAATCAGTAGGATGCGGGCAGGGCCAAATAAGGAAATAAAAGCTGGCCACCCAAGCCGGCAGTGGCAACTGGCTCAGGTCCACTTCCACGCTGTGGAAGCTTTGTTCTTTCACTCTTCACAATAAATCTTGCTGCCGCTTACTCTTTGGGTTCAGACTACCTTTATGAGCTGTAATACTCACCCTGAGGGTCTGCGGCTTCATTCCTGAAGGCAGCAAGACCACGAACCCATCGGGAGGAACAAACAGCTCCAGACGTGCCACCTTTAAGAGCTGTAACGCTCACTGCGAAGGTCTGCAGCTTCACTCCTGAAGTCAGCGAGACTACGAATCCACCAGAAGGAAGAAACTCCGGACACATCTGAACATCTGAAGGAACAAACTCTGGACACACCATCTTTAAGAGCTGTAACATTCACCGCGAAGGTCTGTGGCTTCATTCTTGAAGTCAGTGAGACCAAGAACCCACCGGAAGGAATAAATTCCGGACACAGAAGGACTGTCCCATTTTACATTCTCCCCATCAGTGTATGAGAAATTCAATTTTTCTGCATTCTCACCAGCATTTACCATTGTCAGATTTTTTAGAGATTTTAGCTGTATTAGGAGTTGTATAGTGCTATTATACCAAGTTCTTAATTTGCATTTCCCTGATGGCTACTGATTTGCATGTCATTCATTGCGCTTATTTGCCATGTATATATATCCTCTTTGATAAAATGTCTCTTCATATCTTTTGCCCATTTTGTAATTAACAATTTTTTTTTTTGAGACAGAGTCTCGCTCTGCCACCCAGACTGGAGTGCAGTGGCACAATCTCAGCTCACTGCAAACTCTGCATCCCAGGTTCATGCCATTCTCCTGCCTCAGCCTCCTGAGTAGCTGGGACTACAGGCGCCTGCCACAACACCCGGCTAATTTTTTTTTTTTTTTGCATTTTTAGTAGAGACGGGGTTTCACCATGTTAGCCAGGATGGTCTCCATCTCCTGACCTCGTGATCCGCCCACCTCGGCCTCCCAGAGTGCTGGGATTACAGGCGTGAGCCACCATGCCCGGCCATAATTAAATTTTATAGTCTGCACTCTACTATATATTTTATAGAAGAGCTTTTATAGTTCATTACATATTTTCAACAATGTATTCTTGGTAATATATGTGGTTTTAAATATTTTCTCCGTATCTCTAACTTACTTTTTATTTCTTAACAGGATACTTTACAGAAGAAACCTTATTTATTGATTTTTTTTGTTTTTGTTTTTGTCTTTTTGTTTTTTACACATAGCGCTTTTGATGTCGTGTCTAAGAACTCAGAACTCAGACAGCAGGCCCTAGCTTCTGATGATGTTTCTTATGTTTTCTTCTAAACGTTTTACATGTAGACATGATTTAATTGGGATAAATGTTTTCATAAGGTCTGAGAATTTGTTAAGTTTCTTTCTTGCTTCTTTTTCCTTTTGCTTCTTTTTTGTTTTTGTCTATGAATTTCCACTTTCTCCTGGACCATTGTTTGAAAAGACTATAGCCTATATTACCTCCATTGAATTATTTTGCATCTTTGTCAAAATGAGTTCGTATAGGTGTATTTCTGGATTCTCTATGCTGCTCCACTAATCTATGTCTATCCCTGCACTAAATCAGTATTGATTACTATAGCTATAAAAATTCTGAAATTTGGTAAGAGTTCCTTCATCTCTTTTTCCCTATGAAATTTGTTTTACCTATACTAGTTCCCTTGGTTCTCCATATGCATTTTAGAATAACTTTGTCTACAACTATTACAAATCTTGCTGGAATTTAGAGAGAAATTGTGTTAAACCTGGACATCAAAGTGGGGAGAATTGACGTCTTTACTATATTTAGTTTTCTAGTTGATGAACACAGTAAATCTCTTCATTTCTTCAGATTTTTTTATTTCTTTTTCTTTTTATACTTTAAGTTTTAGGGTACATGTGCACATTGTGCAGGTTAGTTACATATGTATACATGTGCCATGCTGGTGCGCTGCACCCACTAACTGGTCATCTAGCATTAGGTATATCTCCCAATGCTACCCCGCCCCCCTCCCCCCGCCCCACAACAGTCCCCAGAGTGTGATATTCCCCTTCCTGTGTCCATGTGATCTCATTGTTCAATTCCCACCTATGAGTGAGAATATGCGGTGTTTGGTTTTTTGTTCTTGCGATAGTTTACTGAGAATGATGATTTCCAATTTCATCCATGTCCCTACAAAGGACGTGAACTCATCATTTTTTATGGCTCAGCATTTCAGCATATGGATTGTGTACATGTTCTGTTGGTATACTTATGAGGTTTTTTGAATGGAAATAATTCATGTTGTATTTTTAGTATTTGTTTTGATTTCTTTATTACTGTATATTCAAATAAAATTAATTTTTTTGTTGATCTTGAATTCTGTGACCTTGTGAATTTCCTTAGTAGCTGAAACAGAAGAGGAAAAGCATTCAGACTTCCACTATTAAGTGTAATTTAGCCGCAACATTTTTGTATAAGTTATTTATCCAGTTGAGGAGGTCATCCTCAGTTCCTACTATTTTGAGGGGCTTTTATAAATCATAAATTAATGTAGAATTATGTCAAAGGCCTTCTCTACATCAACTGATAGAACCGTGCGATGTTTCTTCTTTAGCTTCTTAATAAGATGGATGACATTGATTGATTTCAAACATTAAACCAGACTTGCATCCCTAAAATAAACGCTACTTGGCATAGTTTACATATATTTTTAGTTTGGCTGATTTTTTACTTGCTAACATTTTGTTAGGGAGTTTTGCATGTATAGTCATGCAGGTATATTGCTTTTTAATTTTCTTTTCCTGTACTATATTTGTGTGCTTTTGATTTTAGGAAATGCTGGCCTCATAAAGTAAGTTGGGATGTCTTCCCCTCTCTTCTGCTTTCTGGAGGAAACTTTGCAGAGTTGTGTTAATTCTACTGAAATGTTTGGTAGATTTCTCCTGTGAAACTATTCTAACCTAGAGATTTCTCCTGTAAGTTCAACTCTTTTTATAATTATAGAGCTTTTCAATGTATCTATTTCATATTGAGTTAGTTGTAATAGTGTGTATTTGTGTACTTTTAAAGGATTCTTTTCCATTTCACCTAAGTGTTCTTGGTGTATTCCTTTGGTGTACTATTGATGTCAAAGAATCTGTAGTGATATAATGTTTCCACCCCAATATTGGTGTTTTTTCTTTCTCCTTTTTCCTTTTATTTTGTCCTAGAAATTTGTCAGTTCTATTGATATTTTTAAAGAACAAACTTTTTTTCCCACTGATTTTCTCTCTCTCTCTCTCTTTTTTTTTTTTTTTCTTTTTGAGTTGGAGTTTTTGCTCTTGTTGCCCAGGCTGGAGGGCAATGGCGCGATCTCGGCTCACTGCAACCCCCGCCTCCCAGGTTCAAGTGATTCTCCTGCCTCAGCCTCCCGAGTAGCTGGGATTACAGGAATGCGCCACCATGCTCGGCTAATTTTGTATTTTTAGTAGAGATGGGGTTTCTCCGTGTTGGTCAGGCTCAAACTCCCGACCTCAGGTGATCCGCCCGCTTCAGCCTTGCAAAGTGCTGGGATTACAGGCATGAGCCATTGAGTTCTGCCTTTATATTAGTTTTTTTTTTCCTTCTTCTTCTTGATTTAGGTTATTTTTGACAACTTTTCTAGATTTTTGAGGTGGGAACTGAGATTATTGGTTTCTGAAGTTTTCTCTTTTTCAGTGTATACATTTTGTACTACGCATAGTACTTCAAAGCGCGCCTTTAGCTATGTGCCAAACATTTTGATATGTTGTATTTTCATTATCAGTTAGTTGAACATACTTTTTATTTTCCTTAAGACATCTTTTTTTTTGAGATGGAGTCTTGCACTGTCGCCCAGGCTGGAGTGTAGTGGCGTGATCTCAGCTCACTGCAAGCTCTGCCTTCCAGGTTTACTCCATTCTCCTGCCTCAGCCTCCCGAGTAGCTGGGACTACAGGTGCCCGCCACCACGCCCAGCTAATTTTTTTTTGTATTTTTAGTAGAGACGGGGTTTCACCGTGTTAGCCAGGATGGTCTCAATCTCCTGACTTCGTGATCCGCCTGCCTCGGCCTCCCAAAGTGCTGGAATTACAGGCGTGAGCCACCGTGTGGCATCTCTGGCTGGAGTGCAGTGGCGCGATGTCAGACAAGCTCTGCCTTCCGGGTTCAAGTGATTCTCCTGCCTCAGCCTCCCGAATAGCTGGGACTACAGGCGCCTGCCACCACGCCCGCTAATTTTTTGTATTTTTAGTAGAGACGGGGTTTCACCATATTGGCCAGGATGGTCTCGATCTCTTGACCTCGTGATCCACCCACTTCGGCCTCCCAAAGTTCTGGGATTACAGGCGTGAGCCACCTCACCAGGCCTTTTTTTTTTTTTTTTTTTTTTTTGAGACGGAGTCTCACTCTGTCATCCATGCTGGAGTGCCAAGACATCTTTTTTGATCCAAGGGTAATTTAAAAGTATGTTACTAAGTTTCCATGTGTTTGGAGTTATACTGATTTTCTTCATGTTACTGATTTCTGGTTCAGCTCCGTTGTTTCCAGGGAGCACAGTCTGTATGATTTCAATTCTTTACATTTGTTGAGGTTCCTTTTATGGTCCAGGGTATGAGAGATGTTGGTAAATATTCCATGGAGAGTTAAAAAATGTGTATTCTTCTGTTTGGTGTGGTGGTCTGCAAATGTCCATTAGATCTTATTGGTGGATAGTTTTGTTGGGTTTCATTATCTTGCTGAGTTTTTGTCCAGTTGTTTTATTAACTTTTCAGAGTTCGTTTGTGGAGTCCCAAAGTTTAACTGTGTATTTGTATATTTCTCCTTCCAGTTCTGACCGTTTTTTGCTCTACTTATAAGTAACTTAGTTGTGTGGTGTACACACCTTTAGAGTTGCTATGTCTTCTTCCTGAATTAACATTTTTATGATTATGTAGTGTTTCCATTTGTCTCTCAGAATATTCTTTGCTCTGTGCATTTTATGTTATCTGATATTATAGCCATTTCTGCTTTCTTTGACAACAGTTAGTATGGTTTATTTTTTTCCATTCTTCTGTTTCAGCCTTCCACTCTTGTAATATTTGCAGTAAGTTTCTCATAGGTAGCATATCGATGGGTAATTATTTTTCACTCTGACATTTTGTCTTTTTAGACAATTTAATGTAATGCAATTATTAATATGTGAGCTCTCATGACTGCCATTTGCTTTTTGTTTCCTTTGGTTTTTGCTTCTCTGTTTTCTTGCCCTGTTTTTTGATGTGTCCCTTAAGCAATATTTAGAATTCCATTTTTTAATCAATCATTTTTTGGTGTATCTCATTGTAGAGTTTTTGTGATTTATCTATTAACGTAACTTATAGTCTACTTGTGCTGAGATTTTTTCAATTTGACTGCAGTGTAAAAACTTTACCTTTTTATCCCTTTTGCTCCTGCATTTATAATATATATTTTTTATTTTCTCTACTTGCAGATGTGACAATGTTGTAATTTTTGCCTCAACCATCAAACTAATTTATAAAACTGAAGAAGAGAAGTCTGTTGTATTGACCCATATTTTTACTCATTCTATAGTTTCTTTTTTTCCTGATTGTCCAAGATTTCTTCCCTTATCATTTCTATTCCAGTTCAAGCACTTCCTTTACCCTTGTTTTAGGATAAATCTGCTAGCATCAAATTCTCTTGATTTTCCTTCCTCTAAGAATGTCATGGCCGGGCACGGTGGCTCACACCTGTAATCCCAGCACTTTTGAAGGCCAAGGCAGGCGCATCCCCTAAGCTCAGGAGTTTGAGACCAGCTTGGGCATCATGGCAAAACCTTGTCTCTGCCAAAAATACAAAAAGTTAGCCAGGCTTGGTGGTGTGTGTCTGTAATTCCAGCTACTCAGGAGGCAGAGGTGTGAGGATCACATGAGCCTGAGAGGCAGAGGCTGCAGTGAGCCATGGTTGTGCCACTGCCCTCCAGCCTGGGTGACAGAGCAAGACTCTATCTAAAAAACAAAAAAAAAAGAAAAGAAAAAAAAGAATGTCATGATAGAACCTTCATTTTATAATAATATTTTTCTGGATATACATTCTAGGTTAACATTACTTTCAGCCATTAAAATATCTTGTGGCACTTCTGTCTGGTCTGCATGATTTCTAATGAGGAATACACTGTCCTTTATTTTCTCCTGTACATGAGATGTCATTTCTCTCTTGTTGCTATCAAGATTTTTTGACATAAATTTCTTTGGATTCATCTTCCTTTAGATTTGCACAGATTCTTGAATTTTTACTTTAAAGTCTTTATCCAAATTTGGAAAATAGTCAATCTTCCTTCAAAGACTCTTTGGGCATCACCCATTTGTCATCTTTCTCTAAGACTCTAGTGACACAAATTTCATATCTTTTGTTATAGTCTTACAGATTTATCATCATGAAATAATACTGAATATTATGAATAACTTTACAAAAACAAATTTGCATGTAATTAATAAATTACTCAAAATGTGCAATGTACTGAAGCTAACAAATAACATAAAGTATGAAGAGTTCCACATCTCATAGAGAAAGCCCATTCTATAAAGCTTACCCAAGACGAAACCCCAGGTTCATTTAGCTTCAGTAAATATTTTAAAATATTTAAGGAACAAACAACACTAACTTTATGCAAACTTCAAACATTTGAAAAAGCGGAAAACACTTGCAGTTTGGTTTGATGAGATCTGTGTAAAATTTACTTCAAGATCTGAAAAGAACTCTACAACAGATAGGAATTTATGGACCAATAATTCTTATGAGCCAAGTTCTTAAGAAAATAATAGCCAACTGAATTCAGTGATATAAAAGATGGCTACTACATCATGACCAAGTGGAGTTTATTCCAGAAATGCAAGGTTGTTTGAGCATTTGAGAATCCATTAGTGTGATTCACGACATTAACTGAAGGAAGGAGAATACACATGCAACCACCTGGATAGAGTCTTGAAATATGATTTGACAGAATTCAGCACTTGGCCTTAATTTTTTAAAAATCTATTTGCAAACTCGTATTAAAAAGTTATTTCTTCAGTCTGAGAAATGATAGCTACCTTATTGCACATATTAGTCTCAGCAGTGAAATATTTAAAACTGTCTCCTTCATATCTGGAGTACTAGAGGAGTTAGGCAATGAAAACGGCAAGAAAAATAAATAAAAGAGATGATAATTGCATCCAGGTGAAATGGTCATTATTTACTCTCAACATAATCAGCTACTTAGAAAATAAAATTAGTAAACAAACTCATAGTTTTAATAAGTGAATTTAAATACTGTTGCTGATTACAAAGTCAGTATACATTAAAGCAATCATGTTATTGATATAGTTTGGATGTATGTCCCGTCCAAATCTCGTGTTGAAACATAGCCTCCAGTGTTGGAGGTGAGGCCTGGCAAGAGGTATTTTGGTGGGCGGCAGATCCTTCATCGATGGCTTGGTGCCATCTTAGCTGTAATGTGTGAGTTCTCACTCAGTTCACAGGAGATCTGGTTGTTTAAAAGAGTGCGACTCTTCCCCACTTTCTCTGTGCTCCTGCTCTCACCATGTGATACCCGGGCTCTCCTTTCCTTCCCCCATGATTGTTAGCTTCCTGAGGCCCTCACCAGAAGCAATTGCCAGCACCACACCTCCTGTACAGCCTGCAAAACCCTGAGCCAGTTAAACCTCTTTTCTTTATGAATTACCCAGCCTCAGGTATTTCTTTTTAGCAATGTAAGAATGGACTAACACAATAATGTTCTACCATAAACAAATAGAAAACAAAACCAAGAAAATAATTTTATCAATTTCCTCACCTCTTTGTTTTTTTGTTGTGGTTGTTTTTTGTTTTTGAGACAGAGTCTTGCTCTGTCTCCCAGGCTGGGGTGCAATGGTGTGATCTTGGCTCCCCATAGCCACCGCCTCCCGCTCACAAGCGATTCTCCTGCCTCAGCCTCTTGAGTAGCTGGGATTACAGGCATGCACCACCACGTCCGGCTAATTTTTGTATTTTTAGTAGAGGCAGGGTTTCACTATGTTGGCCAGGCTGGTCTTGAACTCTTGACCACGTGATCTGCCCACCTCAGCCTCCCAAAGTGCTGGTACTACAGGCGTGAGCCACCATGCACAGCCCTGTTTTTTTTTTTTTTTTTTTTAGGCAGAGTCTCACTCTGTTGCCCAGGCTGGAGTGCAGTGGTGCGATCTCGGCTCACTGCAATCTCCACCTCCCGGGTTCATGCCATTCTCTGCCTCAGCCTCCCAAGTAGCTAGGATTACAGGCACCTGCCACCATGCCCTGCTAATGTTTTTGTATTTTTAGTAGAGACGGGGTTTCACCATCTTGGCCAGGCTGGTCTTCAACTCCTGACCTCGTGATCCACCCGCCTTGGCCTCCCAAAGTTCTGGGATTACAGACGTGAGCCACCACACCCAGCCACAATGTCTTATTTTTAAAAAAAGAATTATTTTAACAGGTTTACTGAAGCATACTTTACATACTGCAAAATTTACTCATTGTATATATAAAATTTAATGATTTTAGTAAATTAATGGATTTGTGCAATTATTACAACAATCCAGTTTTATAACATTTCTATCATATCCAAAATTTCTGTTTATAGTTAATTCCCACCGATACCCCAAGTCCTAGGCACCCAATGATCTGCTGTTTGTGTCTATAATTTACCTCTTCTAGGTATTTTAAGTAAAGGAAATCATACAACATGTAATCTTTTGTGTCCAGTTTCCTTCACTTAGTTAACATTATTGAAGTTCACCAGTTTTGTAGTATGTATCATCAATTTTGTTTCTTTTCTTTTCATTCCTTTTTATTCAGGTTATCTTCTTTCATTTGTGTAAATTTATAAGGTACAAGTGTAGTTTTGTTACCTGCATAGATTGCATAGTGGTGAAGTCGGTGTTTCTGCAGTATCCATCACCCAATTCACATGCACTGTACCCATTAAGTAATCTCTCATCATCCGCAGTGCAAGCATTGAAACTTGCCTTGGGAAAACTATCCTCATGTTCATGGTATCTCCCCTGTCAGATAAGTCTATTTTTGTCCCCTTTTATTGTTGAATGATACTGCCTTGCATGGACATAGTACCATTTTGTTTATCCATTTACTAGTTGAAGGATATTTGGATTGTTTTCAGTATGGGCCTACTATGGCTAATGCTGTTCTGAACACTCAAACACATATCTTTGTGAGGACATATGTTTTTATGTCTCTTAGGTAGATTCCAAGGAGTGAAACTGCTGGGTCATATGGTAAACGTATGTTAAACTTTTTAGGAAATTGCCAATTTCCAGGTATTTGTAAAATTATACACTCCCACCAGCACTACATAAGGGTTTAGAAAGTCCGTTTGTCTTCAAACATAATTATAATGTTGATGATACTATTAGAAATAACATCTGTCAGCTAAACACGGTGGCTCATGCCTGTGGTCCCAGCACTTTGGGAGGCCAAAGCAGGCAGATCACGAGGTCAGGAGTTCGAGACCAGCCTGCCCAACACAGTGAAACCCTGTCTCTGCTAAAAACGTAAAAATTAGCCAGGCACAGTGGCATGCACCTGTAGTCGCAGCTACTCGGTAGGGTGAGGCAGGAGAATCGCTTGAACCCAGGAGTCGAAGGTTGTGCGGAGCAGGGAATACACCACTGCACTTCAGCCTGGACAACAGAGCGAGACCCCGTCTCAAAAAAGAAAAATAAATAAATAACATCTGTCTTGTTAATTTTATATTTTCTCTTTATGTTTCAATTTTTATTTATCCAGCATCTATTTAGTGAAAAAAATGAGTTTGGAATACAACTTACCAAAAACTGAAACTAAATCTCAACTCTTTCTAAATTCTAGACTCTGTTTTACTAGTATTTAATGAAAAAGAAAATCAGTAACAAATGCCTTTTTAAAAATAAATGTATAGTGTGTTTTAAAACAGCACCTTATAGAGCTAGTCATTCCTTATTCTGCTTTTTTTCAAAAATTTCCCTAGAAAATATATTTACCTCATAAAATAACATGTCAGCATACTTGAGTTCTAAAAACAATCCTTTTTACTTGCTTTTTTGTTTTATTGTAATTGAGTTAATGGCTGACATTTAATACTCAATGTATGTATATTATATATATTTATGTTTTTAAAATATATATATTTAAATATATGTATAATAAATAGATATGTATTTAAAAAGACCCAGAAACCCTGAATTGAGGATGCCTATTGGGAATCTCTAGGCCTTCATGTGGAATTTAACTACAAATACTAACAACCTAATAATACCACAATCTTTCATTTCCCTACCCTGAAATCAATCTCTCCTACTCCATCCACCATTTCTTTATTTTAAAAATATATGATTTTGCTCCTTTTCTTCCCATGTGCATCAGGCCCACTCTACAAAGGTTGAATCCTGGCTTGTCTGAGCCCATGTGATCCCACGGTCATTCCATTGTTTGAGTAAGTGGGTACTGGGAACACTCTAGAAACTGTTTAGTTGATTCTTATAAAGACACACAGGAAAAAGTCATATCCTTTTCCTGCCTTTGGGAGTTGTGAAAGAATAAGAAACCTAAAGCTGCTGCAGGGGTCCTCCTACCATCTCAGGAAAGCTGACGTGCTGTGTGTGATAGAGAGATGAGCTATGAAGTTCCAGGATCGCTGGTGATGACACTGGCCTGCTGAGTTGAGCAACCCTGGAGACGCCCAGCCTCGGATCTATCGGCTATGTGAGATAATGGGTTAAAGAAAAGAAAAGCCCACTAGATGGGATTTCCTGCTATTTGCAGCAGAAGGCATCTTCATTCAAATATTCATCCCACACATTTTAGTTCTACCTTAGAATTCCACACCACAAGTCTCATATAAAATGAGACAAATCATTTCCTCAACTTAAGCAACAAAGCGTATTTGTTGCAACTCTGGGATCAAACAGAATAGACATAATTATCAGCTTAATATAATCCTATAGGATTTATATTCTTATAGGATATATACATACATGTACTGCTATGTATGTACAATAATACATAACTAAAAACAAAATATGCATAAAATAAACATTGAATTTGATTGAAAATAAAATAACAGTTGTCTCTGACAGATAAATTACGTTCAAATGATTATTACTTTGAAGTAAACTTTTGAATTCATTATGTACTTTCAGATTTGACATATTTGATGCTGACTCTCAGAACACAATGGAGAACCCTCTATCTTCTAAATTTGTCTTTCTCTGAAATCTGTACAGGTCCTTTGGTAATACTATATAATTGAAGTCTCTGGAATGAAAAACTATATACTAATTTAAAGGTACAGATTCACAATATTGTAGATGGGGTTAAGAAAAAGTTCTGATTGACTTGCTGGCTGGTTTCTCATCTCATGTTTGCCAAGTTTGTTTCAGTTGTTATAGTCTGTTCTCAATTTTTATACATTGCCTTTTTGAATGTTAGGTTTACTTTTTTAATTGACAAGTAAAAATTGTATAGTATATTTATGTTGTAGAGCATGAGGTTTTGATATATGCCTATAGTGTGGAATGTCTAAATCAAGCTATTTAACATGCATTTACCTCATATACTTATTATATATACATGAAAACCATTATTCTATTGGGAAATAATCTTCCCTTTTTCTTATTTTTTGTCCTTGCAGCCAAATGGACCAGATAATTTTTAACTCCATGTTTGAGAAACATTTAATAATGCAATGTGTGGCACAAGGGGAGTACAGATGCACGGGAGGCAGGACAGTTTAGGTAAAGGGAAGCACAAAAGTTGAAGATGAGGCACTGCCATCAAAGCTGTGAGGCTTCAGGCCAAGAACAGGAGCTAAGGAAGCCACAAGGGAGGACATTTTCTGCAGAGTTGCTGAACCAGTAACAACCTGGTCCTGACAAAGCTCTTGTGGAAGAATAAGAGCCAAGTGGGAAAGCTTTTCATCTTGCAAAGCTGGGGCAGAAGGTTCTTCCTTGAATGTGGTCATCTGCACTTCAGCTCAAGAGTCCTGCAGAGACAGAGGAAATTGTTTTCAGACCTGGCTTTACTAAAACTTCTTTTCCCCGCTTTCAACGACTCAGATGAGAGCACTGCAGGGAGAAGAAAAACAAGTTCCTAAGTCTCCCTGAGCCAATGATCCTGCAAAGCACAGGCCTTTTCTAAGTGGAGAGGAGGAGTTCTGGGGTAAATTGCCTGATCAGAAATCTGGATCCAAAGTCTTTCCTATTATTTCTGTCTCATGCCTTATCACCTCTGCCATCATTCTAGGGAAACTGAATCTCTTTCTGAAAGAGGATTAAAAGGTATTACCTGTTGGCTGAAGTCCAGAGTGTCCTGGGAAAAAGAGGAAAAGATATACACTTAAAAGATATGGAAGCAAATCTGTCTTCTAACACAATGTCCCAGCCCCAGATCTCCCACCTGAGATTTCTCTAACACCACAACCCACACCAACCAGGGCAGAGAGGAACAGAAACAGACCATGTGACCCATGAAGCATGAGGTGTCTGTCACAGGATCCAGCGTAATTGCATTAGCCTTAGTGGCTCTTCCTTAATTTGCTCCAGGATCTCCAACCAAAGAATCCCTACTTGTTAACCTTTCTCTTATCTCTGCAGGCCACAAGCTATTATGCTTTGACATAGTAACCATGCACTGATGATTTCTGGATTATCAGGACATTGGAGGTCATTTGGGGAAAGAAAGGCTTTATCCAGGGCCACTGATATACTGAGAACTAACCCTAGCAAAGTCATAGTTCCTCCTCCAGAAAAGCCTATGGAGATTCAGCTCCCAAAAGCTCCTCACCTTTCTGATTCCTGAAGTAGATGAACAGCCCTGTCCCAAGGAAGAGCAGGCCCAGCACAAAGCCCCCGACTCCACTCAGCATCTTGCTCTGTGCAGATTCAGACCGTGCACCTGAGAGAGGAAGCCAGGTTTAGTGTTTATTCCAAATTGAACCTCTGTAATTGAGACCCTAAGATTCAGAGCTTTCAAAATGGGAAAGAAGGCTGCCCTGTAAGAACTAAAATAACTAGCCATTTCTGGGGGAAAAAACGGTTTTCAAATCACACTGTAACAGTTACAAGGTCCAGGCATCAAACTCATTTCAAATATTACAGCCTTGATGTAAGGCGCAACTTCAAAATCTGATCAACAGAAAGCCTGAGTCTCAGTGAGGTTAAGTAGTTTGTCTAGAGTGACAGAGCTAATAAAAGGCAGAGTTGAGATTGGACTCCCCTCATGTCAGGAAGGCCCCTAGAGTTCTCCTCTTCTCACAACAAACAACTCAGATCAACAGCACCAGAAACGCAGTCTCAGACCCAGAGGCAGGGCCTGGAGCCTGGGGAGAGTGGGTGACCCTGAACTGGGACATCATGGGGAGGTTCAAAAGAGGGACAGCCTCTCCCGCCTGGCAGGCGTGACTGATTCCCCAGGGGGTACAGGTGTTTCTAGAAACACCTACAGGGCTACCCCCAGTAGCCCAGTGACCTGTGCTGATGGAGATGAGAACATGGAGCAAATGAAAATAGGATGTGGGAGAGGAGAAACCTGACACTCAGGGATTAGCACAGTCCCCTTCTTGGTGGGTGAGAAATTTAGGAAGTCAGAAAGCTGCTAACTCCATTGCACCGTGAGAGGGCTCATCATGCTTGGATGCTCCACTTGGCAGGTGTAAACCTCTCCACTCCGAGGAACTGTTTCCAGCATCACCAGGGTCTGGAAGGTCCAGTCTCCATTCTGGATCAGGCCTGTGGACACCACCCCAGCCTTCTCTTCCTGGCCGTTCCGGAACCACCTGACTTCAATGCTGCCTGGATAGAAACCATTCACAGAGCAGACCAGGAGGTTGTGGTGCTGCAGGGGCTGGGTCTTTGAAGGATACACAGTCACCTTAGGTTGGACTAGGAGAAAAAAAAGGTAGTGGGAATGAGTCATGAAGACAGAGTAAGTCTCCTTGTTTGGCTGTTTGTCTGCTTCTCTGCAAACCCAGGCTCTGACCTTGACCAGGCCTCCAGCACAGCTGGCCATGTGGCCTTACAGTGTCATCAGCCTGGAATTTAATCTTGATAGTGAGGACCCATTAGATTTGAGAGATGTTGTGAAAAATTGTGTTTGTTTCTTCATAGCTTGAAATTGGCATGCATTGTCAAAGTGTTTACAAATCTTTGACAGTAGAGTGTAGTAATTAAAACTGATATCTGAGCCATGTTGCCTGGTTGAAATCCAAGGTCTGCCTTTTACTGGTTGATGCTGGAAGAGTTTTTTGATTCTTCTGTGTCTCAACTTTGTCACCTACAATGAAGGATAATTATACTAATTTACCTCTTGGGGTTATATGAGGATTAATGCACGTAAAATATATAAAACAATGACTGAAGATAGCCTTCAATTTATGAGGTTAGAAAGCTTGTCACTCCATTCCACTGTGAGGGGGCTCATCACACTTGGGTGCTCCACTTGGCACCTATTTATCATCCTTGTACACCGTGACAGAAAAATATGACTTAAAGCAATGTGGGTAGATAAAGGGACAGAGTTGGGTACATGAGGAAACCGAGTATGAATTTTTGGGAATACTACCACCATGCACTCACACCTTAGAACACCACAGAAATGGTTCTGCCCCTGGGAAGGTGGGACAGACAGAAATGATTCTCAAATTTTTACGTTCCTAGAAAAGCATGAGTCCTAACGCAGAGAGAATGATTAAGGAATGTCATTTTAGTTTTGAAAGTTCTTACGTTTACATTTAGCTGATCAATGTATCTCCTGTGCAACACAAGCTTAATTATTATTAGGCCTATCATTGTAAAATGATTTTTCTTTCCAGAATGACATTTGGATTAAGGCAGTGTCTGGGACTCGTCACTTGGGGTGCTTATGCCCAGGAAAATCCCTGACACTAGCATACTCTCAATAAATACAGTTTTTTTTTAGAAGTAAGGAGAAACCTGGAGACAATAATACCACAAAATGGTGGATTTAAGATGATTGTAAATCATTAATACAAATTTCGCAATATATTTTATTAAATAAAAATGTTCAAATTCTTAACATGGAAAATACTTTTCAAAATCCACATACAAACCACAAACTGGAGAAAATGCTGAATCAAATATCAATAAAGTGTTAATAATCTTACAGTACAAAGAACCCACAAAGTCACTGAGAAAAATACTAAGCCCTTAAGATATTAGACAGTAGATCATTGTACATTCCCTACCAAATGAAATAGGGAATTCTTACAGCAGTAATTATAATTGGCCAATAAATAGGTCAAAATAATTCAAAAGAATTACAAATGAAAAATATAAAGTAAAAATTAACCAGAAACATACATTTTCAACTTTTGGTGAAAGTCATAATAAAGGTCAACAAAAAGGGGAAAGTGAGGTAAGTTGTGTCACAACTATTATATACAAAAGAATAAGATGTAACTACTAGAAAACTATTAGCATTATAATAAAATAGTAACTGTGTTAAAACTTTAATTCAAAAAGTTAGTTTCACAGTCACTTCTGCTATGTAAAAATATACACCCTAAAAAAACAAAAACTAGCAAGAAATTTAGACCTAAAGAAGCTTCAGAGGTGCCTCAGAGGTCTCCTCAATTCCCCTAGAAATTAATCTAATGCTTTTACAAACAAACAGCACACACTTTTATTTCAGAGATTACATGAAGGGTGTGTGCCAGGGACAGTCTGGAACTGGCCTCCTCACATTATCCCAAACCTTCCACACTCCTCAGCTCTCCTCCCCTAAACCTTCACCCCAACCACACACACCTTATTCTTCCCTTCCCTGCATCTCTAAGGACCCAGGACAATCAAGGTCTCCTCTCTCTCCAGCCCCCTACACCCACCTCCCATGTCACCTCTGCACAGAGGCCTCCAAGAATAAGAAGCAGCCCCCTCCTGTTTCCCCTCCCACAACAGCCACACAGACAAATCCACACTCTACACACACCTGTGCCTTCAGAACTCCTTGCTCAGGATACAGAAGATTCTTTTTGTTTGTTTTTCTAATATATATATATATATAATTATTATTATTATACTTTAAGTTCTAGGATACATGTGCACAACGTGCAGGTTTGTTACATATGTACACATGTGTCATGTTGGTATGCTGCACCCATTAACTAGTCATTTACATTAGGTATATCTCCTAATGCTATCACTCCCTGCTCCCCCCACCCCACGACAGGCCCCTGTGTGTGATGTTCCCCTTCCTGTGTCCATGTGTTCTCATTGTTCAATTCCCACCTATGAGTGAGAACAAGTGGTGTTTGGTTTTCTGTCCTTGTGATAGTTTGCTGAGAATGATGGTTTCCAGCTGCATCCATGTCCCTACAAAGGACATGAACTGACACTATTCACAATAGCAAAGACTTGGAATTAACCCTAATGTCCATCAATGATAGACTGGATTAAGACAATGTGGCACCTATACACCAGGGAATACTACGCAGCCATAAGAAAGGATAGAGAGGATTCTAAATGCTCACAGATGGCGCACGCTCTCTCTCTCTTCCTCTGTCTCTCTCTCTCTCTCTCTCTCTCACACACACACACACACACACACATACACAGATTCCCCGCTCACAGGGACCCAGGCCCCGCCCTCCACCATGCTCACCTCGCCGCTGCACTGTGAAGCTCTCCACAACCCCGTAGTTGTATCTGCAGTAGGTGTCCACCTCGGCCCGCCTCCGCTCCAGGAGGTCCTTCTGGCTGTTCCAGTACTCAGCGTCAGGCCGCCCCAGCTCCGTCACCGCCTGGTACTCCCCCAGGTCACTGTTGTAGCGCGCGTACTCCTCTTGGTTATAGATGTATCTGATCAGGTTCCACACTCGCTCCGTCCCATTGAGGAAATGACACTCACACTTAGCCTGCTCCAAGAAACGTGCTGTGGGGACACGAACGATCCGGTCACACGGGCGGCCTCCTGAGAAGACACTGACAGCGACGCCACCAACCCGGACTCCCTGGGCGGGGTGCGGGCGCTGGGAACCTTAACCGGCCCCACCCGCAACGCCCACCACCAGCAGCCCAGGGGCTCGTCCTCAGTCTTCCTGAGGCGAACCGGGGTCTGGGGGACCAGGCGGGAAAACCCCTTCTGATCCTCAGGCTTTTGGGGACCCCCTCCCTGCCTCCAGCCTGTTCTGGAGAACTCCAAGCAGGAGCTGGAGGAGGATCCGCCCAGCACCGCGGCCCACGCGGCCTCCTTCTGGGAGTCTTCACCTGAAAGACACTCTCTGCTCCTCTCATCCCACACGCTTTACCGGTTCCTTCAACAGCACCCACCGTGTTCATCCCGTGAACCCTTCCTTAGTGCTGACCTTGTGCCTGGTCTGCGCTGCCTCTAGGAATCCAAACAAAGGAAAACAGACCTCTCCACTCCGCTGGGGGAGCTTAAAGAGCAGTGAACGTGATGGCCAAAAACCAAACACACAAGAGCTTAGACAGGAATGAGAAACGTCAGAAGTGTGGAGTTCTGGAACAGAGAATAAAAGGATGATCTCAATTACATTAGGGTGCCAGAGAAGGACCCTCTGAAGAGTGACAGTTCAGATGTGACTTGACAGGTTAAGCAGGTGAGAGCCAGGGGGCAGAGTGGATGGAGCCTGTGTGTCTGTCTGGACAAAACGGGAGGCACATTTTCAGGTTTAGGAAATCCCATGTACAAAAGGTTGAATTGATGAGCTTCTTCAAAAAACTAGAACAAAGTTCACTAAAGCAGAGAGGCTGAGGGGAAGGAAGGTAAAAGATTAGGCTGGAGAAATCACAAGAAGGCAGGTATTGAAAAGCCTCGTGGGTGGTGTTAGGATTTTGGATTTAACTAAAGACAATGGTAAAGTATTGAAGAGTTTTAAGGAGAATAAAACCATGATCCCGGTAAATGTCCACAAACTTTCCTTTGAATTTCTAAATCCACAAAGCTCTGAAATTCAGTTAAAAAAAACTTGTTTCCACAACTCATTTGGCAAATATCATCTGATAAGGGTAAGTGGTCAAAGGTGTCTCAGAGCTCTTATTGGTGACATGTGCTTCTGTAGTTTCAATACATATAAACACACATACAGATATATGTGAAAATATACACATATGTAAAACACTGTATATATTTTTGATGTTTTTGTCTTTATGTTTGAAGTGTGAAAATGACAAAAAATAACTTAAAATAATCCTGTGGGTAAAAGTGAAATGAATAAATAGTAGCATTTTACATTGTGAATAATATAAAATGTAGAATCACTACACAAATCTGAGGCCTGTTAGTGAGAAACAGTTTCAGCAGCATCACTATTTGTGACTTACAAGAGCAAGTTGTTGAAAGTTAATAGAGATAGTGATGACCAACAACTCATGAAAATGTTGAAAAATATTGCATAAGGCAAAAAATAAATATGAAAATATTAAGCTTGCATTGACTAAATGGATTCAACAAGAAAATGGTTGAATTTATGTAACTGTCTAATTTTTTATAATGAAACAACCAAAAATAAACCATAAAAAACTGAACTGTGTGGTGAGTGTATACCAGATGTGAGCCTAGAATTTTCAGAAAGAGCACAGTGTGAACCAGTGCTCTTAGCCTCAGCACTATTGACATTTTGGACCAGATAATTCCTTGTTGATAGCAGAGGCTGTTCTGAATATTGTAGGTTCTTTAGCAGTGTCCCTGGCTTCTACTCATTGAATATCAGAAGAAACCCCTGTTGTGACAACCAAAAATTGTTCCAAACATTGCCACCGTTCACCAACGATGATGGGAGGGAAGGGAGGGGTGGTGAACTATCCCTGGGTAAGAACTACAGGTGTGAACCATCCGAAAAAATCTGTGTTGAACAAGCTACTATTAGTTATGGAGCGCTGAGAATTGCATTGAAAAATATTTGTTGAAAATCTTGGTCCTACATAAAAAGAATGTTTTGTAGAATTCTGGTCCCAATACAGTGCTATCTTTTCAGAAAATGAACTTGATGAGAACCAAGATTTAATGATTTCCTTGCCTTACCAAGTAGCCACTAATCATATCGTTTATCATTCACATCATCTTTTTTCTTAATTTCTCTGCCACTGGTCCACTAATTTTCTGTAATAATGAATCACAACCACAGCTATTTTATTTCCCATTTGATGCCCCAACTAACTCATTTCTTTCAGTCTCCCACTCCCAACAATACCAGCAGGCATCAAATTTCCAGCCTTGGCCAGAGGCAGAACTCCTGGTTTTGCAGTCAAGTCCCCTTAGAAAGGGAGAAACCAAGAAAATGACATACTCATACAGACAGTTTGCAAAAACGAGCAGGTCCCCAGACTGTGAGCAAGACCTGCAGAAATGTCCCTTTGCCCTTTAGAAATGATGGCAGAGAGGTGTGCACCCTGGATAAAACAATGTCTATCTTTTTATCCCTAAATTATCTAAGTACTTTCTTTACAGACAGAAAGTTAAAAAATAAACATGTGTGAAGTTGCTGTCACTGTGGTTTGCATGACTAGCACTGTAATCCATGTCCATGTGTCTCACTTAGGGTTGACAGATTTGGCAAATAAAACCAGAGGATGCCCAGGTAAATTTGAATTTCCAAGAAATCATGGTTGTGTATCTGAAATTCAGATTTAACTAGGAACATGTATTTTATTTGGTAACTCTAGCCCAACTTGCTAGTCAAACCTCAGAAGAAGGAGTGATTTAATACTTCCTTGTGTTCTTCAACACATGACCATTATAGACATACAGAACTTTTAAAATGATAAATGTGAAATGAATGAAAGTTTCTCCTATACATCGGAACTAGCAGCCCTTGCATCTCTGTCTGCACTCTAAGAAGCAACCTGGTACATTTGAATATCAGAAATTCTGTCAATAATTCAGACACAATATAGTCACTACTCACTAATGATGGTCAGTCAAACTCTCAAACTCTAGAATCAGATAACCTGAATAAAAAACATGATCTCTTCTACTTGGGGCAATTTTTACCAACCATAATCCTTTTTGTAATCTATCAAATGCATTTAATAATAGCGTAATCCTCACAGGATTACTGTTAAGTGTAAAATTAAATGATGACTCTTATTAGCACTGATCACATAATAAACACTCAAATGCATTCCCATTTTAACTTTTATGATCCCTATAACTGCAGCTCACATCATTTTATGTATTCCTGAATTCTAGAGCAATTAGTATCTTCATCATGATTTTGCAATTGTCTTCTGTTCTTCTATTAGTTTCATAAGGAATTGTCATTCTGAAAACATAGGGCAGAAACACTGGTTTATGTCTAATAAAGCAGTATACCTAAACCTCACACAAAAGGCATCTGCTGACATAGAAGAAAGGGACTTTCTACATGCTCAGATTTAAACTGCAATCTGATTTCCAGCACTAAATTTGTAACACTGGGTTTTACTTATATCCTCTCAATTTTAGATTCCAGAGATGTATATGTTTTTTAAATACCACAGATACAACAGGATAATTATTGAAATTGCATACTGAAAATCATAGGCCTGGTACACAGTCACTGCAAAATGTTACCTGGCATATACTGATGGCGACCAGATTCATTTTATTTATCACTCCATTCTCATGACCTAGAGTAATAACTGGTATATGTATGCTATGTCATTAATAAATATTGGCTGTGTGAAATACTGGCTGCGTTAAATATTGGCTGTGTGACCTTTTGCATAAGTAGTCAGCACTGCACACAGGGGCTCTCTAGCATTTCCTCGCTAATAATGACTGAGCATCTCTGGTTCACAAGTCCTCCTCCTTCTCTTCAGCTTCTTTTTATTTATTTATTTATTTATTTATTTATTTTTTATTATACTTTAAGTTCTAGGGTACATGTGCACAATGTGCAGGTTTGTTACACACATATACATGTGCCGTGTTGGTGTGCTGCACCCATTAACTCGTCATTTACATTATGCATATCTCCTAATGCTATCCCTCCCCCCTCCCCCCGGTGTGTGATGTTCCTCTTCCTGTGTCCAAGTGTTCTCATTGTTCAATTCCCACCTATGAGTGAGAACATGTGGTGTTTGGTTTTTTTCTGCTTGTGATAGTTTGCTGAGAATTATGGTTTCCAGCTTCATCCATGTCCCTACAAAGGACATGAACTCATCCTTTTTTATGGCTGCATAGTATTCCATGGTGTGTATGTGCCACATTTTCTTCATCCAGTCTATCATTGATGGACATTTGGGTTGGTTCCAAGTCTTTGCTATTGTGAATAGTGCCACAATAAACATACGTGTGCATGTGTCTTTATAGCAGCATGATTTATAATCCTTTGGGTATATACCCAGTAATGGGATGGCTGGGTCAAACAGTATTTCTAGTTCTAGATCCTTAAGGAATCACCACACTGTCTTCCACAATGGTTGAACTCGTTTACAGTCCCACCAACAGTGTAAAAGTGTTCCTATTTCTCCACATCCTCTCTAGCACCTGTTGTTTCCTGACTTTTTAATGAATGCCATTCTAACTGGTGTGAGATGGTATCTCATTGTGGTTTTGATTTGCATTTCTCTGATGGCCAGTGATGATGAGCATTTTTTCATGTGTCTGTTGGCTGCATAAATGTCTTCTTTTGAGAAGTGTCTGTTCATATCCTTTGCCCACTTTTGGATGGGGTTGTTTGTTTTTTTCTTGTAAATTTGTTTGAGTTCTTTGTAGATTCTGGATATTAGCCCTTTGTCAGATGAGTAGATTGCAAAAATTTTCTCCCATTCTGTAGGTTGCCTGTTGACTCTGATGGTATTTTCTTTTGCTGTGCAGAAGCTCTTTAGTTTAATCAGATCCCATTTGTCCATTTTGGCTTTTGTTGCCATTGCTTTTGGTGTTTTAGACATGAAGTCCTTGCCCATGCCTATGTCCCGAATGGTATTGCCTAGGTTTTCTTCTAGGGTTTTTATGGTTTTAAGTCTAACATTTAAGTCTTTAATCCATCTTGAATTAATTTTTGTATGAGGTGTAAAGAAAGGATCCAGTTTTAGCTTTCTACATATGTGCAAAAAATCACAAGCATTCTTATACACCAATAACAGACAAACAGAGAGCCAAATCATGAGTGAACTCCCATTCACAGTTGCTTCAAAGAGTATAGAATACCTAGGAATCCAACTTACAAGGGACGTGAAGGGCCTCTTCAAGGAGAACTACAAACCACTGCTCAACTAAATAAAAGAGGACACAAACAAATGGAAGAACATTCCATGCTCATGGATAAGAAGAATAAATATCGTGAAAATGGCCATACTGCCCAAGGTAATTTATAGATTCAGTGCCATCCACATCAAGCTACCAATGACTTTCTTCACAGAATTGCAAAAAACTACTTTAAAATTCATATGGAACCAAAAAAGAGCCCGCATTGCCAAGACAATCCTAAGCCAAAAGAACAAAGCTGGAGGCATCATGCTGCCTGACTTCAAACTGTACTACAAGCCTACAGTAACCAAAACAGCATGGTACTGGTACCAAAACAGAGATATAGACCAATGGAACAGAACAGAGCCCTCAGAAATAATACCACACATCTACAACCATCTGATGTTTGATAAATCTGACAAAAAACAGAAATGGGGAAAGGATTCCCTATTTAATAAATGGTGCTGGGAAAGCTGGCTCTTCAGCTTCTTTAGCCTTTTCCTTTAGAATCAGCTGGCTCCCTGAACCCAGAGCACAGTCCTTCCCTGAAGCTCTCTACTCAAAACAGTCAATCTTAACTTCGTCCTCACTTCTACTTGCTCTTCAAATGGTCCAATCCAGTTTCCTCCCTGGATACTCCATTGACTGCAAATATCAACTCCAGCAAACCAGCAACCCAGCACTTGCTTCTCTGTCACGTTCTCACTTCCCTCTCCTCTTAGTGGTACTCACCACAATTGGCCTCTCCCTTCTCCTTGAAAATAATCTGTTTTTCTTCACTTACATGCATTATGTTATCTTGGGTTTTCTCCAGCCTCCCTGGGCTCTTTCTCAGCCCCCTTTGCTGGCCTGTACCCTCTTCTTTTTTCTCCACACAATCCATCTCCCTATGTATCATCTTACACTCCCTGGAATTTAACACACTACACTTATTGATGCCGCCAACATAAATACCTGAAGCCCTAGCTTCACCTCACCATGAGTCTCTTAAATGCCATTGACCTTCTGATTGCTCCACATAAATGTCAATAAATCATCTCAAATTTAAACAAAACTTTTATTTCCAACCACCCACTTCAAATCATTTCCTCCCATAGTTTTTCCTATCTCAATAAACAACACTACCACCCACTTATTTGTCAAAACAAAATCCTTAGGAATAAGCTTGATTGTTCTAACCCCTTTACAGTAATTCATTAGCAAGCTAAGCAAAAATACATGCCAAGTCTGTCCACTTTATCTTTTTCACTCTCTTTATCACTAATGCACTCCATGAAGCCACAAGCCTGTTTTCCCTGGATAATTCTCTGCTGTGCTCCTAAATAGTCTTCCTGACCACTTTTGAACCCCAACAATCCAATTCCTACAGAGTAGCTAGAGTTAGTTTTAAAAATTGAATATAGGCCGGGTGCAGTGGCTCACGCCTGTAATCCCAGCACTTTGGGAGGCCAAGGTGGGCAGATCACGAGGTCAGGAGATCGAGACCAACCTGGCTAACACGGTGAAACCTCATCCCTATTAAAAATACAAAAAATTAGCCAGGTGTAGTGGCATGCGCCTGTGGTCCCAGTTACTCGGGAGGCTGAGGCAATAGAATCGCTTGAACCCGGGAGGCGGAGGTTGCAGTAAACCGAGATTGTGCCACTGCAATCTAGCCTGGGCAACAGAGCAAGACTCGATCTCACAAACACACACACACAAAATTGAATATAAATTGACTCTCCGTGTAACCGTACAGTAGTTTCTCATATCTATTTAAATAAAATTCAGTCTGGGCACAGTGGCCCACTCTTGTAATCCCAGCACTTTGGGAGGCCAAGGCAGACAGATTATCTGAGGTCAGGAGTTCGAGACCAGCCTGGTCAACATGGTGATACCCCATCTCCACTAAAAATACAAAAAAATAGCCAGGTATGGTGGTGGGTGCCTGTAATCCCAGCTACTTGGGAAGCTGAGGCAGGAGAATCACTTGAACCCAGGAGGCGGAGGTTGCAGTGAGCCGAGATTGTGCCATTGCACTCCAGTCTGGGCCACAAGAATGAAACTCTGTCTCAAAATAAATAAATAAATGAAATTCAAATTTTTTACCGTGGATTTCAGAGCCTAATATGAGGAGGCTCCTGACTTCCTCTCTGTGTTCTACCTCATCTTCTGCCCCCCTATTTCCTTGCTTCCTATACATCAGCCCCTCTAGCCTTCTTTCTCTCCCTCCACATAATTTCCCACACCAGGGCTTTCCCTCGATTCAGTCTCCCTGGAACTTTTGTCCATTAGATCTTCACAACTGTCTACTTACTTTGTTGTCTCAGCTGAATGTCACTTTCTCAGGTAGGGCTCCCTAAACATATGAACTAAAGTAGGTGAATCCATTTCTATCTTTCCGACAAACCTGTTGTCTTTTCTTCAGTGCACTATGACTCTCTAACATTTTCTTTTTTGTTAAATGCTTATTGGGTTAGTGTCTGTCTCCTCTATTGTTGTGTAATTTCCTTGAGAGTCGGGACCCTCTCTATCTTACTCAAATAGAATGATTTGAACCTAGAATGGAGCCCAGTACACAGTAGCTGCTGAGAAAAATAAGTGTGGTTTACACGAATAAACCAGGGTATGAGAACTGATCACTGTGGGGATCCCGGAAAGCAAGAAGGGGCTCAAGCTCCAGCACCCTTTCATTTTGATGTCACACTAGACCCCTTCTCCTCCCGGTGAGAAATACAGGCAAACTTCTTCTTTCTCCTCCTTCTACTTGGAAGAAGAATTCACAGATAAAGAAACAGTGATTTAAGAAAAAGGAAATTTTTTTATTAAGAGTCATTTCTTTTTGCCTGGGCACAGTGGCTCACATCTATAATCCTAGCACGATGGGAGGCCAAGGCAGGAGGATTGCTTGAGTCCAGCAGTTTAAGACCAGCCTGGGCAACATGGCAAAATCTCATCTCTACCAAAATTAAAAAATTAGCTGGGCGTGGTTGCCTGCCTCTATTCCCAGCTATTCCGGAGCTTGAGGAGGGAAGATCGCTTGAGCATGGGAGGCAGTGGTTGCAGTGAGCCTCGATCACACCACTGAGCTACAGCCTGGGTGACAGAGCTAGGCCCTATCTCAAAAAGAAAAAAATTATGTCTTTCAATGGATCTCATAGTGCTAAGGATCTGTGCAAGCTTTAGAGATTTTTGGAAATGATGACAACATAGCTGGGGAAAAGAGAGAAAGTGGAGGAAGAGGTAAGCAGACATGGCTAATTAAGGAAAGCTGAGGGCATGATGGGTGAACCTATGAAATTTAGGACAAGACCCCAGTAAGACAATGAGTTTCCAGGACTTGCTCATTGACTTTCAGCCTTATGAGACATGAACAATGTCCACATTGTCTCAAAAACCCCACACAGAGTATATAGTTTGAACATTATTAAATTTCTGATATTTGATTATTTTTGACTTACAAAAATAGAATTTCATACAATTTATACTACATTAGTTAAATCTCTTCTGTCATGTCTAGTTAGAGCACGTAAGAGATGTAGGAGAAACAAGTATAGAACGGTTAAAAAAGATTCATAATAAACACTAACCTGGGCCGGTTTTCCAGAGGATGCCTAAAGTTCTTTAGGCACCAATGAATACCGCATAAATGCTCTATATCTGTAAGGTGACTCCACGTACTAAAGATCTCAGCTTCAGTTCCACGGATTTTTCCCCATAAGAAAGAAAGAGCACTAAGTATAACTTTTGTCAGAGAACCTACATAGGCAACAGGGGTACAGGCTTTATAAACATTGGAGTTCAGAAAGAAAAGAAAGGAGATAATGGGGAGGCCACTGGATCCATCCTCACATATGAGGAAGAGGGGCCAACACCAAAGGTCCTGTGGAGGACATAACACTGGATCGTCTAGGAGAGACCCTTTGAATTCCCTTGACTCCCACAAAATTTTCAGTAAAAACCTCCTTTTGTCTGACATAAGTCAACATAATAAAGGGAAGTGCTGTATGGGGAAATTATTTTAGCATACTTATTTCTAAATCCTCTAAAGACCCTGAGGACATGTGATGCATAGGTTTTATTGGTGGAGATTTGAGAAGAAATGACCTGTGTGTAGGCCCTTTACACAAATCTCATGGACAGGACAAGTAGCCAAGCGCCTTTTGTGGTGGAAATAATTTGGGATCCATCTGATAAAGATGGGCAATCTCTGAAGAAAGTGTCACAATTTCATAAGAGACATAGCCTGGGCACAATGTTAACAAAACTTCCTATTTTTGCCCCCACCCCATAGTAGCTCTGCAGTCACAATGTGCACTTACGTTGGGTGTCCCCAGCCAAAGCCAGTGGGGAGCTCAGCACCGTCAATGTCACTGTCAGCGCTGCCATACAGGAGCCTCCAGGGAGCTTCAGACACACCATGCTGGAGAAGAGGACAAGACCAGTGGTCACAGCAGCAGGCAAGTCTCAATCAGGGAGAACTATGGCCCCCCTCCACCCACATTCCAAATTATAGGAAGGAAGTTACTGATTTCCTTGCTCCTTGATTGGGTAATCTCGTGTTGGAGAACCAGTCAGCACCTGAGTTCACTAGCATCATCAGTTGCTGGTCAGAGATGCTGTATGAAGGTCCTCCTCTGAAACAATTGTCTTCTTTAAAGGATTGTTTTAATTTAGTACTCAAAAGGTTTGATCCAGTTGCATGTAAAACATTTTAATTGGGTCCCTATTGTGAGCCAGCTCTGAGCTGGTCAGTGATGTGTTCACAAGTTTGAGCCTTGTAAGAGCATTCATTTCCCACTTGACAAGAGAAGTATTTGCAGCAGTGACCGTGTTTAGGAGTAAATGAGATGGAGGGAACATGGTTGCAAATGTGCAGACCTTTAATCTGGTCCTTATTGCACCATATCTTAATGTCGTAGATTTGGGAAAATTATTTCATGTCTCACAGTTGAAATGAAGGCACCGTGATCTTTTAGGTCTTTCAATACTGGAAAATGCTGTGATTCTGTGGATGCCTCAAGAAGCAGCAGCCCCGGGTATCTGATGATATGACAGAATGACAGCTGTTGACTAGAGAGCTTAATCTGCACCTGTTTACAGGTGGGGATGTCTTTAATAAGTTAAAGGAAATGGAAAGTTAATAATTTAATCTGAGTAAAAGGTTGTTTTCAAGTGTGTCTCCTGATGCTGCCCTCAAGTTTAGTGGCAGCTCCAGAACACACACAGGCAAGGGGCTTGCAGGGGCCACCTATGTGCAATGGAGGCTCTGAAGGTGCCTTTGTCCAGCACTTACCCTAAAAATGTGATAAGGTCAACTGTGCAATCCAAGTATTCAGGGGGCTGAGAGATCGATCAAAGACTCAACGTGAGCTGTTGACAGAACAACTCTGTTTTAAAATAATTAATATTTTACATGAAGAGTGTTTAATCCCTCATTCCTGGTACCCATTAGGATTTCCTCATTTGACTGAGGCTATGGCCCTTTACTACTGTGCTTCTCTTGTTTTATCGTAAGGGAAGATATAAGAAGACTGTGCTAACTAATACGTTATAGAATGTTCAGGAAAGAGAGTCCTAGGGAAAAACTATGAATTATATCAGTTGATGTACTCATGTAATTTTAAACATATAATTCTACATTTAGATAATTATTATGCTTTATATTAATATAAATGTGAAATCTGAGATTCAGAATGGACTTCATAGTACAACTATACATGTAAAGTTCTGCATTAATTCACACTCTACCACAGTTCTGATAGGCACTCCTTCCTTATGTGCCTTAGTGTTTCCAGGGGCAGGATTCTCACCATGCTGCAGCAGAAATAAGCATTTTACTTTGTACTCAGAATTGTACTAAGGGCTTTCTATACTTCATATGTTTATTTCATTCTCACATCAGCTCAGTAAAATAAACACCCTTTTCATGCTTACAGGTGGAGAGAATAAAGAGATGGAGGTAAAACAACTTTTCCAAAGGTACAAAGCTAGTAAAAGGTACACTATGGAGTGAGCCAAATTATCTACCCCTCAAGCTCAGCCACTATATCATACTCCTTCACATTCTATTTCTGAGAATAATGTTCCTTGTATTAAAATTATTTATATCCCTATAATTTATGGGTGTGCATAGCAATAAGACTACTTCTTTTAATGAATGGTATCATTACATAATTTGAGAAAGCCACTATGTAGCAATTCTGGTTCCTTCAAAAGAATCCCCTCATCATCATCGACAAGAGGAAGATCCCGTCAAAAACAAACAAAAACAAAAACAAAAAACACAAAGGAAGAAAAAAGAAAAGAAGAAAGAATTTGTGAAAAAAATAAACTAATTGTGATGATGACAATCTAGGAAAGCCATCTAAGGTTCACCTTAGCATTTTAGGATAAAAGGGTGGTGATGATGGCAGTGGCGAGCTCTCCAGAGTGGCTAGTTGCAGTGGGAAGTTGCAAGCAGTGGTGGCAGGAACGACTGTGGCAGCAGTGGCCATGGTGGGACCCCTGTGCCCCATGTCCTCTGTGCCTTGTGTCCCTGAAGCAGCTGACTGCGCTGCCCCAAACCTTGAGCAGCTGGCAGGACCTGCCCCCAGGCCCGGAGCCTACACCAGTCTTGCATTGCTGCTCTCACCCTGCAGCTGTGGGGAGGGCATGGAGCTGGGGCCATTTCTCAGGGGCCTGGGGTGAGAAGTGGGAGTTGCCCCACTTTGGGGACTCATCCAGCAGCAAGGCCATTGTCCCACCCTGCTGAGGGAGCACTGTTCCTAGGTCTCAGGAGGAGGCTGTACCTGAGGCCACCCAGGGTTGTGCCCTCGGGGGTGGTCACCAAGCCTGATGCTCCCCATGGCCAAGTCCTGCCGCAATCTGCTCCCCAAGGTGCCTCCCCAGCCCCATCCAGGCGAGGGAGGTCCCTGGGCACCCCTAAGTTCTAGGAGAAGATCTTACAGAGACATCACCTTTGCCCCAGATGCCAGCCTGGGCCCGGCGAGTGGAGCTGCCCACTCCAGGCTGCAAGAAGGTGCGACAGGGGCTACCTGCAGGCTCCATGGATTGGGCAGGAGACCGACCCTCCCGCAGCAGGGTCCAGGCCTCTCTGCACTCCACGCCCTCAAGGCTGAGAAGGCCTCCATGTCCCTATAGGCTCCGGGGTGTCTGCTCCCACTGCCTGGCCTCTCCCCTGGTCTCTCCCAGCTCCCGCTCTGATCTCAGAGTGGAGATGGGCCCAGCCCCAGTGCTGTCACAGCCTGGCCGGGTGTGTGCACACTCAGGGCTGCATTGACATACCAGTCTCCTGCCACCTCAGCCATGGGGAAGCTGAGGAAAGACGGGCTGAGGGAAACTGGCATGGCCTATAGGTGCCCCTTGGCATGAGCAGCCTGGTTGCCATGGATAGCGGTGGGAGGCAAATAGCCTCTATGTCAGAAAGAGGCAGGTCCCTGGTGAGGCCTTGCTCACCAGGCTGGGCTGCCAGTCCTGCTGACAGGAGTGAGAATTTGTGCCTTTTCTGGGCCTTCCCCATGGCCGTCCATGGTCCTCACTTCCTCCCCTTTGAGGCCTGTAAAAGCCCTGGGCTCAGGCAGACATGAGCAGAGGATGGAGAGAGCTAAGAGAGAGGACAGGGAGATGAGGGATGACTTGCTGCAGAGAAGAGTTGCCCTCCCCAGGGTCTCCTCTCTGCTGAGAACTGAGGAGAGAATAGGACGTTCAGCTGCAGAGAGGAGCTACCCTCTCTGCAGAGAGCTGAACAGGTGTCGGGACAACCTGGTTATGGAGAGGAGCTGCCCACTGCAGGTCTCGGAGCTGTTCTATGGCTTAATAAAGCTCCTCTTTGTCCTGCTCACCCTCCGCTTGTCTGCATACCTCATTCTTCCTGGACGCAGGACAAGAACTGGGGATCTGCTGAACGGTGAGGCTAAAACACCTGTAACACAAACATAGCTGAAACATGCCCATTGCTCGCCATGTTGTGGGCAAAGAGAAGGAGAGAAGAGCTGTGGCTCTTCAGGGAGCCCAAACCTGGGAGCTCACTGAGCCAGGGCTGTGGCTTACTTTTTGGGGCCTGTGGTTCCTGGGGTTCCCAATCTTCCAGGTGCCACCATGTTCCCCAGTGCCAGCTGTGGAAGCTGCTTGCAGTGCACCTGGTCCAGTTGCAGCCTCACAGGCAGCTGGCACCCATACTGGTGCCTAGAGCTGCCCACCCTGCACAGCCAACATTCCTGGCTCTACACAGGGGCTGGACCCCATGCTCACTTGCTCACATATCCCTCACCACCTGACCTTTGGCAAGTGTCAGATCCAGGCCAGTAGTGTGAACCACAGCCTGCCAGGCGAAGTGGGTGGAATGAGCTCAGCTGGCCCGAGCAAAACTCAGGCAAAGGCATTACCAGTCACAGGATTCTGGCAAGAAAAGCAAAACGCCAATGATCTCGTAACAGTGACATGGTTAGGCTGGCTCTGTTTCCCCACCCAAATCTCATCTTGAATTGTAATCCCCATAATCTCCACATGTCCAGTGTGGGACCTGATGGGAGGTGATTAGATCATGGGGGCCATTTCCCTCATGCTGTTCTTGTGATAGTGAGTGAGTTCTCACGAGATCTGATGGTTTTGTAAGTGTTTGACAGTTCCTCCTATGGGTACATTCTCTCTTGCCTGCTGCCATGTAAGATGGTCTTCTTACTCTTCTGTCATGATTGTAAGTTGCCTGAGGGCTTCCCATCCATACAGAACTGTGAGTCAATTAAACCTTTTTCCTGCCAGGCACAGTGGCTCATGCCTGTAATCCCAGCACTTTGGGAGACCTAGGCGGGTGGATTACGAGGTCACGAGATTGAGACCCTCCTGGCTAACACAGTGAAACCCTGTCTCTACTAAACATACAAAAATTAGCTGGGGCTAGGCGCGGTGGCTCAAGCCTGTAATCCCAGCACTTTGGGAGGCCAAGGCGGGCAGATCACCTGAGGTTGGGAGTTCGAGACCAGCCTGACCAGCATGGAGAAATCCCGTCTCTACTAAAAAAATACAAAAATCAGCCGGGCATGGTAGTGCATGCCTGTAATCCCAGCTACTCAGGAGGCTGAGGCAGAAGAATTGCTTGAACCAGGGAGGCAGATGTTGTGGTGAGCCTAGATTGTGCCATTGCACTCCAGGCTGGACAACAAGAGCGAAACCTAGTCTCAAAAAAAAAAAAAAAATTAGCCAGGCATTGTGGCATGCAGCTGTAGTCCCAGTTACTCAGGAGGCTGAGGTAGGAGACTCACTTGAACCCAGGAGGCAGAGGTTGCAGTGAGCCGAGATTGCACCACTGCACTCCAGCCTGGCGACAGAGCTAGATTCCGTCTCAAAAAAAAAAAAAAAAGAGAAAAAGAAAAAAAAAAAGAAAATTTTTTGTTTGTTTGTTTTTAGTTTTTTTGAGATGGAGTCTTGCTCTGTCACCAGGGTGGAGTGCAGTGGCATGATCTTGGCTCGCTGCAACCTCTGCCTCCCGAGTTCAAGTGATTCTCCTGCCTCAGCCTCCCGAGTAGCTGGGACTGCAGGTGCACGCCACCACACCCAGCTATTTTTTTTTTTTTGTATTTTTAGTAGAGATGGGGTTTCACCTTGTTGGCCAGGATGGTCTCGATCTCTTGACCTTGTGATCTGCCCACCTCGGCCTCCCAAAGTGCTGGGATTACAGACGTGAGCCACCACGCCTGGCCCCTTTTTCTTTATAAATTACCCAGTCTCAGGTATTTTCTTACGGCAATGTAAGAATGAACTATTACAGGTGGCAAAGAAAAGTAATTGTTTATCAATAACATACTGAAATAGGGTTAATGGGAGCATTTTCAAAACTTGTTCCCATGATTTTATTGTCTCCATGAAATGCTTCTGGAATATACCACATAGAATTCTTTTTCTACTGTGGAATTTTCTGAACATTCTATGGGGACATTTTTCATGTACTTATCGCTTCAAGTTTCTTCAAATAGTAATTTTTCCAAAATACTATACTATTTTTGATGGTTCTTTGGTGAATTTTCTGGTGTTTGAGCTGGTTATTTGCAGTGAGGGGAGCTGCAGGATTTGTGTGATCCCTTCATCCTGAATAGTCTGAATGTTGAATGTATCATATAAGGTCTGTTATTGTTAGAGAAGGCAGATAGTCAGAAATGGGAGCCCCTGGGAAAAAAAGTGTTGGAGTCAGCACTCACTGACAGTCAGCACTGTGCACTAATAGCAAAAAGGGCAATGGCTACACTGGCTACATCTGGCCTTGTGGTTGGTCCATCCGGCCTTGGAGGGGACTCATCAGGTCCTAGCCAGAAATTGCCATGGCAGGGACTTTCTCCACTAATGAAATTGTGCATTCCTCCAATAACTTACCTAGAATAGCCTTTTGCTCACTATGATAGTAAAAAACACAGCTCTGGGTGGAGATTTTAAATACTGAGACATGCAACATATACAGTAGCAAGTACAAGACAGAGCATGCGCACCCAAAGAGTCCTCCTGAAACATGCTTGCAAGTGACACCCCTCAGGCCCCTTCATGAATAATCATGTGAGATTCTCATAAAGAGAGTCCGTCAGCACTGGCTGCTGCTGGCTCCTTCTTTTGAGCAGCCCACTCTGTCTCCTCTTCCAGAGCGTACTGTCTCTTTAAATAAACACTGCTACTATTTTTCCAGCTGGAACAGTCAGAACTGTTTTCCACTTCTCTCTAGGAATGCACTTTATTTTCCTTCAATAAACTCTGCTACTCAACCATTGCTATGCATCTCTTGGCTGAATTCTTTCTTCCAAGTTAGACAACAATGGAGAATTCGTGCACTTCTTAGTAACAGAATTAATTAGAAATATCCAGGCTCATTGGGCTTGGTCTATTTCTGAGCAAGTGCAGGCAATTCTGTTGCTGTGGTCTAGTCCTCAGCAGGACAATGCTAAAGTAAGGTTTGTTTGTTGGGAGATCTCTATTGGGCAATCGGTTCAGAATCAGTTTTTAGTTCTTCAGCCTGCAAGTCAAAGACATGTCTGTATCTTCAGTGTAGTGAATCTGAAACCCTGGGATTTGGCCTCTGAGAATGGGTGAGACAGATGGAGAGGAGGAGATAGGGGGTAGACTGTGGAGCAGAATGAGAAGAAGACCCACAAATATTACAAGATTTACATATCAGCATTTCTCATTCCAGACTTAAAGAGGAATGAGATTAGACACTGCAGACTGACATTGCCTGTTCCTTTAGAAAAAGCCTTGGATGCCTGTTTTATTACCAGGAGAACAGTCTGACTTATTACTGAAACCATCATATATTTGGACATATGTATTTGGGTGGAAAAACTGAGTAATGGGAGCAGTGGCAGGATACGGCATTAAGATGAGAAGAAAATATTAGAAAAACAGTGAGCTATTGCTCATTTGTCTGTAAAAGTATGATGATACTTATTTCTAAAATGGTTACTAGAACCTACCACAAACCATAAAGGTGAATTATCAATGACAGTGAGATAGACTGCAAATAAACGTTGAGTTAGATTTGGATTTCATCTGGGCTGTATCATATACTAGGTATGTTTTCACTTGTATCCTACTTATCTTAGCCTCAGATTCCTCATAAAAATACTGCTGTTAATTTTTACTACATTGAATTATAATCAGAATTAAAGGAAAAATGTAAGCAAAGTAATTAGGTACCATGTTTGGTGATAATAAAATATTGCAAAAACTAAACTTTCCATTGTTTTCCTCAAAATTTCTACAGCCGAATTTTATAAAATAAAACAATCACACACCAAGGCGGCATGACCTTGTAAGACTTACTAATAAATAACACGTTTCTCTACCTATGGTTTATAGAATCCAAGCAGAATTTTGAGAATGTTAGAGATAGAATCGGCATACATATTTTGTAACATATCTATAATTTTAATATAAAATAAGTAGATGAGCAATACAGAATGCAGTCAAATGCAGACAAATATGGAATAAAAAAGCAAAAATAAATCTATATCATTCCATGTAACAAGACCATTTTTAAAGTAGTTTAAAGTGTAGAGAAAAATTGCGGAGAAATTTCAGGGACTTCCCACATCCCTTCTTCCCTAAAACAGCCCTCTGCTCAATTTCTCCTATTATTAACATCCTGCATCAGTGTGGTACGCTTGTTACAAATGATGAACCAATACTGATACTTACGTTAACTGAGGTCCATAGTTGAATTAGGGTTCATTCATATTATACAGCTCTGTGGGTTTTGATCAATACATAACATCATATATCCACCATTAAAGTCGAACTGACCCGAGTCCCATAGACAGTTTTTCTTTTAAATCTGCATTTAAATGGACACTTCTGATCTTAAATTTAAACTTACATTTGTCTTATCTGAATTGCTTTCCAAAAAAAGATCCCCCAGGCCTCTTAAAAAGTATCAAAGAACTGGAACTCACCAGATCATCTCATCCAGACAATGAGACTCCAGGTTCCCCATTCATCATGATTGTTCCCTTACCCTTCCCTAGTTCCTGTTTTCCCATACATAGTTACATTTCTTCCCTGCTAGATAAACTCCTAATTTTAGTCAGTCACAGAGATGGATTTGACACTGGTCTCCCATCTCCTCAGCTGCAGCACCTGATTAAAGATTAAAGCCTTCTTCTTTGGCAGTACTCATTGTCATCTCAGTGATTGGCTTTGTGTGTGGTGAGCAGCAAGATCCAGACCAAAGCCCTTGTGTGCAAGACCTAGACTAAACCCCTGGTGTTTCAGTAACAAAAGTATCCTGCGAAGTAGTTTTGCTGACCTAAAATTGTCCCAGGCTCCACCTACTCATTCATTTCTCTTCCTCCTGAACCCCTGGAAACCACTATTTACTGTCTCTGTATTTTTGCCTTTTCCAGAATGTTATATAGTTGTAATCATATGGGATATAGTTTTTTTTAGACTGGCTTCTTTCACTTAACGATATGCGTATAGGTTTTCTTCATGTCTGTTCATAGCTTGATAGCTTATTTCTCTGTAATTTTAAATAATAACCCATGATATGGATCTACCACAATTTGTTTATCCACTCACTTACTGGAGGACATCTTGGTTGCTTTGAATTTTTGGCAATTATGAATAAAGCTGCTATAAACATCGGTGTACACTTGTTTGTGTGGACAGAATTTTCCACTAATTTGGGTAATACTTAGGATTGCAATTGCTGAATCTTATGGCAGAGTATGTTTAGCTTTGTAAGAAACAGCCAGAGTGTCTTTCAGGCACAGTCGCTCACGCCTGTAATCCCAACACTTTGGGATGCCAAGTCGGGCAGATCATGAGGTCAAGAGATGGAGACCATCCAGGCCAACATGGTGAAACCCCCATCTCTACTAAAAATATAAAAATTAGCTGGGGGTGGCGGGTACCTGTAATACCAGCTACTTGGGAAGCTGTGGCAGGAGAATTGCTTGAACGGGGGAGGTGGATGTTGCAGTGAGCTGAGATCTTGGCACTGCACTCCAGCCTGGTGACAGTGCAAGACTCCGTCTCAAAAGGAGCTAGACAAATCCACGGTATTTCAGTAACAAAAGCATCATACAAAATAATTTCCCTAACTATGCCTGAGACTCAACGTATTCACGCATCTCTTCTCCTCCTGAACTCCTGGTCTATTTACTCTCTGTATTTTTGCCTTTTCTACAGTGTCATATAGTTGTGATTTTACAGTATAGAGCTTTTTCAGGCTGGCTCCTTCCACTTAGCAATATGCCTATAAGTTTCCTCCATGTGTTTTCATAGCTTGGTAGCTTATTTCTCTTTACTGCTGAACAATATCCCATGGTATGGATATATCACAATTTCTTTATCCACTCACCTATTGAGGACATCTTGGGGGCTTCGAGTTTTTGGCAATTATGAATAAGACTGCTATAAACATCCATGTATGGGTATTTGTGTGGACATAAGTTTTCCACTCATTTGCTCAGAGGTGCCATTGCTGGATTGTATAGTAAGATTGTGTTTAGCTTTGTAACAAACAGCCAGAGAGTCTTTCAAAGTGGCTGTACTGTTTTGCATTCCCACCAGCAATGAATCAGAGTCCTTGATTTTCTAAATCCTTGCCAGCATTTGGTTCTGTGAGAGTTTTGGATTTCAGTCAGAAAATAGAAAATGCTTTTTAATTCCTTACACCTTATACAAAAATTAATTCAAGATGGATTAAAGACTTAAATGTTAGACCTAAAACCATAAAAACCCTAGAAGAAAACCTAGTCAATACCATTCAGGACATAGGCATGGGCAAGGACTTCATGTCTAAAACACCAAAAGCAATGGCAACAAAAGCCAAAATTGACAAATGGGATCTAATTAAATTAAAGAGCTTCTGCACAGCAAAAGAAACTACCATCAGAGTGAACAGGCAACCTTCAGAATGGGAGAAAATTTTTGCAATCTACTCATCTGACAAAGGGCTAATATCCAGAATCTACAAAGAACTCAAACAAATTTACAAGAAAAAAAACAAACAACCCCATCAAAAAGTGGGCAAAGGATATGAACAGACACTTCTCAAAAGAAGACATTTATGCAGCCAAAAGACACATGAAAAAATGCTCACCATCACTGGCCATCAGAGAAATGCAAATCAAAACCACAATGAGATACCATCTCACACCAGTTAGAATGGCAATCATTAAAAAGTCAGGAAACAACAGGTGCTGGAGAGGATGTGGAGAAATAGGAACACTTTTACACTGTTGGTGGGACTGTGAACTAGTTCAACCATTGTGGAAGTCAGTGTGGTGGTTCCTCAGGGATCTAGAACTAGAAATACCATTTGACCCAGCCATCCCATTACTGGGTATATACCCAAATGTCTATAAATCATGCTGCTATAAAGACACATGCACACGTATGTTTATTGTGGCACTATTCACAATAGCAAAGACTTGGAACCAACCTAAATGTCCAACAATGATAGACTGGATTAAGAAAATGTGGCACATGTACACCATGGAATACTACACAGCCATAAAAAATGATGAGTTCATGTCCTTTGTAGGGACATGGATGAAACTGGAAAGCATCATTCTCAGCAAACTATAGCAAAGACAAAAAACGAAACACTGCATATTCTCACTCATAGGTAGGAATTGAACAATGAGAACACATGGACACAGGAAGGGGAACATCACACACCGGGGACTGTTGTGGGGTTGGGGAAGGGGGGAGCGATAGCATTAGGAGATATACCTAATGCTAAATGATGAGTTAATGGGTGCAGCACACCAACATGGCACATGTGTGCATATCTAACAAACCTGCACATTGTGCACATGCACCCTAAAACTTAAAGTATAATAATAATAAAATTTTTAAAAAATGCTTTCTAAAAATGTTTTACTTTGAAATCATTATAGAATCACAGGAAATTGCAAAGACAGAACAGAGAACATATGTGTACCCTTTCATCCAGATTTTCTAAATGTTTATATTTTAAGTAGCTCTAGTGAGAGGTGAAGCTGGCTGGGCTTCTGGGTCAGGTGGGGTCCTCGGTAGAAGTTGCTAGTTGAGCTCATTTGGGGTTCCATTTGTAAGACCATCTGTAGCTTGACGGTCTCGATTGTAGAGGAAACAAATTTGACAAGGAGGTTAAAAATACAGGGCCCAAAGGCGAGTAATAGCAAGATGGCTGCCGTGGGACCTAGAAAGGGAGAAGCCATGTTGCTCAACTCCAGAGGTTGGTATAAGAGTTTGAAAGGCATTGTCTTATTTCAGAAGACTTTTCCTGTGGGAAGGCTTAAGGCTGGAGCTTGAGTGTGCTCCTTCCAGTGCCCAGACTTCAGGGTTGATTCCCTCCTCAATCAGGGGACAAGAAATGGGTAACTTTTTCCCAACATTCATGTAGATAATGGCTCCAGCTTTGGCTAATATGTCCTTCCCTAATAAGGGTATGGGACTTTCAGGCATAACAAGAAAGGCATGTGAAAAGAGCAAAGTCTCCCAATTACAACTGAGGAAGTGGGAGAAATACCTGGTTACAGCCTTTCCCGGGATTCCTTGGATAGTAATGGACCTTGAGGACAGCTGTCCAGGACAGGAGATTAACACTGAGAAAGCCACGCCAGTGTCCAGGAGGAAGTCAATTTCCTGGCCTTCAATGGTTATACATACCCAAGGCTCAGTGAGAGTGATGACATGAGCTGGTGCTTGCCCCAAGCACCCTCAGTCCTGTTGTTGGATCATCTGGTTGGGGGCTTCTGGCCCAGAGAAACTTTGTCATCTGGGGCAGCGCACCTTCCAGCGACTTCTTTGGCATAGAGGACATGGGCTAGGGGGTGGCTTTTTTCTCATTGGACTATCTTTTTTAAAGTGTCCTTGTAAACCACACTGATAACAAGCCCTACCAGGTGACTGGCCTGCTCCATTTTCTATCTTTTCTGAATCACCAAGGTCTATTCGTCTGAGGGCCATGACTAAAGCTGCGGTCTTTCTCTGATCTCGCTATTCCTTTTTGGCCTATTCCTCTTGGTCCCTACTATAGAACACCAAGGTTGCCAGGTTTAATAATGCCTCCAGATTTTGTTCAGGGCCCAGGGCTCACTTTTGGAGCTTTCTCCTGATATCTGCGGCTGATTGGGTAATAAACTTATCTTTTAGGATCAATTGACCCTTGAGTGAGTGGGTGACAGGAGAGTATATTTTCTTAAGGCCTCCCATAGCCACTCAAGGAAGGCAGAAGGATTTTCTTCTTTTCCCTGAGTTATGGTGGACATCATTGAATAATTTATAGGCTTTTTCCTAATTCTCCTTAGTCCTTCTAGAACACAGGTCAAAAGATGTTTACGATTCTAGTCCCCATGATCTGAGTCTAGATCATAGTGGGGATCCATACTGGGGATGGCTTGCTGATCAGTAGGGAATTTGTCCCTTTCTTCAGCTGTCATTCTATCATTTACTTGACTAAGATATCAGGTAGCTCCAAACTCTCAGGCTGCAGCTAAAGCCACATTCTTTTCATTAAAGGCTAGGGTTTGATCTAACAATAGCATGACATCTCTCCAAGTGAGATCGAAGGTTTGCCCTAGACCCTGTAGGACATCTGTGTACCTAACAGGATAATCTGAAAACTTCCCCAGGTCTGCCTTGATCTGCTTTAAATCAGAGAGGGAGAAGGGGACGTGTACCTGGGTTGGGCCAAATTCCCCTCCCCCTAAAGCTTGAAGGCGACATAACTGATAGGGGCGTTTTGTGGTTCCTTGGAGATTTATTTGCTTGTTTCCGTCTGGGTGGGGGAGATTGGAAAAGGCTTATTAATAGGAAGGGGAGCTATAGGGAGGCTAGGATATGTGGGTAAGCTGGGAGGTCCTCCTGCGGGATGTAAATTGCAAGCTTTGCATAGTTGTGTATTTTCCTTCAATGAAAAGAAAGCTCAGACATAAGGTATTTCACTCCATTTGCCTTCCCTCTTACAGAAAAGGTCAAGCTGCAGGATAGTATTGCAATTTGTACTTCCCTCAGGTGGCCGTTTTTCCCCATCAGAGAGAGAATATTGGGGCCAAGTCATAGTGCAGAAAAAAATGAGCTGCCTCTTTTTCAGGGCTTGTGGGTCAAATTGGTCCCAATGGCTTAGGATGCATTTCAAGGGTGAGCCTGTTGATTCCTGTGTGTTTCCCAACTGAAAGACAAAACCGCCTGTGGTTTTGGTTTGTTTGTTTCTCCCCCTGCCTAAGAACCCCAATGGTCCCTGGACCCTGCTGATTGGAACAGTTGCACTCAACGATGCAGCAGCAGAAACACCTCTTGCCCAAGAACCTGCAACCATCCCTGGACCCTGCTGATTGGAATAGTTACACTCTCTGATGCAGCAGCAAAAACAACTCTTGCCCAAGAACCCTCAATGGTCCCTGGACCCTGCTGATCAGAATAGTTGTACTCACCAATGCAGCAGCAGAAACACTAGTTTTCCTCCTAGACCACAAGGAGGTCTAGGAAGGAAAGTCAGATTTAGTGGCCCTTACTGACGCATTCTCGAAAACCTGTTAGAGTCCTAAGCATTCTCCTGTTAGTATTGGGATCTTACCACTGTCCTATAAAGATGTTATGCCCCAAAAATGAAGTGGAGGGCCACACCCTGAGGGAGGGAAGGGATCTCCAGAGTTGGAAGAGTGACGCTTTTTGTCCTCACTTATATGAATAGGAAAGATACCATTTCTGAAGCTCCCCATATCCTAGCTTCAGGAATAGCTTTTGTTAGGTCTGCTAGTCTGAGGAGGGATCCTAAAATTCCAGAGAGTCCCCTCCTTGACGGGGCTTTGGGCAAAAATTATATCTTTCTGATTGGTGAGTCCAGGTGCCTAAAGAAGGGAATAGAGTCCTGGAGTTTATACTAGAAATCATTCTTATAGGAGAAACTAGAAAAGCACCAGAGACAGGGAGTGGTTTTTAGAAGCAGGACTAGCCTCAGAGAACAGAGGTGAGAGGAAGTTTGTCTGACAGGCGTTAGGACCCAGGAGGCAAGGGTCAGGATAGATAGGATATATGGGCGAGTCTCTCTTGCGCGACATGACTTTGAGAATTCTGCTCATGGCCGCAGGGTCAACCAACTTGTTGTCGGGACCACAGAGCTGAATGGCTTTCCTCTCTGTTGATACTCGGCTCAGCCCGGAAGTACAGGAAAAGCAGAAGCTGGTTCTAGGCAAACCAATGCTCCCAACTCCAAAGAGTTGGGTTTGTTCGAGAGCCCTTTCCCGGAAAGCCTGTCACTGGTGTCCTTAGTCCAGCAGCTGCACTAGTCACTTTTAACTGGCTGACAGGTGCCCGGTATTTAGTTCCTGAATTCTGCATGCTATAGATTTTATAGTAGAGCTCTTATAGTTGATTATACTTTCTAGATAATGTATTCTTGGTAATATATGTGGTTTTAAATATTTTCTCCATATTTCTAGCTTACTTTTCATTTTTTAGCAGGATACCTTACAGAAAAACAGTTTTAAATTTTGATAAAGCTCCATCTATTGATTTCGTTTGTTTTTTGTGTTTGTGTGTGTGTGTGTGTGTTTTTTTTTTTTTTCTGAGACAGAGTGTTGCTCTGTTGCCCAGGCTGGAACGCAGTGGCATGATCTCGGCTCACTGCAAGCACCGCCTCCGGTGTTCAAGCCATTCTCCTGCCTCAGCCTCCCGAGTAGCTGGGACTACAGGCACCCACTACTGTGCCTGGCTAATTTTTTGCCCAGCCTGTGCTTTTGTTTTTTACACATAGCGCTTTTGGTGTCATGTCTATGAACTCAGAACACAGACACCAGGCCCTAGCTCCTGATGATTTTCTCATATGTTTTTTCTAAATCTTTAACATGTAGACATGATTTAATTGGGGGTAAATGTTTTCATAAGATGTGAGAATTTGTTAAGTCTCTTTCTTGTGTCTTTTTCCTTTTGCTTCCTTTTTTATTTTGTTTGGTTTTGGTTTGTCTATGGATTTCCACTTTCTCCTGGACCATATTTTGAAAAGACTACAGACTATATTACCTCCATTGAATTATTATGATTCTTTGTGAAAATGAGTTGGCATAGGTGTTTTCCTATGTTGGTCAGGTTGGTCTGGAAATCCCGACCTCAGGTGATCTGCCTGCCTTGGCCTCCCAAAATGCTGGGATTACAGGCATGAGCGCCAGAGTTCTGCTCTCATATTCTTTTTTTTTTTTCCTTCTTGCTTTAGGTTATTTTGGACTACTTTTTTAGATTCTTGAGGTGGGAACTGAGATTATTGGTTTCTGACCTTTTCTCTTTTTCAGTGTGTACATTTTGTACTATAAATAGTTTTTCAAAGCACTGCTTTAGCTATGTACCAAAGATCTTGATATGTTATACTTTCATTTTCACTTAGTTGAATACATTTTTTATTTTCCTTAAGACATCTTTTTTGATCCACAGGTAATTTAAAAGTATGTTTTTTGTTTCCATGTGTTTTCAGTTGTACTGATTTTCTTCATGTTATTGATTTCTGGTTCAACTCCATTGCTTCCAGAGAACAAGGTCTGTATGATTTCAATTCTTTCACATTTGTTGAGGTTTATTTTATGGTCCAGTGTGTGATCTACATTGGTAAATATTCCATGGACAGTTAAAAATCTGTATTCTTCTATTTGGTGTGGTGGTCTGTAAAGGTATATTAGATCTTATTGGTGGATAGTTTTGTTGGGTTTCATTATCTGGCTGAGGTTTTGTACAGTTGTTTTATTAATATTTCAGAGATGGTTTGTGAAGTCTCAAAGTTTAACTGTGTATTTGTCTATTTCTCCTTCCAGTTCTGACCATTTTTGCTCTACTTATTTGTAACTCAGTTTTTTGATGCACACACATTTCGAGTTGCTATGTCTTCATTCTGAATCAACACTTTTATCTTTATTTAGTGTTTCTGTTTGTCTCTTAGAATATCCATTGCTCTGTGTATTTTATGTTATCTGATACTATAGCAATTTCTGCTTTCTTTGACAGATGTTTGTATGGTTTATTTTTTTCCATTCTTCTATTTCAACCTTCCACTCTTGTAATATTTGCAGTAAGTTTCTAATAGGGAGAGGTGAAGCAAGCTGGACTTCTGGGTTGGGTAGGGACTTGAAGAACTTTTCTGTGGCTAGCTAGAGGTTTGTAAAATGCACCAATCAGTGCTCTGTAAAGACTCACCAATTGGCGCTCTGTGGCTAGCTAGAGGTTTATAAAATGGACCAATCAGCACTCTGTAAAATGGACCAGTCAGCACTCTGTAAAATGGACCAATCAGTACTCTGTAAAATGGACCAATCAGCAGGACATGGGTGGGGACAAGTAAGGGAATAAAAGCTGGCCACCCCAGCCAGCAGCAGAAACCTGCTTGGGTCCCCTCCCACACTGTGGAAGCTTTGTTCTTTTGCTCTTCACAATAAATCTTGCTACTGCTCACTCTTTGGGTCAGTGCCAACTTTAAGAGCTGTAACACTCACCACGAAGGTCTACAGCTTCATTCTTGAAGCCAGTGAGACCACAAACCCCACTGAAGTTAATGAGACCATGAACCCACCGGAAGGAACAAAATTTGGACACAATAGATAGTGTATCTATGGTTCATTATTTTTCACTCTGACGTTTGTCTTTTCAGACAATTTACATGTAATGCAATTATTAGTATGTGGGTTCTTATGAATGCCATCTGCTTTTTGTTTTCTTTTTTGTTTCCTTTGGTTTTAGTTTCTTTGTTTGCTTTTCCTGTTTTTTGATGTGTTCCTTAAGCGATTTTTAGAATTCCATTTTGTAATCAATCATTTTTTTGGTGTATCTCATTGTATAGCTTTTGTGATTTATCTATCTATTAACATAACTTATCATAGTCTACCGGTGCTGACATTTTGTCAATTTGACTAAAGTGTAGAAACTTTACCTCCTTTATATCCCTTTCCGTTCTTGCATTTAAATATACATTTTTTATTTTCTCTACTTGCATCAAAAACCACATCTGACAGTGTTGTAATTTTTGCCTCAACCATCAATCAAATTAATTTACAAAACTGAAGAAGAGAAGTCTGTTGTCTCAACCCATATTTTTAATCATTCTATTGTTTATTTTTTTCCTGATCATCCAAGATTTCTTCCATTATCCTTTCTATTCAAATTCAAGCACTTCCTTTAGCTCTTGTTTTAGGGTAAGTCTGCTAGCATCAAATTCTCTTGATTTTCCTTCCTCTAAGAATGTCATGGTCGGGTGTGATGGCTCATGCCTGTAACCCCAGCACTTTGAGAGGCCAAGGTAGGTGGATCCCCTGAGCTCAGGAGTTTGAGACCAGCCTGGGCTACATGAGCAAACCCAGTCTCAGCAGAAAATACAAAAATTAGCCAGGCATGGTGGTATGTGTCTGTAATCCCAGCTACTCAGGACGCTGAGGTGTGAGGATCGCATGAGCCTGGGAGGCAGAGGCTGCAGTGAGCCGTGGTCACGCCACTGCTCTTGAGCCTGGATGAAAGAGCAAGACTCCATCTAAAAACAAAACCAAACAAAAATAAAGAATGTCATGATAGAACCTTCATTTTATAATAATATTTTTCTGGTTATACATTCTAGGTTAACATTACTTTCAGCCATTAAAATAACTTGTGCCACTTCTGACTGGTCTGCATGATTTCTAATGAGCAATCCACTGTTACTTAATTTATTTTCTCCTATGCATCAGATGTCATTTCTCTCTTGTTGCTTTCAAGAGTTTTTTGGGGGAGGCTGAGGCAGGAGAATGGCTTGAACCCAGGAGGAGGAGCTTGCAGTGAGCCGAGATCGCACCACTGCACTCCAGCCTGGGCGACAGAGTAAGACTCCGTCTCAAAAAAAAAAAAAAAAGAGTTTTTTGGTCTAAATTTCTTTGGATTTATCTTCTTTTGGGTTTGCACAGATTCTTGAATTTTTACATTTAAGACTTTGTCCAAATTTGGAAAGTAGTCAATCTTCCTTCAAACACTCTTTGGGCATCACCCATTTGTCATCTCCCTCTAAGACTTCAGTGACACAAATTTCATATCTTTTGTTATAATCTTATGGATTTATCAGCATGAAATAATGTTAACAACTTTACAAAATAAATTTGCATGTAATGAATAAATTGCTCAAAATGTACAATGTACTGAAGCTGACAAATAACATAAAATATGAAGAGTTCCACATCTCATAGAGAAAGTAAGCCCATTCCATAAAGTTTTCCCAAGACAAAACCGCAGGCTCATCCAGTTTCAGTAACTATTTTAAACTATTTAAGGAACAAACAACACTAACTTTACGCAAACTTCAAACATATTTGAAAAAAGGAAAAATACTTGCAGTTACGTTTAACGAGATCTGTGTAAACTTTACTTCAAGACCTGAAAAGAACTCTACAACAAATAGGAATTTATAGACCAATAACTCTTATCAGCCAAGTTCTTAAGAAAATATTAGCCAACTGAATTCAGTGGCATAAAAGATGGCTACTACATCATGACCAAGTGAAGTTTATCCCAGAAATTCAAGGTTGTTGGAACATTTGAGACTCAGTTAGTGTGATTCACTACATTAACTGAAGGAAGGAGAATACACATGCAACCACCTTAATAGAGTCTTGAAGTATTATTTGACAGAATTCAGCACTTGGCCTTAATTTTTTAAAAATCTGGCCAGGAGCGGTGGCTCATGCCTGTAATCCCAGCACTTCGGGCGGCTGAGTTGGGTGGATCACCTCAGGTCGGGAGTTCGAGACCAGCCTGACCAAAAGGCGAAACCCTGTCTCTAGCAAATACACAAAATTAGCCGGGCGTGGTGCTGCGTGCCTGTAGCCTCAGGTACTCGGGAGGCTGAGGCAAGAGAATCGCTTGAACCTGGAAGGCAGAGGTTGCAGTGAGCTGAGATCGTGCCACTGCACTCCAGCCTGGGCAGCAAGAGCAAAGCTCCGTCTCAAAAATAAATAAATAAATAAAAATCTGTTTGCGAACTTGTATTTAAAAGGTATTTCTTCAATCTAAGAAGTGATTGCTAACCTATTGCACACATTAGTCTCAGCAGTGAAATATGTAAAACTGTCTCTTTCATATCTGGAGTAGTAGAGGAGTCAGACCATGAAAATGGCAAGAAAGACATATGAAAGAGATACTAATTGCATCCACGTAAAATTGTCATTATTTACTCTTGACCTAATCAGGTACTTGAAAAATAAAAATAATAGACAAACTCATAGATTTAATAAGTAAATATAAATAAGGTTGCTGGATACAAAGTCACTCTACATTAAACCAATTACGTTATTGATATAGTTTGGATGTTTGTCCCCTCCAAATCTCATGTTAAAACGTAACCTCCAATGTTGTATCCTTTTATAATACAAGCATTTAAAGCTAAATATTTTTTCTAAGGACTGCCTTGGTTGCATAAGACAAATTTTAAATATTCATTTTGGTATTATTTTATTTAAAATTATGTCCTAATTTTCCTTCTGATTTTATTTGACAAGCCACAGGCTATTTAGAAATGTATTATTTTACTTCCAAAAATTTGGGCAATGTTCTTCATCTTACTTATTTGTAATTTGATAAGACTGTGTTCAGATAATATACTCTGTATGATTTTATTCTTGTAAAAGTAATTGAGACTACTTTTATAGTCATAGTATTTGTTCTATTTCATGAATAATCTTTGTGCAATGTAAATAAATAAACATTCTGTAGTTCTCAGATATCAGTATATATGTCAATTATAAATGCCAGCTAAGTCAAGATGGTTGAAAGATTGTTCCTATCTTGATTTCCTTCCTGATCTTTGTTTGCACGAAGCTACAGAGATGTTTGTTGTCTTCTATGTACGGCCCTAGTTCCCACACCACCAGCATGAAGCCAGAAAAAGTTCTGGAAGGAGACTCAGCTGGCAGGGTAAAGTAGATGTATATTATTCAGGGGGCCTCTATAGATTGTAATCTATCACACAAGCCCACAGGGCTATTTACAACTCAGCTGCTTTGTCTTCAGTCCCTGTCTCCCTTTCTCAGCCAGGCTCAATTTTCCCCCCATGTTAAGATTCCGTAGATGGACCAAAGAATAAGAGTGGACATTTGTCCCTGCTCACCTAAGTGGAATTTGTTCATCTCTGGAATTTGGAATTTTTATACTTTTTGATCTATGGCTCATTAAAATTTTAAAAATAAGATTATTTTCCAGTTTATCCATTTAGTCTAATTTATATTTTTTTTGTTCTTATAGTAACAGTGACAATTCTTGTAATTTTCTACCTCCTAATTGGCATTAAGTTCTATGATTTTTTTCCAATCCGTGTTGATAGTCCTACATAATTTACTTAAAGCCCTGAATATTATTCCTTTCTACGTCTATACCACAATTTACCTTTCTTCCAAATATTGAGAATGTTTATTTTCTCTCCTGTTTCATTTTTTATATGTCATCATAGACATACAAGAAAAAATGTACTAAGACTGTAAAAACTTAGAGTGGAAATACTGTATTATCCAAATGACTCACAGGGTTACACCAATATATGCTCACAGTGCCCCACACAGCACCAAATGTCATCCTGCAGTGTGCTGTCACTTCACATACTGCATGGTTTTTTATGATGTGCAAAAGTTTTATAATCAAGACAAATTAATCAGTTTTTCTTTTAGAATTTGGAAATGTTTTTGTTATTGCAAACCATGGCTCAAAACGACCAATTTTATATTTCTTTGGGCTCATGTAGGATTGTTTCCTTAAGACAGATGTTTAGAATGGGATTTTTGTTGTTTTCATCCAGCACGTAACAATTGCATTTTGAGTTTTAGTAGCACACTGCCATCTACTCACAATCTTAATAATATAGGAGAATCTATTCCCATAGAATCTTCTAAGTCCTTGATTTTAAAACAAACTATTGTATTTTCCAGTTTTGGCGGGGGGAGAAATTGCTATTTGAATTTGGATTTTTCCGTTCGTTGGTGAGTTTGAGCAAATATTTATTGACTATTGGAATATTCTCTTCTATACTCAGTTTATATGCTTTGCCCAACTTTCCATGGCATTTCCATTAATTAATTTATTGATCAGTTAACAATTTTCCTAAGAAAGTTAGCCCATTTTCTGTCTTATGTGATCAAAATTTTTTCTGAGCTTCATATACTTCTTTTAATTTTGTTATTTTCTTCAGGAAAAGAAGTAAGTAATTTTCTTAAAATATTTTTCCATTTGTGTCTTCTGGATTTTGTCTTGCTTACAAAGTCTTATTTTTTAAAAAAAGAATTATTTTAACAAGATTCCTAAGGCTTAATTTACATACTATGAGATTCATTCATTCTATATGTAAATTTTAATGATTTTAGTAAATCAATAGATTTGTGCAATTATCACAACAATCCAGTTTTTTAACATTTCTGTTATGTCCAAAATTTATCTATTTATAGTTAATTCCCACCGATACCCCAAGCCCTAGGCACCCAATGATCTGCTTTTTGCATCTATCAATTTACCTCTTCTACATATTTCAAGTAAATGAAATCATACGTTATGTAACCTTTTGTGTCCAGTTTCCTTCACTTAGTTAACATTATTGAAGTTCATCAGTTTGTAGTTTGTCCCTTTTCATTTCGTTTCTTTTTATTTATTTTCTCTTTTTTTATTTGTGTAAATGTATAAGGTACAAGTGTAGCTTTATTACCTGCGTAGATTGTGTAGTGTTGAAGTCAGTGTTCCACAGTATCCATCACCTAAATCACATGCATTGTACCCATTAAGTAATCTCTCATCATCTAGAGTGCAAGGGTTGAAACTTGCCTTGGGAAAACTACCCTCATGTTCATGGTATCTCCTCTGCCAGATAAGTCTAGTTTTGTTCCCTTTTATTGTTGAATGATATTGCCTTGCATGGATGTAGTTGATCCATTTTGTTTGTCCATTTACTAGTTGAAGGATATTTGGATTGTTTTCAGTTTGGGCCAACTACAGCTAAGGCTGTTCCGAACACTTGAACACATATCTTTGTGAGGACATACGTTTTTATGTCTCTTAGGTAGATTCCAAGGAGTGAAATTGCTGGGTCATATGGCAAACATATGTTAAACTTTTAAAGAAATTGCCAAATTTCCAGGTATTTGTAAAATCATACACTCCCACCAGCAACACGTAAGGGTTTAGAAAGTCTATTCATCTTCAAACATAATTATAATGATGACGACAGTATTAGAAATAACATCTGTCTTGGGGATTTTATATTTTCTCTTGATGTTTCAATTTTTATTCATCCAGGATCCATTCGGTGAAAGAAATGACTTTGGAATACAACTTACCACAAACTGAAACTAAATCTCAACTCTTTCTGGTTCTAATTCTAGACTCTGTTCTACTAGCATATTTAATAAAAAATAAAGAATCAGTAACAAATGTATATATATATTTTTTGAGACGGAGTCTCACTCTGGCGCCCAGGCTGGGGTGCAGTGGCGTGATCTGGGCTCACTGCAAGCTCCACTGCCCGGGTTCACGCCATTCTCCCACCTCAGCCTCCAGAGTAGCTGGGACTACAGGTGCCCACCACCATGCCCGGCTAATTTTGTTTTTTGTATTTTTGGTAGAGATGTGGTTTCACCGTGTTAACCAGGATGGTCTTGATCTCCTGACCTTGTGATCCACCTGCCTTGGCCTCCCAAAGTGCTGCGATTATAGGCGTGAGCCACCGTGCCCGGCCAACAAATGTATTTTTAAAAATAAATGTATAGTATGTTTTAGCACCTTATAGAGCTAGTCATTCCTTATTCTACTTTTTTCAAAAATTTCCCTGTAAAAACAACATGTCAGCATACCTAATTGAGTTCTAAAATCAATCCTTTCTCCTTGCTTTTTTGTTTTATTCTAATTGAGTTAATGGCAGACATTTAATGCTCAATACATATGTATTAAAAAAGACCCAAAACGCTGAATGGAGGGTGCCTATCAGGAATCTCTAGGCCTTCATGTGAAATTTAACTACAAATACTAACAACCTAAGAGTACCACAATCTATCATTTCCCTACTCTGAAATCAACCTCTCCTACTCCATCCACCATTTCTTTATTTTTAAAAATATATGATTTTGCTCCTTTTCTCCCCATGTGCTTCAGGCCCACTCTACAAAGCCAGGTTGAATCCTGGCTTGTCTGAGTCTGTGTGATCCCACGGTCATTCCAGTGAGAAAGTGGTTACTGAGAACACTCTGAAACAGTGTAGTTGCTCCTTATAAAGGCACACAGGAAAGAAGGAGTATCCTTTTCTCGCCTTTGGGAGTTGTTGTTAGAGAATAAGAAACCTAAAGCTGCTGCAGGGATCCTCCGACCATCTCAGGAAAGCTGACGTGCTGTGTGATAGAGAGATGAGCTATGAAGTTCCAGGATCGCTGGTGATGCCACCAGCATGATGAGTTGAGCAACCCTGGAGATGCCCAGCCTTGGATGTATTGGCTATGTGAGATAATGGGTTAAAGAAAATAAAGCCCACTACATGGGATTTCTTGTTATTCGCAGCAGAAGCATCTTCATTCAAATATTCATCCCACACATTTTAGTTCTACACCACAAGTCTCATATAAAATGAGACAAATCATGTCCTCAACTTAGGGAACAAGGCCTATTTGTTGCAACTCTGGGATCAAACAGAACAGACATAATTATCAGCTTAATATATTCCTATAGGATTTATGTTCCTATAGGATTTATATGTACTTATACTGCTATGTATGTACAAGTAACATATAACTTAAAATAAAATATGCATAAAATAAATATTGAATTTGATTGAAAATAAGTTGTCTCTGACAGTAGAGAAATTGTGCTGAAATGGTTATTACTTTGAAATAGACTTCTGCATTGATTATGTACTTTTTAGATTTGACATATATGAGACTGACTCTCAGAACACAATGGAGAACCCTCCATCTTCTAAATTTGTCTTTCTCTGAAATCTGTACAAGTCCTTCGGTAATACTATATTACTGAAGTCTCTGGAATGAAAAACCATATACTAATAGATACACAATATTGTAGATGGGATTAAGAAAGAGTTCTGGGCCACGAGCGGTGGCTCATGAGTGTGGTCCCAGCACTTTGGGAGGCCAAGGTGGGTGGATCACCAGGTCAGGAGATCGAGACCATCCTGGCTAACACGGTGAAATCCCATCTTTACTAAAAATACAAAAAATTAGCCGGGCGTGGTGGTGGGTGCCTGCAGTCCCAGCTACTTGGGAGGCTGAGGCAGGAGAATGTCTTGAACCCGGGAGGCAGAGTTTGCAGTGAGCCGAGATCGCACCACTGCACTCCAGCCTGAGCAACAGAGGGTGACTCTGTCTCAAAAAAAAAAAAAAAAAAAAAAAAGTTTTGATGTACTTGTACTTGCTAGCTGGTTTCTCATCTCAGGTTGGCCACGTTTTTTTTCGGTTGTTACAGTCTCTTCTCAGTTTTTAAGCATTGCCTTTGTAAATGTTAGGTTTACTTTTTTAATTGACAAGTAAAAATTTTATAGTGTATTTATGTTGTAGAGCTGAAGTTTTGATATATGCCCATAGTGTGGAATGTCTAAATCAAGCTATTTAACATATGCATTACCTCACTTACTTATGACTTATACACGAAAACCATTATTCTACTGGGAAATAATCTTCTCTTTTTCTTTTCTTTTTTTTTCTTTGTCCTTGGAGCCAAATGGAACAGATGATTTTTTTCCACTTTCTTTTTATTATTATTATTATTATTATTATTATTATTATTATTATACCTTAAGTTTTGGGCTACATGTGCAGAATGTGCAGGTTTGTTACACAGGTATACATGTGCCATGGTGGTTTGTTGCACCCATCACCCCATAATCCACATTACGTATTGCTACTAATGCTATCCTTCCCCTAGCCCCCTACCCACTGACAAGCCCCGGTGTGTGTGTGATGTTCCCCTCCTTTTGTCCATGTGTTCTCATTGTTCAACTCCTAGTTATGAGTGAGAACATGCAGCGTGTGGTTTTCTGTCCTTGTGTTAGTTTGCTGAGAATGATGGTTTCCAGCGTCATTCATGTCCCTGCAAAGGACATGAACTCATCCTCTTTTATGCTGCATAGTATTCCATGGTGTATATGTGCCACATTTTCTTTATCCAGTCTATTATTGATGGGCATTTGGGTTGGTTCCAAGCCTTTGCTATTGCGAATAGTGCTGCAATAAACATATGTGTGCATGTGTATTTATAGTAGAATGATTTATAATCCTTTGGGTATATACCCAGTAATGGGATGGCTGGGTCAAATGGTATTTCTAGTTCTAGATCCTTGAGGAATCGCCACACTGTCTTCCACAATGGTTGAACTAATTTACATTCCCACCAACAGTGTAAAAACTTTCCTATTTCTCCACATCCTCTCCAGCATCTGTTGTTTCCGGACTTTTTAATGATCGCCATTCTAACTCGTGTGAGATGGTATCTCATTGTAGTTTTGATTTGCATTTCTCTAATGACCAGTGATGATGAGCTTTTTTTCATGTTTGTTGGCTGCATAAATGTCTTCTTTTGAGAAGTGTCTGTTCATATCATTCACCCACTTTTTGATTTTGTTTTTCCTTGTAAATTTGTTTAAGTTATTTGTAGATTCTGGATATTAGCCCTGTGTCAAATTGATAGATTGCAAAAATTTTCTCCCATTCTGTAAGTTGCCTGTTCACTCTGATACTAGTTTCTTTTGCTGTGCATAAGCTCTTTAGTTAAATCAGATCACATTTGTCTATTTTGGCTTTTGTTGCCATTTCTTTTGGTGTTTTAATCATGAAGTCTTTGCCCATGCCTATGTCCTGAATGATATTGCCTAGGTTTTCTTCTAAGGCTTTTATGGTCTTAGGTCTTACATTTAAGTTTTTAATCCATCTTGAGTTAATTTTTGTATGAGGTGTAAGAAAGGGATCCAGTTTCAGCTTTCTGCATATGGCTAGTCAGTTTTCCCAACATCGTCTATTAAATAGGGAATCCTTTTCTGTTGCTTGTTTTTGTCACGTTTGTCAAAGATCAGATGTTTGTAGATGTGTGGCGTTATTTCTGAGGCCTCTGTTCTATTCCATTGGTCTATATATCTGTTTTGGTACCAGTACCATGCTGTTTTTGTGACTATACCCTTGTAGTAAAGTTTGAAGTCAGGTAGCGTGATGCCTCTAGCTTTGTTCGTTTTGCTTTGGATTGTCTTGGATATGCCAGCTCTTTTTTGGTTCCATATGAAATTTAAAGTAGTTTTTTCCAATATTGTGAAGAAAGTCAATTGTAGCTTGATGGGGATAGCATTGAATCTATAACTTACTTTGGGCAGTATGGCCATTTTGATGATATTGATTCTTCGTATCTATGAACATGGAATGTTTTTCCATTTGTGTCCTCTCTTATTTCCTTGAGGTGATTTGCAGTTCTCCTTGAAGAGGTCCTTCACATCCCTTGTAAGTTGGATTCCTAAGTATTTTATTCTCTTAGTAGCAATTGTGAATGGGAGCTCACTCATGATTTGGCTCTCTGTTTGTTATTGGTGTATAGGAATGCTTGTGATTTTTGCACATTGATTTTGTATCCTGAGACTTTGCTGAAGTTGTTTATCAGCTTAAGGAAATTTTGGGCTGAGATGGGGTTTTCTAAATTTATAATCATGTCATCTGTAAACAGGGACAATTTGACTTCCTCTTTTCCTGATTGAATACCCCTTATTTCTTTTTCTTGCCTGATTGCCCTGGCCAGAACTTCCGATACTATGTTGAATAGGAGTGGTGAGAGAGGACATCGTTGTCTTGTGCCAGTTTTCAAAGGGAGTGCTTCTAGGTTTTGCTCATTCAGTATGACATTGGCTGTGGGTTTGTCATAAATAGCTCTTATTATTTTGAGATGTGTTCCATCAATGCCTAGTTTATTGAGAGTTTTTAGCATGAAGGGTTGTTGAATGTTGCCCAAGGCCTTTTCTGCATCTATTGAGATAACCATGTGGTTTTTGTCATTGGTTCTATTTATGTGAATGGATTACGTTTATTGATTTGCATATGTTGGACCAGATGATTTTTAACTCCATGTTTGAGAAAAATTTAATAACGTAATGTGTTTGTGGCACACAGGATGTACAGATGCACGGGAGGCCGTAGGGTTAGGTAAAGGGGGCCACAAAAGCTTAAGATTAGGCACTGCCATCAATGCTCGGACTTCAGACCAAGTGAAGGGGCTAAGGAAGCCATAAGGGAGGATATTTTCTGCAGAGTTGTGGAACCAATAGCAACCAGGCTCTGAGAAAGCGCTCTGTTGTGGAAGAATAAGAGCCAAGCGGTGGATAAGCTTTTTGATGTGCTGCTGGATTCGGTTTGCCAGTATTTTATTGAGGATTTTTGCATCAATGTTCATCAGGGATGTTGGTCTAAAATTCTCTTTTTTGGTTGTGTCTCTGCCCGGCTTTGGTATCAGGATGATGCTGGCCTCATAAAAATGAGTTAGGGAGGATTCCCTCTTTTTCTATTGATTGGAATAGTTTCAGAAGGAATGGTACCAGTTCCTCCTTGTACCTCTGGTAGAATTCGGCTGTGAATCCATCTGGTCCTGGACTCTTTTTGGTTGGTAAGCTATTGATTATTGCCACAATTTCAGAGCCTGTTATTGGTCTATTCAGAGATTCAACTTCTTCCTGGTTTAGTCTTGGGAGGGTGTCTGTGTCGAGGAATTTATCCATTTCTTCTAGATTTTCTAGTTTATTTGCGTAGAGGTGTTTGTAGTATTCTCTGATGGTAGTTTGTATTTCTGTGGGATCAGTGGTGATATCCCCTTTATCATTTTTTATTGCATCTATTTGATTCTTCTCTCTTTTCTTCTTTATTAGTCTTGCTAGCAGTCTATCAATTTTGTTGATCCTTTCAAAAAACCAGCTCCTGCATTCATTACTTTTTTGAAGGGTTTTTTGTGTCTCTATTTCCTTCAGTTCTGCTCTGATTTTAGTTATTTCTTGCCTTCTGCTAGCTTTTGAATGTGTTTGCTCTTGCTTTTCTAGTTCTTTTAATTGTGATGTTAGGGTGTCAATTTTGGATCTTTCCTGCTTTCTCTTGTGGGCATTTAGTGCTATAAATTTCCCTCTACACACTGCTTTGAATGTGTCCCTGAGATTCTGGTATGTTGTGTCTTTGTTCTCATTGGTTTCAAAGAACATCTTTATTTCTGCCTTCATTTCGTTATGTACCCGGTAGTCATTCAGGAGCAGGTTGTTCAGTTTCCATGTAGTTGAGTGGTTTTGAGTGAGTTTCTTAATCCTGAGTTCTTGTTTGATTGCACTGTGGTCTGAGAGACAGTTTGTTATAATTTCTGTTCTTTTACATTTGCTGAGGAAAGCTTTACTTCCAACTATGTGGTCAATTTTGGAATAGGTGTGGTGTGGTGCTGAAAAAAATGTATATTCTGTTGATTTGGGGTGGAGAGTTCTGTAGATGTCTATTAGGTCCACTTGGTGCAGAGCTGAGTTCAATTCCTGGGTATCCTTGTTAACTTTCTGTCTTGTTGATCTGTCTAATGTTGACAGTGGGGTGTTGAAGTCTCCCATCATTATTGTGTGGGAGTCTAAGTCTCTTTGTAGGTCACTCAGGACTTGTTTTATGAATCTGGGTGTTCCTGTATTGGGTGCATATATATTTAGGATAGTTAGCTCTTCTTGATGAATTGATCCCTTTACCATTATGTAATGGCCTTCTTTGTCTCTTTTGATCTTTGTTGGTTTAAAGTCTGTTTTATCAGAGACTAGGATTGCTACCCCTGCCTTTTTTTGTTTTCCATTTGCTTGGTAGATCTTCCTCCATCCTTTCATTTTGAACCTATGTGTGTCTCTGAAGGTGAGATGGGTTTCCTGAATGCAGCACACTGACAGGTCTTGACTCTTTATCCAATTTGCCAGTCTGTGTCTTTTAATTGGAGCGTTTAGTCCATTTACATTTAAAGTTAATATTGTTATGTGTGAATTTGATTCTGTCATTATGATGTTAGCTGGTTATTTTGCTCGTTAGTTGATGCAGTTTATGCAAGGCTTGTTCAATATACACAAATCAATAAATGTAATCCAGCATATAAACAGAACCAAAGACAAAAACCACATGATTATCTCAATAGATGCAGAAAAGGCCTTTGACAAAATTCAACAACCCTTCATGCTAAAAACTCTCAATAAATTAGGTATTGATGGGATGTATTTCAAAATAATAAGAGCTATCTATGACAAACCCACAGCCAATATCATACTGAATGGGCAAAAACTGGAAGCATTCCCTTTGAAAACTGGCACAAGACAGGGATGCCCTCTCTCACCATTCCTATTCAACATAGTGTTGGAAGTTCTGGCCAGGGCAATTAGGCAGGAGAAGGAAATAAAGGGTATTCAATTAGGAAAAGAGGAAGTCAAATTGTCCTTGTTTGTAGATGATATGATTGTATATCTAGAAAACCCCATCGTCTCAGCCCAAAATCTCCTTAAGCTGATAAGCAACTTCAGCAAAGTCTCAGGATACAAAATCAATGTACAAAAATCACAAGCATTCTTACACACCAATAACAGACAAACAGAGAGTCAAATCATGAGTGAACTCCCATTCACAATTGCTTCAAAGAGAATAAAATACCTAGGAATCCAACTTACAAGGGATGTGAAGGATCTCTTCAAGGAGAACTACAGACCACTGCTCAATGAAATAAAAGAGGATACAAAGAAATGGAAGAACATTCCATGCTCATGGGTAGGAAGAATCAATATCATGAAAATGGCCATACTGCCCAAGGTAATTTATAGATTCAATGCCATCCCCATCAAGGTACCAATGACTTTCTTCACAGAATTGGAAAAAACTACTTTAAAGTTCATATGGAATCAAAAAAGAGCCCACATCACCAAGTCAATCCTAAGCCAAAAGAACAAAGCTGGAGGCATCACGCTACCTGACTTCAAACTATACTACAAGGCTACAGTAACCAAAACAGCATGGTACTGGTACCAAAACAGAGATATAGATCAATGGAACAGAACAGAGCCCTCAGAAATAACGCCGCATGTCTGCAACTATCTGATCTTTGACAAACCTGAGAAAAACAAGCAATGGGGAAAGGATTCCCTGTTTAATAAATGGTACTGGGAAAACTGGCTAGCCATATGTAGAAAGCTGAAACTGGATCCCTTCCTTACACCTTATACAAAAATTAATTCAAGATGGATTAAAGACTTACATGTTAGAAGTAAAACCATAAAAACCCTAGAAGAAAACAGAGGCAATACCATTCAGGACATAGGCATGGGCAAGGACTTCATGTCTAAAATACCAAAAGCAATGGCAACAAAAGCCAAAATTGACAAATGGGATCTAATTAAACTAGAGAGCTTCTGCACAGCAAAAGAAACTACCATCTGAGTGAACAGGCAACCTTCAGAATGGGAGAAAATTTTCACAACCTACTCATCTGACAAAGGGCTAATATCCAGAGTCTACAATGAACTGAAAGAAATTTACAAGAAAAAAACAAAGAACCCCATCAAAAACTGGGCAAAGGACATGAACAGACACTTCTCAAAAGAAGATATTTATGCAGCCAAAAAACACATGAAAAAATGCTCACCATCGCTGACCATCAGAGAAATGCAAATCAAAACCACAATGGGATACCATCTCATACCAGTTAGAATGGCAGTCATTAAAAAGTCAGGAAACAACAGGTGCTGGAGAGGATGTGGAGAAATAGGAACACTTTTACACTGTTGGTGGGACTGTGAACTAGTTCAACCATTGTGGAAGTCAGTATGGCAATTCCGCAGGGATCTAGAACTAGAAATACCATTTGACCCAGCCACCCTATTACTGGGTATATACCCAAAGGACTATAAATCATGCTGCTATAAAGACACATGCACACGTATGTTTATTGCGGCACTATTCACAATAGCAAAGACTTGGAACCAACCCAAATGTCCATCAATGATAGACTGGATTAAGAAAATTTGGCACATATATACCATGGAATACTATGCAGCCATAAAAAATGATGAGTTCATGTCCTTTGTAGGGACATGGATGAAATTGGAAATCATCATTCTCAATGAACTATCGCAAGGACAAAAAACCAAACACCGCATGTTCTCACTCATAGGTGGGAATTGAACAATGAGAACACATGGACACAAGAAGGGAAACATCACACTCAGGGGACTGTTGTGGGGTGGGGGAAGGGGGGAGAGATAGCATTAGGAGATATACCTAATGCTAAATGACGAGTTAATGGGTGCAGCACACCAGCATGGCACATGTATACATATGTAACTAACCTGCACATTGTGCACAAGTACCCTAAAACTTAAAGTATAATTAAAAAAAAAGAGAGAGAGAGAATCCTAAAAGCAGCCAAAGAAAAGCGTACATTGCCTGCAGGGAACAAGGATAGAAATGTTTATTGACTTCCCATCATAAATAGTGCAGATCAGAATACAACTGACTAACATCTTTAAAATGCTAAAATAAAACTACCACTGTGTACCCAGAAAATTTTAAAATTAAAATTTTACAAATAAATAAAACTAAAAAAAAAAAAAAGAGCCAAGCGGAAAAGCTTTTCCTCCTGCAAAGCTGGGGCAGAAGTTTCCTCCTTGAATGTGGTCATCTTCACTTCAGTTCAGGAGTCCTGCAGAAGACACAGGAGAGTGTTGTTTTCAGACATGGCTCTACTAACAGCTTCTTTCCCCCTCTTTCAGGGACTCAGATGAAAGCAGTACAGGAAGAAGAAAAACAAGTTGCTAAGTCTCCCTGAGCCAATACTACTGCAGAGCACTGGCCTTTTATTTTTTATTTATTCATTTTTTCAGATGGAGTTTCACTCTTGTTGCCCAGGCTGGAGTGCAGTGGTGCGCTTACCACAACCTCTGCCTCCCAGCTTCAAACCATTCTCCTACCTCAGCCTCCTCAGTAGCTGGAATTACAGGCATGCGCCACCACGCATGGCTAATTTTTTTTGTATTTTTAGTAGAGACAAGGTTTCTCCTTGTTGGTCAGGCTGGTCTCGAACTCCTGACCTCAGGTGATCCACCCGCCTCAGCCTCCCAAAGTGCTGAGATTACAGGCATGAGCTACTGCGCCTGGCCAAGCACAGGCCTTTTCTAAGTAGAGAGGAGTTTTGGCGTAAATTGCCTGATCAGAAATTTGGATCCAAAGTCTTTCCTATTATTTCTGTCTCATCCCTTATCACCTCTACCATCATTCTAGGAAAGCGAATCTGTTTCTAAAAGAGAATGAAAAGGTATTACCTGTTGGCTGAAGTCCAGAGTGTCCTGGGAAAAAGGGGAAAAGATACACATTTAAAAGATATGGAAGCAGGCCGGGTGCGGTGGCTCATGCCTGTAATCCCAGCACTTTGGGAGGCCAAGTTGGGTGGATCACAAGGTCAAGAGATCGAGACCATCTTGGCCAACATGGTGAAACCCCATCTCTACTAAAAATACAAAAATTAGCTGGGCGTGGTGGCAGGTGCCTATAGTCCCAGCTACTCGGGAGGTTGAGGCAGGAGAATCACTTGAATCCGGGAGAAGGAGGTTGCAGTGAGCCAAGATCACGCCACTGCACTCCAGCCTGGGGACAGAGCGAGACTCCGTCTCAAAAAAAAGAAAAAAGAAAAAAGATATGGAAGCAAATCTGTCCTCCAACACAATATCCCAGCCCCAGATCTCCCACCTGAGATTTCTCTAACACCACAACTTACATGAACCAGGGCAGAGAGGAGCAGAAACTCACCACGTGACCCCTGAAGCGTGAAGTGTCTGTCATAGGATCCAGTGTAATTGTATTAACCTTAGTGGCTCTTCCTTAATTTGCTCCAGGATCTCCAACCAAAGGATCCCTACTTGTTAGCCTTTCTTTTCTCTCTGCAGGCCATAAGCTATTATGCTTTGACATAGTAACCATGCACTGATGATTTCTGGATTAGCGGGACATTGGAGGTCGTTTTGGGAAAGAAAGGCTTTATCCAGGGCCACTCATATACTGAGAACTAACCTCTGCAAAGCCATATTTCCTCCTCCAGAAAAGTCTATGGAGAGAGCCAGCTACGAAAGGTTCCTCACCTTTCTGATTCCTGAAGTAGAGAAACAGCCCGGCCCCAAGGAAGAGCAGGCCCAGCACAAAGCCCCCGACTCCACTCAGCATCTTGCTCTGTGCAGATTCAGACCATGCTCCTGAGAGTGGAAGCCAGGTTTAGTGATTTTTATCCCAAATTGAACCTCTGTAATTGAGATACTGAGATTCAGAGCTTTGAAAATGGGGAAGAAGGCTGCCCTGCAAGAACTAAAATAACTAGCTATTTCTGGGGAAAAAAGGTTTTCAGATCACACTGAACAGTTACAAGGTTAGGCCTCAAACTCATTCAAATATTACAGCCTTGATGTAAGGCATGACTTTGACATCTGATCCACAGAAATCCTGAGACTCAAAGAGGTTTAGTAGTTTGTCTAGAGTGACAGAGCTAATAAAAGGCAGAGCTGGGATTGGACTCCCCTCATGCCAGGAAGACCCCTACAGTTCTCCTCTTCTCAGATCACAACAAACAACCCAGAGCAACAGCAGCAGAAATACAATCTCAGACCCAGAGGCAGGGCCTGGAGCCAGGGAGAGTGGGTGACCCTGACCTGTGCCATCATGGGGAGGTTCAAAAGAGAGACAGCCTCTCCCGCCTGGCAGGCATGACTGCTTTACCATGGGGTACAGGTGCTTTTAGAAATGATTACAGGGCTATCCCCAGTGACCTGTGCTGATGGAGATGAGAATATGGAGCAAATGAAAATAGGATGTGGGAGAGGAGAAACCTGACACTCAGGGATTAGCACAGTCCTGTACTTACTGGGTGAAAAATTTATGAAGTCAGAAAGCTGCTAACTCCATTGCACCGTGAGAGGGCTCATCATGCTTGGATGCTCCACTTGGCAGGTGTAAACCTCTCCACTCTGAGGAACTGTTTCCAGCATCATCAGTGTCTGGAAGGTCCAGTCTCCATTCTGGATCAGGCCTGTGGACACCACCCCAGCCTTCTCTTCCTGGCCGTTCCGGAACCACCTGACTTCAATGCTGGCTGGACAGAAACCACTCACAGAGCAGACCAGGAGGTTGTGGTGCTGCAGGGGCTGGGTCTTTAAAGGATACACAGTCACCTTAGGATGGACTAGAAGAAAAAATGTAGAGGGAATGAGTCATGAAGACAGAGTAAGTCTCCTTGTTTGGCTGTTTTGTTTGTCTGCTTCTCTGTAAACCTAGGCTCTGGCCTTGACCAGGCCTCCAGCACAGCTGGCCATGTGGCCTCACAGTGTCATCAGCCTGGAGTTTAATCTTTATAGTGGGGACCCATTAGATTTGAGAGATGTTGTGATAAATTATGTTTGTTTCTTCATAGCTTGAAATTGGCATGCATTGTCAAAGTGTTTACAAATCTTTGAAAGTACACAGTGTATTAATTAAAACTGATTTCTAAGCCAGGTTGCCTGGTTCACATCCAAGTTCTGCCTTTTACTGGTTGATCCTGGAAGAGTTTTTCCATTCTTCTGTGTCTCAACATTCTTACCTATAATGGAGGATAATTATACTAATTTACCTCTTGAGATTATGTGAGGATTAATGCACGTACAATATATAAAACAATGACTTAAGATAGTCTTCCTTTTATGAGGTCAGAAAGCTTCTCACTCCATTCCACTGTGAGGGCTCATCACACTTGGGTACTCCACTTGGCACCTATTTATCATCCTCTTACACCTTGAGAGAAGAATATGATTTAAAGCAATGTGGATAGATAAAGGGGCAGAGTAGGGCCGGGCGCGGTGGCTCACACTTGTTATCCCAGCACTTTGGGAGGCCGAGGCGGGAGGATCACAAGGTCAGGAGATCAAGACCACCCTGACTAACATGGTGAAACCCTGTCTCTACTAAAAATACAAAAAATTAGCCAGGCGTGGTGGCGGGTGCTTGTAGTCCCAGCTACTCAAGAGGCTGAGGCAAGAGAATGGCGTGAATCCGGGAGGCAGAGTTTGCAGTGAGCCGAGATTGCGCCACACTGCACCTTAGCCTGGGTGACAAATCGAGACTCTGTCTCAAAAATAAATAAATAAATAAATAAATAAATAAATAAAATGAGCATTTTACTTTGTACTCAGAATTGTACTAAAAGCTTTCTATACTTCATATTTTTGTTTAATTCTCACATCAGATCAGTAAAATAAACACCCTTTTCATGCTTACTGGTGGAGAGAATAAAACGATGAAGATAAAACAATTTTTGCAAAGATACAAATCTAGTAAATGGTACACTATAGATTGAACCAAATTATATACCCCTCAAGCTCAGTCACTATATCATACTCCTTCACATTCTATTTCTGAGAATAATGTCCCTTGTATTAAAATTATTTATATCCCTTTAATTTATGGATATGCATAGCAATAAGACTACTTCTTTTAATGAATGGCAGCATTATACAATTTGAGGAAGATGCTGTGTAGCAATTGTAGTTCCTTCAAAAGATTCCCCTCATCATCATTATTAGCCTCCTCTGGAAAATGACAAGATTTGCATTTGTCTTATGTGATGACACCCATAGCTCCTGAGAAGTCTCCTTCTTATTAAAGGTAACAGTGGCCTCAAAATTCCTAAATATAAACTATTGCTCAGAATTATTATTGCAGATTTCTCATCATAAAGTAGTAAATTTGACCATCTCAAAACAGAAGAAAAAACATGCCTTATTTACTTTGGAAAAATACACTTCTATTAGTACAGAAAGTTCAAAATTTCTTGGGTAAAAGTAACTATTGTCCCTGGATTTGAGAATAAACTATGTCTCTGTACCCCAATAATAATTCAGTACTATTGGAAGTTGTGCAGTTGCAACCAGAAGATCACATTTAATTTGGTCAACAGAAAATAATAATTTACTTAGAAACTAATTAAGTCCCAGTACCCCGGAGGTGGGAGGATTGCTTGAACCTGTAAGGTCCAGGCTGCAGTGACCCAGGATCATGCTGCTGCATTCCAGCCTGGGCAACAGAGGGAGATCCTGTCAAAAAAAAAAAAAAGAAAAGAAAAGAAAAAAAAAAGGCTGAACACAGTGGCTCATGCCTGTAATCTCAGCACTTTGGGAGACCAAGGCTAGTGGATCACCTGAGGTCAGGTGTTTGAGACCAGCCTGGCCAACATAACGAAACCCCGTCTCTACTAAAAATACAAAAATTAGCCAAGCATCGTGGCAGGAGCCTGTAATCCCAGCTTGCTTGAACCGAGGAGGCAGAGTTTGCAGTGAGCCCAGATTGTGCCACTTCACTCCAGCCTGTGAGATAAGAGTGAGACTCCGTCCCAAAAAAAAAAAAAAAAGAAAAAAAAGAAACAAAGAGAAAAGAAAAGAAAAAACAAATTGTGAAAAAAAAAAAAAAAGAAACTAATCATGATGATGGTAACCTTGGAAAGCCGGCTAAGGTTCGCCTTAGTATTTTAGGATAAAAGGGTGGGGATGATGGCAGTGGCAAGCTGTCCAGAGTGTCCCACTGAAGTGGGAAGTTGCAAGCAGTGGCGGCCAGGTGACTTCAGGAGCAGTGGCCACGGTGGGACCCCTGTGCCCCATGTCCCCCTTGCCTTGTGTCCCTCAGGCAGCAGACTGCGCTGTCCCAACCCTTGAGCAGCCAGTGGGACCTACCCCCAGGCCCAGAGCCTCCACCACTCCTGCGTTGCTGCTCTCACCCTGCAGCTGTGGGCAGGGCATGGAGCTGGGGCCACTCTTCAGGGGCCTGAGGTGGGAAGTGGGAGTGGCCCCACTTCGGGGACCCGTCCAGCGGCAAGGCCACTGTCCCACTCTGCCGAGGGTGCCCAGTTCCTGCACCTCAGGAGGAGGCTCTGCCTGAGGCTGCCCAGGGTTATGTCCCTGGGGGTGGCCAGCGAGCCTGATACTCCTGATGGCCAGGCCCGATCCGCGATCTGCTCCCCAATGTGCCTCCCTCACCCCATCCAGGCACTAAGTGCTAGGGGAAGAACTTGCAGAGACATCACCCTTGCACCAGATGCTGATCTGGGCCCAGCAAGGGCAGTTGCCCACCTCAGGTTGTGAGAAGATGTGACGGGCTACCTGCAGGCTACACGGATTGGGTGTGAGTGCTGCCCTCCCCACAGCAGGATCCAGACCTCTCTGCACTCCATGCCCTCAATGCCAAGAAGGGCCTCCTGCCCCTGTTCGGGAGTGTCTGCTTCCACTGCCTGGCCTCTCCTCTCGCCTCTTGTGGCTCCTAGGTGCTCGCTGTGATCTCAGAGTGCAGTTGGGGCCAAGCCCCCATGCTGTCATATCCTGGCCAGGTGTGTGCATTCTCAGGGCAGCATTGACACACAAGCCTCCTGCCACTTCTGCCACGGGGAAGCCAAGGAAAGATGGGCTGAGGGCAACTGACGCTGGCCTACCAGTGCCCCTTAGCATTAGCAGCCTGGGTGCCATGGATGGTGGTGGGAGGCAGGCAGCCTCCTGGGCAGAAGGTGGCAGATCCCTGGTGGGGCCCCTCCTGCAGCCCAGGGAGGGCCTGAAGGGTGCAGGCCAGGCATCAGTCCTGCTGACAGGAGTGGGAACTTGTGCCTTTTCTGGGCCTACCCCATAGCTATCCGTGATGTGCACTTCCTCCCCTCTGAGGCCTGTTAAAGCCCTGGGCTCAGGCAGACTTAAGCAGAGGATGGAGAGAGCAGAGGAGAGAGGACGGGGAGATTAGGGATGACCTACTACAGAGAGGAGTTGCCCTCCCCAGGGTCTCCTCTCAGTGGCAGAATGGAGCTGCCCTCACCAGGGTTTCTGCTGAAAACTGAGGAGAGGGCAGGATGATCAGCTGCAGAGTGGAGCTACCCTCTCTGCTGAGAGCTGAACAGGTGTTGGGACAACCTGGCTATGAAGAGAAGCTGCCCACTGAGGGTCTTTGAGCTGTTATATTGCTTAATAAAGCTCCTCTTGGTCCTGCTCACCCTCCACTTGTTTGCATACCTCATTCTTCCTGGACTCAGGACAAGAACCCAGTATCTACCAAATGGTGAGGCTAAAAAAGCTGTAACACAGACACAGCTGAAACATGCCCCTTGCTCACCATGTTATGGGCAAAGAGAAGGAGAGAAGAGCTGTGGCTCTTCAGGGAGCCCAGACCTGGGAGCTCACCAAGCCAGGGCTGTAACTCCCTTTTTGGGGCCTGTGGTTCCTGGGGTTCCCAATCTTCCAGGTGCCGCCATGTTCCCCAGTGCCAGCTGTGGAAGCTGCTTGCAGTGCACCTGGTCCAGTTGCAGCCTCACAGGCAGCTGGCACCCATACTGGTGCCTAGAGCTGCCCACCCTACACAGCCAACATTCCTGGCTCTGCACGGTGGCCAGACCCCATGCTCACTTGCTCACATATCCCTCACCACCTGACCTTTGGCAAGTGTCAGATCCAGGCCAGTAGTGTGAACCAAGCACAGCCTGCCAGGTGAAGTGGGTGGAATGAACTCAGCTGGCCCGAGCAAAACTCAGGCAAAGGCATTACCAGTTACAGGATTCTGGCAAGAAAAGCAAAACGCCAATGATCCTGTAACAGTGACATGGTTAGGCTGGCTCTTTCCCCACCCAAATCTCATCTTGAATTATAATCCCCATAATCTCCACTTGTCCAGGGTGGCAACTTGTTGGAGGTTATTGGATCATGGGTGCAGTTTCCCCCATGCTGTTCTTGTGATAGTGAGTGAGTTCTCACGAGATCTGACGGTTTTATAAGTGTTTGACAGTTCTTCCTATGGGTACATTCTCTCTTGCCTGCTGCCGTATAAGATGGGCGTCTTCCCCTTCTGCCATGATTATAAGTTGCTTGAGGCCTTCCCAGCCATGCAGAACTGTGAGTCAATTAAACCTTTTTCCTTTATAAATTTACCAGTCTCACCAAACATTCCACAGGGACAATCTCCATGTACTTATTGCTTCAAGTTTCTTCAAATAATGATTTCTGTGGAAATTCTATACATTTTGATGGTTCTTTGGTGAATTTTCTGGTGTTTGAACTGGTTATTTGCAGTGAGGGGAGCTGCAGGATTTGTGTGATCCCTTCATCCTGAATAGTCTAAATGTTGAATGTATCATATAAGCTCTGGAATTGTTAGAGTAGGCAGATAGCCAGAAATGAGCAGGCAAGAGAGCCCCTGGGAAAAGAAGTCTTGGAGTCACTGCTCACTGATAGTCAGCACTGTGCACTAATAGCAAAAAGGGCAATGGCTACAATGGCTACATCTGGCTGGTCCCTCCGCCCCTGGAGGGAACTTACCAGGCCCTAGCCTAAAACAGCCATGGCAGGGACTTTCTCCACTAATGAAATCGTGCACTCCTCCAATAACTTGCCCTAGAATAGCTTTTTGCTCATTATGGTAGTGAAAAACACAGCTCTGGGTGGAGATTTTAAATACTGAGACATGCAACATGTGTAGTAGCAAGTATAAAACAGAGCATGCACACCCAAAGAGTCCTCCTGAAACATGCTTGCAAGTGACATTCCCTCAGGCTCCTTCATGAATAATCATGTGAGATTCTCATAAGAGAGTCCTGCAGCAATGGCTGCTGCTGGATTCTTCTTTTGAGCAGCCCACTCTGTCTCCTCTTTCAGAGCATACTGTCTCTTTAAAGAAACACTGCTACTATTTTTCCAGCTGGAACAGTCAGAACTGTTTTCCACTCCTCTCTAGGAATGCACTTTATTTTCCTTCAATAAACTCTGCTACTCAACCATTGCTATGCATCTCTTGGCTGAATTCTTTCTTCCAAGTTAGACAACAATGGAGGATTCGTGCACTTCTTAGTAACAGAATTAATTAGAAATATCCAGGCTTATTGGGCTTGGTCTATTTCTGAGCATGTGCAGGCAATTCTGTTGCTGTGGTCTAGTCCTCAGCAGGACAACGCTAAAGTAGGGTTTGTTTGTTGGGAGATCTCTACTGGGCAAGGGGCTCAGAATCAGTTTTTGGTTCTTGAGGCTGCAAGTCAATGACATGTCTGTATCTTCAGTAGAGTGAATCTGAAACCCCGGGGTTTGGCCTCTGAGAATTGGTGAGACAGATGGAGAGGAGGAGATAGGGGTTAGACTGGGGAGCAGAATGAGAAGAGGACCCACAAATGTTACAATATTTACATATCAGCATTTCTCACTCCAAACTTAATGAGGACTGAGATCAGACACTGAATATTAACACTGTCTGTTCTTTAAGAAAAAGCCTTGGATGCCTGTTTTATTACCAGAATAGTCTGACTCATTATTGAAACCATCATATATTTGGATGTGTATTTGGGTAGAAAACCTGAGTAATGGGAGCAGTGGCAGGACACAGCATTAAGATGAGAAGAAAATATTAGAAACACAGTGAGCCCTTGCTAATTTGTCTGTAAATGTATGATGATATTTATTTCTAAAATGGTTATGAAAATCTACCACAAACCATAAAGATGAATTATCCATGACAGTGTGATAGACTGCAAATAAATATTGAGTTAGATTTGGATTCCATCTGGGCTGTATAATTTACTAGCTATGTTTCCAATGGTATCTTGCCTACCTTAGCCTTGGATTCCTCATAAAAATATTGATAGTATTTTTTACTGGACTGAATTATTATCAGAATTAAAGGGAAAATGTAAGCAAAGTAATTAGGTACCATGTTTGGTGATAATAAAATATTGCAAAAACTATGCTTTCCATTTTTTTTCTCAAAATTCCTACAACCTAATTATAAAGGATAAAACAAGCACACACCAAGCCAGCATGACCTAGTAAGACTTACTAATAAATAACAAGTTTCGGGGGCAGCCAAGATGGCCGAATAGGAACAGCTCTGGTCTATAGCTCCCAGCGTGAGCGATGCAGAAGATGGGTGATTTCTGCATTTCCATCTGAGGTACTGGGTTCATCTCACTAGGGAGTGCCAGACAGTGGGCGCAGGACAGTGGGTGCAGTGCACCATGCGCGAGCTGAAGCAGGATGAGGCATTGCCTCACTTGGGAAGCGCAAGGGGTCAGGGAGTTCCCTTTCCTAGTCAAAGAAAGGGGTGACAGACGGCACCTGGAAAATGGTGTCACTCCCATCCTAATACTGTGCTTTTCCAACGGGCTTAAAAAACGGCGCACCAGGAGATTATATCCCGCACATGGCTCAGAGGGTCCTACACCCACGGAGTCTTGCTGATTGCTAGCACAGCAGTCTGAGGTCAAACTGCAAGGCGGCAGCGAGGCTAGGGGAGGGGCGCCCGCCATTGCCCAGGCTTGCTTAGGTAAACAAAGCAGCCAGGAAGCTCGAACTGGGTGGAGCCCACCACAGCTCAAGGAGGCCTGCCTACCTCTGTAGGCTCCACCTCTAGGGGCAGGGCACAGACAAACGAAAAGACAGTAGTAACCTCTGCAGACTTAAATGTCCCTGTCTGACAGCTTTGAAGAGAGCAGTGGTTTTCCCAGCATGCAGCTGGAGATCTGAGAATGGGCAGACTGCTTCCTCAAGTGGGTCCCTGACCCCTGACCCCCGAGCAGCCTAACTGGGAGGCACCCCCCAGTAGGGGCAGACTGACACCTCACACGGCTGGGTACTCCTCTGAGACAAAACTTCCAGAGGAACGACCAGACAGCAGCATTCACGGTTCATGAAAACCCGCTGTTCTGCAGCCACTGCTGCTGTTACCCAGGCAAACAGTGTCTGGAGTGGACCTCTAGCAAACTCCAACAGACTTGCAGCTGAGGGTCCTGTGTGTTAGAAGGAAAACTAACAAACAGAAAGGACATCCACACCAAAAACCCATCTGTACATCACCATCATCAAAGACCAAAAGTAGATAAAACCACAAAGATGGAGAAAAAACACAGCAGAAAAACTGGAAACTCTAAAAAGCAGAGCGCTTCTCCTCCTCCAAAGGAACACAGTTCCTCACCAGCAACGGAACAAAGCTGGATGGAGAATGACTTAGATGAGTTGAGAGAAGAAGGCTTCAGACGATCAAACTATTCCGAGCTACAGGAGGAAATTCAAACCAAAGGCAAAGAAGTTAAAAACTTTGAAAAAAATTTAGACGAATGTATAAAGAGAATAACCAATACAGAGAAGTGCTTAAAGGAGCTGATGGAGCTGAAAACCAAGGCTCGAGAACTACGTGAAGAATGCAGAAGCCTCGGGAGCCAATGCGATCATCTGGAAGAAAGGGTATCAGTGATGGAAGATGAAATGAATGAAATGAAGTGAGAAGGGAAGTTTAGAGAAAAAAGAATAAAAAGAAATGAACAAAGCCTCCAAGAAATATGGGACTATGTGAAAAGACCAAATCTACGTCTGATTGGTGTACCTGAAAGTGACGGGGAGAATGGAACCAAGTTGGAAAACACTCTGCAGGATATTATCCAGGAGAACTTCCCCAATCTAGCAAGGCAGGACAACATTCAGATTCAGGAAATACAGAGAACACCACAAAGATACTCCTCGAGAAGAGCAACTCCAAGATACATAATTGTCAGATTCACCAAACTTGAAATGAAGGAAAAAATGTTAAGGGCAGCCAGAGAGAAAGGTCGGGTTACCCACAAAGGGAAGCCCATCAGACTAACAGCAGATCTCTCGGCAGAAACTCTACAAGCCAGAAGAGAGTGGGTGCCAATATTCAACATTCTTAAAGAAAAGAATTTTCAACCCAGAATTTCATGTCCAGCAAAACTAAGCTTCATAAGTGAAGGAGAAATAAAATACTTTACAGACAAGCAAATGCTGAGAGATTTTGTCACCACCAGGCCTGCCCTAAAAGAGCTCCTGAATGAAACACTAAACATGGAAAGGAACAACCGGTACCAGCCACTGCAAAATCATGCCAAATTGTAAAGAACATCAAGGCTAGGAAGAAACTGCATCAACTAATGAGCAAAATAACCAGCTAACATCATAAGGACAGGATCAAATTCACACATAGCAATATTAACTTTAAATGTAAATGGACTAAATGCTCCAATTAAAAGACACAGACTGGCAAATTGGATAAAGAGTCAAGACCCATCAGTGTGCTGTATTCAGGAAACCCATCTCACATGCAGAGACACACATAGGCTCAGAATAAAAGGATGGAGGAAGATCTACCAAGCAAATGGAAAACAAAAAAAGGCAGGGGTAGCAATCCTAGTCTCTGATAAAACAGACTTTAAACCAACAAAGATCAAAAGAGACAAAGGAGGCCATTACATAATGGTAAAGGGATCAATTCAACAAGAAGAGCTAACTATCCTAAATATATATGCACCCAATACAGGAGCACCCAGATTCATAAAGCAAGTCCTGAGTGACCTACAAAGAGACTTAGACTCCCACACATTAATAATGGGAGACTTTAACACCCCACTGTCAACATTAGACAGATCAACAAGACAGAAAGTTAACAAGGATACCCAGGAATTGAACTCAGCTCTGCACCAAGTGAACCTAATAGACATCTACAGAGCTCTCCACCCCAAATCAACAGAATATACATTTTTTTCAGCACCACACCACACCTATTCCAAAATTGACCACATAGTTGGAAGTAAAGCTCTCCTCGGCAAATGTAAAAGAACAGAAATTGTAACAAACTGTCTCTCAGACCACAGTGCAATCAAACTAGAACTCAGGATTAAGAAACTCACTCAAAACCGCTCAACGACATGGAAACTGAACAACCTGCTCCTGAATGACTACTGGGTACATAACGAAATGAAGGCAGAAATAAAGATGTTCTTTGAAACCAATGAGAACAAAGACACAACGTACCAGAATCTCTGGGACACATTCAAAGCAGTGTGTAGAGGGAAATTTATAGCACTAAATGCCCACAAGAGAAAGCAGGAAAGATCCAAAATTGACACCCTAACATCACAATTAAAGGAACTAGAAAAGCAAGAGCAAACACGTTCAAAACCTAGCAGAAGGCAAGAAATAACTAAAATCAGAGCAGAACTGAAGGAAATAGAGACACAAAAAACCCTTCAAAAAATTAAGGAATCCGGGAGCTGGTTTTTTGAAAGGATCAACAAAATTGATAGACCACTAGCAAGACTAATAAAGAAGAAAAGAGAGAAGAATCAAATAGACGCAACAAAAAATGATAAAGGGGATATCACCACCGATTCCACAGAAATACAAACTACCATCAGAATACTACAAACACCTCTACACAAATAAACTAGAAAATCTAGAATAAATGGATAAATTCCTCGACACATACACCCTCCCAAGACTAAACCAGGAAGACGTTGAATCTCTGAATAGACCAATAACAGGCTCTGAAATTGTGGCAATAATCAATAGCTTACCAACCAAAAAGAGTCCAGGACCAGATGGATTCACAGCCGAATTCTACCAGAGGTACAAGGAGGAACTGGTACCATTCCTTCTGAAACTATTCTAATCAATAGAAAAAGAGGGAATCCTCCCTAACTCATTTTATGAGGCCAGCATCATCCTGATACCAAAGCCGGGCAGAGACACAACAAAAAAAGAGAATTTTAGACCAATATCCTTGATGAACATTGATGCAAAAATCCTCAATAAAATACTGGCAAACTGAATCCAGCAGCACATCAAAAAGCTTATCCATCATGATCAAGTGGGCTTCATCCCTGGGATGCAAGGCTGATTCAAAGTCTCAGGATACAAAATCAATGTACAAAAATCACAAGCATTCTTATACACCAATAACAGACAAACAGAGAGTCAAATCATGAGTGAAATCCCATTCACAATTGCTTCAAAGAGAATAAAATATCTAGGAATCCAACTTACAAGGGATGTGAAGGACCTCCTCAAGGAGAACTACAGACCACTGCTCAATGAAATAAAAGAGGATACAAAGAAATGGAAGAATGTTCCATGCTCATGGGTAGGAAGAATCAATATCGTGAAAATGGCCATACTGCCCAAGGTAATTTATAGATTCAATGCCATCCCCATCCAGGTACCAATGACTTTCTTCACAGAATTGGAAAAAACTACTTTAAAGTTCATATGGAACCAAAAAAGAGCCCACATCGCCAAGTCAATCCTAAGCCAAAAGAACAAAGCTGGAGGCATCATGCTACGTGACTTCAAACTATACTACAAGGCTACAGTAACCAAAACAGCATGGTACTGGTACCAAAACAGAGATATAGATCAATGGAACAGAACAGAGCCCACAGAAATAACACCGCATGTCTAAAACTATCTGATCTTTGACAAACCTGAGAAAAACAAGCAATGGGGAAAGGATTCCCTGTTTAATAAATGGTGCTGGGGAAACTGGCTAGCCATATGTAGAAAGCTGAAACTGGATCCCTTCCTTACACCTTAAACAAAAAGTAATTCAAGATGGATTAAAGTCTTAAACGTTAGACCTAAAACCTTAAAAACCCTAGAAGAAAACATAGGCATTACCATTGAGGACATAGGCATGGACAAGGACTTCATGTCTAAAACACCAAAAGCAATGGCAACAAAAGCCAAAATTGACAAATGGGATCTAATTAAACTAAAGAGCTTCTGCACAGCAAAAGAAACTACCATCAGAATGAACAGGCAACCTACAAAATGGGAGAAAATTTTCGCGACTTACTCATCTGACAAAGGGCTAATATCCAGAATCTACAATGGACTCAAACAAATTTACAAGAAAAAAACAAACAACCCCATCAAAAACTGGGCAAAGGACATGAACAGACACTTCTCAAAAGAAGACATTTATGCAGCCAAAAAACACATGAAAAAATGCTCACCATCACTGACCATCAGAGAAATGCAAATCAAAACCACAATGAGATACCATCTCACACCAGTTAGAATGGCATTCATTAAAAAGTCAGGAAACAACAAGTGCTGGAGAGGATGTGGAGAAATAGGAACACTTTTACACTGTTGGTGGGACTATAAACTAGTTCAACCATTGTGGAAGTCAGTGTGGCGATTCCTCAGGGATCTAGAACTAGAAATACCATTTGACCCAGCCATCCCATTACTGGGTATATACCCAAAGGACTATAAATCATGCTGCTATAAAGACACATGCACACGTATGTTTATTGCGGCACTATTCACAATAGCAAAGACTTGGAACCAACTCAAATGTCCAACAATGATAAACTGGATTAAGAAAATGTGGCACAAATACACCATGGAATACTATGCAGCCATAAAAAATGATGAGTTCATGTCCTTTGTAGGGACACGGATGAAAATGGAAACCATCATTCTCAGTAAACTATCGCAAGGACAAAAAACGAAACACCGCATATTCTCACTCAGAGGTGGGAATTGAACTATGAGAACACATGGACACAGGAAGGGGAACCTCACACTCTGGGGACTGTTGTGGGGTGGGGGAAGAGGGGAGGGATAGCATTAGTAGACATACCTAATGCTAAATGATGAGTTAATGGGTGCAGCACACCAGCATGGCACATGTATACATATGTAACTAACCTGCACATTGTGCACATGTACCCTAAAACTTAAAGTGTAATAATAATAAAATAAGTTAAAAAAAACAAGTTTCTCTACCTATGGTTTAGAGAATCCAAACAGAATTTCTAGAATATTACAGCTAGAATAGGCGTAAGTGTTTTGTAACATATCTACAATTTTAATATAAAATAAGTAGGTGAGCAATAGAGAATGCCATCAAATGCAGACAAATATGGAATGAAAAAGCAAAAATAAATCCGTATCATTCTATGTAAGGAGACCATTTTTTAAAGTAGTTTTAAGTGTACAGAAAAATTGCAGAGAAAGTTCAGGGAGTTGCCACATCCCTTCTTCCCTAAAACAGCCCTCTGCTCATTTTCTCCTATTATTAACATCCTGCATCATTGAGGTACACTTGTTACAACGGATGAACCAACACTAATACTTATTGTTAAGTGAGGTCCATAGTTGAATTTGGGTTCATTCTTATTATACAGCTCTATGGGTTCTGATAAATACATAATGCCATATAACCACCGTTAAAGTGAAATGGTGGATAAAGTGAACACAAGAGTCACTTAGTTTTTGTTTGAATAAACATAGAAATGGATACTTCGGGTCTTTAAGCTTGGAACTCATATTTGTTTTATAGGAGTTCCTTTCCAAAAACAGATCCCCCAGGCCTCTCAAAAAGTATCAAAGAACTGGAACTCACCAGATCATCTCATCCAGACAATGACTCCCAGTTCCTCATTCATCATGATTGTTCCCTTACGGCCTCCCTAGTTCCTGTTTTCCCATACATAGTTACATTTCTTCCCTGCTAGATAAAGCCCTAGTCACTCACAGAGATGGATTTGACTCTGGTCTCCCATTTCCTCAGCTGCAGTACCTGATGAAAGATTAAAGCCTTCTTCTTTGGCAATACTCATTGTCATCTCAGTGATTGGCTTTCTCTGTGGCAAGCAGCAAGACCCAGACTGAAGCCCTTGTGTGCAACACCTAGACTGAACCTGGTGTTTCAGTAACAAAAGTATGTTATGCAGTAGTATCATTGAAGTAAATTTCTCCCAGGCTCCACCTACTCATCCATTCCTCTTCCTCCTGAACCCCTGGAAACCACTAGTTACTGTCTCTGTATTTTTGCCTTTTCCAGAATGATATAGTCGTAATCATAAGGGATATAGTTTTTTTTAGACAGGTTTCTTTCACTTAACAGTATGCATATAGGGGCCGGGCGCGGTGGCTCACACCTGTAATCCCAGCACTTTGGGAGCTTGAGGTGGGCGGATCATGCAGTCAGGAGTCCGAGACCAGCCTGGCCAATATGGTGAAACCCCATCTCTACTAAAAAATGCAAAAATTAGCCGGGTGTGGTGGTGCGTGCCTATAATCCCAGCTACTTGGGAGGCTGAGGCAGGAGAATTGCTGGAACCTGTGAGGCTGAAGTTGCAGTGAGCCGAGATCACGCCACTGCACTCCAGCCTGGGCCAGAGAGCTAGACTCCGTCTCAAAAAAAAAAAAAAAAAAAAAAAGAAGAAGAAGAAGAAACAGTATGCATATAGGTTTTCTCTATGTCTGTTCATAGCTTGATGGCTTGTTTCTCTTTAATGTTGAATAATAACCCATGGTATGGATATACCAGAATTTGTTTATCCACTCACTTACTGGAGGATATCTTGGTTGCTTTGAATTTTTGGTAATTATAAATAAAGCTGCTAAAACATTCGTGTACACTTGTTTGTGTGGACAGAAGTTTTCCACTTATTTGGGTAAATACTTAGGATTGCAATTGCTGAATCTTATGGTAGAGTATGTTTAGCTTTGTAAGAAACAGCCAGAGTGTCTTCCAGATGAGGCAGGCGAATAGTGTCTGGAGGCAGGGAACCTAAGGCTGTTTCCCACTGACTTCCGAAGATAACTAAGTTGAAAGGAAATCCATAACTTTCAATGCCTGAGTAACAAAAAGACCAGAGACTACTCCCTTTGCCAATCCCCACCTTTTCTGAGCTGCAGATCGGAAATTGAAAGTACCTCTGATTGGTTGTCTTTTGCAACCAATCAGATACTTGCATAGGAGTGTAACTTCGTAATTTTATTTTGGCCTCTGATTGGTTGTGGAATTGTTTTCCTCAAAATTTCTACAGGCTAGTGATAAAAATCTAAGAAAAGCAAAATAAAATAAGCACAAACCAAGGGGGCATAACTAATAAATAACTAGTTTCTTTTTCTATGGTTTAAAGAAAGCCAACTCTTGGGAGTGTTGCAAATAGAGTAAGCGTTTAACATATCTACCATTTTAATATAAAATAAATAGACGAACAATAGAGAATACACTCAAACTCAGACAAGTATGGAATGAAAAGCAAAAGTAAATCCATATCCTCTCATGTAGCAAGACCATTTTTAAAGTAGTTTTAAGTGTACAAAAATATTTTAATGAAAGTTTAGTAAGTTCCCACATACATCCTTCCCTGAAACAGCCCTCTGTTCACTTTCTCCTATTATTAACATCCTGCATTAGTGTGGCACCCTTGTTACAATTAATGAACCAATGCTGATACTTATTGTTAACTGAGTTTCATAGTTATATTAGGGTTCACTTTTACACAGTTGTGTGGGTTCTGATTAAAGTGAAACCAACCCAATAGTCCCATGGATAGTTATTTGGATAAACGTAGAAATTGACCCTTCTTCTCTTAAAACTTGAAATTTACATTAGTTTTTTTTTTTTGAGATGGAGTCTCACTCTGTCACCCAGGCTGGAATTCAGTGGTGGGATCTCAGCTCACTGCAACCTCCACCTTCTGGGTTCAAGTGATTCTCCTGCCTCAGCCTCCCAAGTAGCTGGTATTACAGGCACCTGCCACCACTCCCAGCTAATTTTTTAAAAATTATTTTTAGTAGAGACGGGGTTTCACCATCTTGGCCAGGCTAGCCTCGAACTCCTGCCCTGTGATCCACCCACCTCGGCCTCCCAAAGTGCTGGGATTACAGGCATGAGCCACCGCACCCGGCCAAAATTTACATTACTTTTATCTGACGTCCTTGCTCAAGAAAGGATGCTCAGGTCTCTCAAAAATTATCAAATAACTGGAACTCACCAGATCATCACATCTCATCACATCCAGACCATGAGATGCCATTCTCCATCATTCATTATGATTGTTTTCTTATTGTCCAGAGTTATTGTTTTCCCATACACAGTAACATTCCTTCTTTGCTACATAAACCCCTAATTTTAGTCAGTCAGGGAGATGGATTTGAGACTGGTCTCCTATGTACTCAGCTGCAGTGCCTGATTACAGATTAAAGCCTTTTTCCTTGGCAATACTTGTCATCTCAGTCATTGGCTCTGTGTGTGGCCCTGGCAGGAGCTAGACAAATCCATGGTGTTTCAGTAACGAAAACATCATACAAAGTAGTTTCCCTAACTATGCCTGAGGCTCAACCTACTCACCCATCCCTCCTCCTCCTGAACCCATGGTCTCTTTACTCTCTGTATTTTTGCCTTTTCCACAGTGTCATATAGTTGTAATTATACAGTATAGAGCTTTTTCAGGCTGGCTCCTTCCACTTAGCAATATCCCTATAGGTTTCCTCCATGTGTTTTCATAACTTGATAGCTTATTTCTCTTTACTGTTTAATAGTATGCCACGGTATGGATATATCACAATTTCTGTATACATTCAACTATTGAGGACACCTTGTGGGCTTCCAATTTTTGGCAATTATGAATAAAACTGTTGTAAACATCCATACACAAGAATTTGTGTGGACATAAGTTTTCCAGTCATTTGGGTAAATAGTCAGAGGTGCCATTGCTGGATTATATGGTAACAGTATGTTTAGCTTTGTAAGAAACAGCCAGAGTGTCTTCCAAAGTGGCTGTACTGTTTTGCATTCCCACCATCAATGAATCTGAGTTCTCGTTGTTCTACATCTTTGCCAGCATTTGGTTTTGTAAGAGTTTTGGATTTCAGCCAGAAAAAAAAATGTTTTTTAAAACTTTTTACTTGGAAATTATTACAGATTCACAGGAAATTGCAAAGACACAACAGAGAAAATATGCATACCCTTTCACCCAGTTATTCCAAATGTTTATATCTTAAGTAGCTCTAGCACAGTAGCAAAACCAGGAAACTGACTTTGGTAGAATGTGTGTCCATAGTTCTATGCCTGTGTCTTATCATATTTGCAGATTTATGTAACCACCACGCAATCTAGGGCTATTCCATCCCACAGAGATCTCCCCTCATGCTGCCCTTCAGAGTCACACCCTACTCCCTACACACCATCACCCTGACAACTAACAACCACTAATCTCTTCTCCACCAATCTCTATAATAGTGTCATTTTGAAAATGTTACATAAACAGAATCACACAGTATGTGACTTTTGTGACTGGCATTATCCCCTCAGTATAATGTCCTTGAGATCCATCCAAGTTGTTGCATGTATTAACAATTTGTTCCTTTTAATTTTTTTATTTTATTTATTTATTTATTTATTTTTGAGATGGAGTCTTGCTCTGTCGCCCAGGCTGGAGCGCAGTGGTGCGATCTCGGCTCCCTGCAAGCTCCACCTGCCGGGTTCACGCCATTCTCCTGCCTCAGCCTCCTGAGTAGCTGGGACTACAGGCGCCTGCCACCACACTTGGCTAATTTTTTGTATTTTTAGTAGAGACAGGGTTTCACCGTGTTAGCCAGGATGGTCTGGATCTCCTGATCTCATGATCCACCCGCCTCAGCCTCCCAAAGTGCTGGGATTACAGGCGTGCACCACTGTGCCTGGCCCAATTTGCTCTGTTTTATTGCTAAGGAAATACTCCATTAGATGGAGGTACTGCAGTTTATTTGCCTGTTGAGGGACATTTTGGCTGTTTGTATTTTAGGGCTATTACAAATAAAGCTGTTGTGTGCATTTGTGTGAGATTTTTGTGTGAACATGTGTTTTTATTTCTCTGATATAAATATTGCAGAGTGTAACTCTTGGCTCATGTGGCAAATATTTGTCTAGTTCTTCAAGACACGAGTTTTTAGAGGCAGTGTGCCATTTTACATTCTCACCATCAGTGTATGAGAAATCCAGTTTTTCTGCATTCTCACCAGCATTTACCATTGTCAATTTTTTTTTTAATTTTAGCTGTAGTAAGAGGTGTGTAGTGCTATTACATCATGTTCTTTTGCATTTCCCTGATGGCTAGTGATTTGCATGTCATTCATTGTGCTTATTTGCCATGTATATATATCCTCTTTGATAAAATGTCTTTTCATATATTTTGCCCATTATGTAATTAAATTTTATAGTCTGCAGTCTACTATAGATTTTATAGTAGAGCTTTTATAGTTGATTATAGATTCTAGATAATTTATTCTTGGTAATATATGTGGTTTTAAATATTTTCTCCATATCTCTAGTTTACTTTTCATTTCTTAGCAGGATACCTTACAGAACAAAAGTTTTAAATTTTGATAAAGCCCTATTTATTGATTTTGTTTGTTTTTTGTTTTTTACACATAGTGCTTTTGGTGTCATGTCTAAGAACTCAAAACTCAGACACTGGGCCCTAGCTCCTGAGGATTTTCTCATATGTTTTCTTCTAAATGTTTTACATGTAGACATGATTTAATTGGGGTAAATGTTTTCATAAGGTGTGAGAATTTGTTGTTTCTTTTTTGCTTCTTTTTCCCTTTGCTTCCTTTTTTTTTTTTTTTTTTGAGACAGTCTTGCTCTGTCGCCCAGACTGGAATGCAGTGGCATGATCGTGGCTCACTGCAACCTCCACCTCCTGGGGTCAAGCGATTCTCCTGCCTCAGCCTCCTGAGTAGCTGGGATTATAGGCGTGCCACCACGCCTGGCTAATTTTTTTGTATTTTTAGTAGAGATGGGGGTTTCACCATGTTGGTCAGACTGATCTCGAACTCCTGACCTCGTCGTGATCCACCCGCCTCAGCCTCCCAAAGTGCTGGGATTACAGGCGTGAGCCACCGCGCCTGGCCTGCTTCTATTTGTTTTTGCTTGGTTTTGTTTTTGTCTATGGATTTCCACTTTCTCCTGGATCATTGTTTGAAAAGACTGTAGACTATATTACCTCCATTGAATTATTTTGTATCTCTGTCAAAATGAGTTGGCATAGGTGTATTTCTGGATTCTTTATACTGCTCCACTAATCTATGTCTATCCCTGCACTAATGTCAATCAGTATTGATTACTATAGCTATAAAACTTCTGAAATTTGGTTACAGTTATTTCTCCATCTCTTTTTTCCTATGAAATTTGTTTTACCTATACTAGTTCCCCTGCTTCTCCTATACGTTTTAGAATAACTTTGTCTACAACTATTACAAATCTTGCTGGAATTAGAGAGAAATTGTGTTAAAGCTGGATATCAAATTGGGGAGGAATGACATCTTTACTATATTTAGTTTTCTAGTTATGAACACAGTAAATCTCTCCATTTCTTTAGATTTTGTATTTCTTTATCAGTATTTCAGTATATGTATTGTGTACATGTTCTGTTGCTATACTTATGAGGTTTTTTGAGTGAAGATAATTCATGTTGTATTTTTAACATTTGTTTTGATTTCTTCAATACTATATATTCAAATAAAATTGATTTTTTGGTTGATTTTGAATTCAGTGACCTTTGTGAATTTCCTCATTAGCTGAAGCAAAAGAGGAAAAGCGTTCAGTCTTCTATTATTAAGTATAATTTAGCTGCAACATTTTTTTTTTTTGAGGCAGAGTCTTGCTCTGTCACCCAGGCTGGAGTGCAGTGGCGCGATCTCTGCTCACTGCAAGCTCCGCCTCCCGGGTTCACACCATTCTTCTCCCTCAGCCTCCCGATTAGCTGGGACTACAGGTGCACACCACCACGCCTGGCTAATTTTTTGTATTTTTAGTAGAGACGGGGTTTCACTGTGTTAGCCAGGATCGTCTTGATCTCCTGACCTTGTGATCCGCCCGCCTCGGCCTCCCAAAGTGCTGGTATTACAGGCGTGAGCCACCGCACCTGGCTAGTGGCAACATTTTTGTAGAAGTTATTTATCAAGTTGAGGAGGTCCTCCTCTATTCCTACTACTTTGAGGGTTGTTTTTTTTTTTTATCATAAATGAATGTTGAATTATGTCAAAGGCCTTTCCTACATCAGTTGATAGAATCATGCGATGTTTCTTCTTCAACTTGTTAATATAAGGATGACATGGATTGATTTCAAACATTAAACCACACTTGCATCCCTAGAATAAACGCTACTTGGCATAGTTTACATATTTTTTCAGTTTGGCTGATTTTTATTTGCTAACATTCAGTTAAGGAATTTGGCATCTATAGTCATGCAGGTATATTGCTTTTTACTTCTCTTTTGTTGTACTATTTTTGTGTGCTTTTGATTTTAGGAAATGCTGGTCTCATAACGTTAAGTTGGGATGTGTTCCCTTCTCTTCTGTTTTCTGGAGGAAATTTTGCAGACTTGTGGTAATTCTACTGAAATGTTTGGTAGATTTTTCCTGTGAAACTATTCTGGCCTAGAGATTTCTCCTTCAGCAGTCTTTATATTATAAGTTCAATTCCTTTTATAATTATAGAGCTTTTCAATTTATCTATTTCTTATTGAATTAGTTGTAATAGTGTGTAGTTTTCAAGGATTTTTTCCCATTTCACCTGATTGTTTTTGGTGTATTCCTTTAGTGTACTATTGATGTCGAAGGATCTGTAGTGGTATAACATGTTTCAATCCCAATATTGGTGTTTTTTTCTCCTTTTTTCCTTTTAGTTTGTCCCAGAAATTTGTCAGTTCTATTTATCTTTTCAAAGAACAAACTTTTTCTTTCACTGGTTTCCTGTTTTTTTTTTTTTTTTTGTGTTGTTTTTGTTTTTATTTTTGTTTTGAGATGGAGTTTTGCTCTTGTTGCCGAGGCTGAAGTGCAATGGCACGATCTTGGCTCACTGCAACCTCCACCTCCTAGATTCAAGCAATTTTCCTGCCTCAGCCTCCTGAGTAGCTAAGATTACAGGAATGTGCCACCAGGCCTGGCTAATTTTGTATTTTGAGTAGAGACGGGGTTTCTCCATGTTGGTCTGGCTGGTCTCAAACTCCCGACCTCAGGTGATCTGTCCACCTCAGCCTCTCAAAGTGTTGGGATTACAGGTGTGAGCCACTGAGTTCTGCCCGTATATTCTCTCTCTCTCTCTCTTTTTTTTTTTAACTGCTTCTTGCTTTAGGTTATTTTGGACTACTTTTGTAAATTCTTAAGTTGGGAACTGAGATTATTGGTTTCTGACCTTTTCTTTTTTTCAGTGTATACATTTTGTACTATAAATAGTTTTTCAAAGCACTGCTTAGCTATGTGCCAAACATTTTGATACACTGTATTTTCATTTTTACTTAGATGAATGCATTTTTTTATTTTCCTGAAGACCTCTTTTTTGATGTACGGGTAATTTAAAAGTATGTTATTACATTTCCATGTGTTTGGAGTTGTACCAATTTTCTTCATGTTATTGATTTCTGGTTCAACTCCATTGTTTCCAGAGAACACAGTCTGTATGATTTCAATTCTTTCACATTTGTTGAGGTTCCTATTATGGCTATTATGGTCTAGAGTCTAGGGTATGATCTATGTTGGTAAATATTCCATGGAGAGTTAAAAAATGTGTATTCTGCTGTTTGGTGTGGTGGTCTGCAAATGTCCATTAGATCTTACTGTTGGATAGTTTTGTTGGGTTTCATTATCTTGCTGAGTTTTTGTACAGTTATTTTATTAATTTTTCAGAGATGATTTATGAAGTCTTAAAGTTTAACTGTGTATTTGTCTATTTCTCCTTCCAGTTCTGACCATTTTTGCTTTACTTACTTGTAACCAGTTTTTTGGTGCACACACATTCGGAGCTGAAATGTCTTCTTTCTGAAATAACACTTTTATGATTATGTAGTCTTTCCATTTGTCTCTCAGAATATTCTCTGCTCTGTGCATTTTATGTTATCTGATATTATAGCCATTTCTGCTTTCTTTGACAAGTGTTTGTATGGTTTATTTTTTTCCATTTTTCTATTTCAGCCTTCCACTCTTGTACTATTTGCAGTAAGTTTCTTACAGGTAGCATATCGATGGGTCATTATTTTTCACTCTGACATTTGTCTGTTTAGACAATTTACATGTAATGCAATTATTAATATGTGAGCTCTTACGACTGCCATCTGCTTTTTGTTTTCTTTGTTTTTTGCTTCTCTGTTTTCTTTTCCTGTTTTTCAATGTGTTCCTTAAGCAATTTTTAGAATTCCTTTTTTTAATCAACCGTTTTTTGGTGTATCTCACTGTATAGTTTTTGTGGTTTATATTAACATAACTTATCATAGTCTACTGGTGCTGACATTTTACCAATTTGACTAAAGTGTAGAAACTTTATGTCCTTTATATCCCTTTCCACTTCTGCATCTATAATATGTATTTTTTATTTTCTCTACTTACATCAAAAACCACATCTGACAATGTTGTAATTTTTGCCTCAACCATCAAATTAATTTAGAAAACTGAATTTCCTGAGTGACAGGAGTATCTTTGTTGTTTATAGTAGACCCCTGGGACCACACCTGATAGTTTGTGCTAACCTGATGGTCTGGTGGGACCAGGCAGGCACATCCAGTAGTCTTGGGGTGGGATATGGCCACAGTAGAAAGACCAACCATGTGATTAGGAAGTTGAAGCTTTGGGTCACATGATATTGCCTCACCTCTGGAGAGAGGGACCTGAAGATTTCATTCAATCACACTGACAATGAATCAATCAATCATGTTTGTATAGGGAAGCCTCAATAAAACTATAGACACTAAAGGTTTGGTGAGAGTTGCAGGTAGGCAATACCTCTAGTGCATTGTCATATGTAATGCCAGAAGGGTAACATTTCTGAGGATGTGGAAAATTCCTATTTAGAACCCTCCCAGACTCTTCCCTATAGGTTTTTTTTTCCTTGAGTGCTTTTAATGCACAATTTCTCTATAATAAACATAAATCTGAGTATAAAAAAAACTGAAGAAGAGAAGTCTGTTGTATCTACCCATATTTTTACTCATTCTATTGTTTTTTCCTGATGTCCAAGTTTTCCTCCATTATCATTTCTATTCCAGTTCAAGCACTTCCTTTAGCCTATGATTTAGGATAAGTCAGCTAGCATCAAATTTCTTGATTTTCCTGCCTCTAAGAATGTCATGGCCGGGCAAGGCGGCTCACGTTTGTAATCCCAGCACCTTGGGAGGCCAAGACAGGTGATCCCCTGAGCTCAGGAGTTCGAGACCAGCCGGGGCAACACGGCAAAACTCTGTCTCTGCCAAAAATACAAAAAATTAGCCAGGCGTGGTGGTGTGTGTCTGTAATCCCAGCTACTGAAGAGGCTGAGGTGTGAGGATCCCAGGAGCCTGGGAGGCAGAGGCTGCAGTGAGCTGTGGTTGCACCACTGCCCTCCAGCCTGAATGACACAACACTCCATCTAAAAAAGAAAAAGAAAAAGAAAAAAAAGAGTGTCATGATAGAACCTTGATTTTATAACAATATTTTAAATGGATATACATTCTAGGTTAACATTACTTTCAGCCATTAAATTATCTTCTGCCACTTCTGTCTGGTCTGCATGATTTCTAATGAGCAATCTACTGTCATTTAATTTATTTTTTCCTATGCATGAGATGTCATTTCTCTCTTGCTGCTTTCTAGATTTTTTGGCGTAAATTTGTTTGGATTTGGCCAGGTGCACTGGCTCACGCCTGTAATCTCAGCACTTTGGGAGGCCAAGGCGGGCGGATCAGGAGGCCAGAAGATCGAGACCATCCTGGCCAACATGGTGAAACCCCGTCTGTACTAAAAAATACAGGCATGGTGGTGGGCGCCTGTAGTCCCAGCTACCTGGGAGGCTGAGGCAGGAGAATGGCATGAACCCAGGAGGTGGAGCTTGCAGTGAGTGGAGATCACGCCACTGCACTCCAGCCTGGGCGACAGTGCGAGACTCGTCTCAAAAAAAAAAAAAATTTCTTTGGATTTATCTTCGTTTGGGTTTGAACAGATTCTTGAATTTTTACATTTAAGTCTTTGTCCGAATTTGGAAAATAGTCAATCTTCCTTCAAACAGTCTTTGGGCATCACCCATCTGTCATCTTTCTTTAAGACTCCAGTGACACAAATTTCATATTTTTTGTTATAATGTTACAGATTTATCAGCATGAAATAATACTAAATATTATGAACAACTTTACAAAAAGAAATTTGCATGTAATGAATAAGTTACTCAAAATGTACAATGTACTCAAGCTGACAACATAAAATAAGAAGAGTTCCACATCACATAGAGAAAGTAAGCCCATTCCATAAAGCTTTCCTAAGACAAAACCTCAGGTTCATTTAGCTTCAGTAACTATTTTAAAATATTTAAGGAATAAACAACACTAACTTTATGCAAACTTCAAACATATTTGCAAAGAGGAAAAACACTTGCAGTTACATTTGATGAGATCTGCGTAAACTTTACTTCAAGACATGAAAAGAACTGTACAACAAATAGGAATTTATAGACCAGTAACTCTTATGAGCCAAGTTCTTAAGAAAATGTTACCCAACTGAATTCAGTGATATAAAAGATGGCTGCTACATCATGACCAAGTGGAGTTTATTCCAGAAATGCAGGTGGTTTGAGCATTTGAGAATCAATTAGTGGAGAAGTAAAGGAGTTAGGCAATGAAAATAGCAAGAAAAATATATAAAAGAGATAATAATTGCATCCAGGTAAAATGGTCATTATTTACTCTTGACATAATCAGGTACTTAGAAAATAAAAATAATAGACAAACTCATAGATTTAAGAAGTAAGTTTATATAATGTTGCTGGATACAAAGTCAGTATACATTAAAGCAATTATTGATATAGTTCGGATGTTTGTCCCCTCCAAATCCCATGTTGAAATGTAACCTCCAATATTGGAGGTGAGGCCTGTTGAGAGGTAGTTTGGTCGGGGGGCGGATCCTTCATCATTGGCTTAGTGCCATCCTAGCTGAAATGAGTAAGTTTTGATTCAGTTCACATGAGATCTAGTTGTTTAAAGGAGTGTGACTCTTCCCCACTTTTTCTGTACTCCTGCTCTCACCATGTGATACCCGGGCTCCCCTTTCCTTCCCCCTGATTGTTAGCTTCCTGAGGCCCTCACCAGAAGCAATTGCCAGCACCACACCTCCTGTACAGCCTGCAGAACCCTGAGCCAGTTAAACCTCTTTCTTTATGAATTACCCAGCCTCAGGTATTTCTTTTTAGCAATGTCAGAATGAACACAATTATGTTCTACCGTAAACAAATAGAAAACAAAATCAAGAGTAATTTTATCAATTTTCTCACCTTTTTTTTTCTACTTTTTTAAAGTTAAATTTGCTTTTGTTGATTCTTAAGTTAGGTCTTTGATTTTTACATATTTATCCTTTTATGATACAACATTGAAAACTAAATATTTTTCTCTAAGGACTGCCTTGGTTGCATCTGAAAAATTTTTAAAATTCATTTTAGTATTATTTTCTTTAAAATTACTTTCTAATTTTCCTTCTGATTTTCTCTTTGACAAGTCATAGTTTATTTAGAAATATATTATTTTACTTCCAAAAATTTGGGCAATGTTCTGCATCTTACTAATTTGTAATTTGATAAGACTGTGTTCATAGAATACACTCTGTATGATTTTATTCTTGTAAAAGTAATTGAGACTAGTTTTATAGTCATAGTATTTGCTCTATTTTATGAATATTATTTGTGCAATGTAAAAAATAAATATTCTGTAGTTATCAGATATTGTCAATATATATGTCAATTGTAAATGCCAACTAAGTCAAGATGGTTGAAAGTACTGTTCCTATATTGATTTACTTCCTGATCTTTGTTTACATGAATCTACAGAGATGTTTGCTGTCTTCTATCTACCTCCCTAGTTCCCACACCACCAGGATGAAGTCAGAAAAAGTTCTAGAAGGAGAATCAGCTGGCAGGGTAAAATAGATAGATATTACTCAGGGGGTCTCCATAGATTGTAATGCATCACACAGGCCCACAGGGCTATTTACAACTCAGCTGGTTTGTCCTTACTCCCTCACAATCTCCCTTTCTCAGCCAGGCTTTATCTTCCACCCATGTTAAGATTCAGTAGGTGGACCAAGGAATAAAAGTGGACATTTGTCCTTGCTCACCTAAGTGGAATTTGTTCATCTCTGGAATTTGGAATTTTTATACTTTTGGATCTATGGTTCATTAAAATATTAAAAATAAGATTATTTTCCAGTTTATCCATTTAGTTTAGTCTATATTTTTTGTTCTTATATTACTAGTGACAATTCTTGTAATTTTCTACCTCCTAACTGGCATTATGGTTAATGGTTTTTTCCCAATCCATGTTGATAATCCCACATAACTTACTTAAAGCCCTGTATATTATTCTTTTTTATGGCTATACCACAATTTACCTTTCTTCTATCTAAATATTAAAAATGTTTCTTTTCCCTCCTGTTACATTTTTTATATGTAATCATGGACATACAAAGTAAAATGTATCGAGACTGTAAAAGTCTGGAGTGGAAATACTGTATTATCCAAACTACTCACGGGGTTACACCTATATATGCTCACAGTGCTCCACACAGCACCGAATGTCATCCTGCAATGTGCTGTCACTTCACATACTGCATAGTTTTTATGATGTACAAAAGTTTTCTAATCAAGACAAATTTTCAGTTTTTCTTTTAGAATTTGGAAATGTTTTTGTTATTCCGTACTGTGGCTCAAAAAACGACAAATTTTATGTCTCCCTGGGCTCATGTAAGATTGTTTAAGACAGATGTTTAGAATGGTTTTTTTGTTGTTTTCATCTAGCATGTAACAATTGCATTTTGAGTTTTAATAGATATTCCCGCACTGCCATCCACTCGCAATCCTAATAATATGAGAGAATCTATTCCCATAGAATCTTCTAAATCCTTGATTTTAAAACAAACTATTTTACTTGCCAATTTTGCTGGGGGAGAAATAGTTTATTACATTGCTGTTTGAATTTGAATTTTTCCGTTCATTGGTGAGTTTCAGCAAATATTTATATTTATTGACTACTGGAAGATTCTCTTCTATAGTCGGTCTTTATCCTTTGCCCAATTTTCTGTGGCATTTCCATTAATTTATTGATTGATTAGTTAACAATTTTTTTTTTTTTTTGACGGAGTCTCGCTCTGTCGCCCAGGCTGGAGGTTCAGTGGCGCGATCTGGGCTCACTGCAAACTCCGCCTCCCGGGTTCACGCCATTCTCCTGCTTCAGCCTCTCGAATAGCTGGGACTATAGGCGCCCGCCACCATGCCCGGCTAATTTTTTTTGTATTTTTAGTAGAGACGGGGATTTCACCGTGTTAGCCAGGATGGTCTCGATCTCCTGACTTCGTGATCAGCCCACCTCGGCCTCCTAAAGTGCTGGGATTACAGGCGTGAGCCTCCGCGCCTGGCCAACAATTTTTTTTATAAGAAAGTTATCCCATTGTCTGCCTTATATGATCAAAATTTTTCCTGAGCTTCATATACTTCTTTTAATTTTGTGATTTTCTTCATGCAAAGAAATCAGTAATTTTCTTTTCTGTCTTTCTTTCTTTCTTTTTTTTTGAGGCGGAGTCTCTCTCTGTCGCCCAGGCTGGAGTGCAGTGGTACGATCTCAGCTCACTGCAAACTCCGCCTCCCGGATTCACGCCATTCTCCTGCCTCAGCCTCCCGAATAGCTGGGACTACAGGCGCCTGCCACCACGCCTGGCTAACTTTTTGTGTTTTTAGTAGGGATGGGGTTTCACCTTGTTAGTCAGGATGGTCTCGATCTCCTGACGTCGTGATCCGCCCACCTCGGTCTCCCAAAGTGCAGGGATTACAGGCGTGAGCCACCGCAGCCGGCCAGAAATCAGTAATTTTCTTGCAATATTGTTTTCATTTGTGTCTTCTGGATTTTGTCTTGCTTACCAACTCTTATTTTTTAAAAAAGAATTATTTTGGCCGGGCATGGTGGCTCACACCTGTAATCCCAGCACTTTGGGAGGCTGAGGTGGGCAGATCACCTGAGGTCAAGAGTTGAGACCAGCCTGGCCAACATGGTGAAACCCTGTCTCTACTAAAAATACAAAAAATTAGCCAGGCGTGGTGGTGCATGCCTGTAGTCCCAGCTACTTGGGAGGCTGAGGCAGGAGAATAGCTTGGACTCAAGAGATAGAGGTTGCAGTTAGCTGAAATTGACCACTGTACTTTACCCTGGACGACAGAGCAAGACTCTGTCTCACAAAAAAAAAAAAAAAAAAGAATTATTTTACCAGGTTTACTAAAGCAGAATTTACATACTACAAAATTCACTCGTATTTGTAAAATTTAGTGATTTTAGTAAATTAATAGATTTTTACAATTATCACAACAATCCAGTTTTATTTCTGTCATGTCCAAAATTTTTCTATTTATAGTTAATTCCCATTGATACCTCAAGCCCTAGGCACCCAATGATCTGCTTTTTGTGTCTATAAATTTACCTCTTCTAGATATTTCAAGTAAATGAAATCATCCCACATGTGAACTTTTGTGTCCAGTTTCCTTCACTTAGTTAACACTATTGAAGTTCATCAGTTTTGTAGTATATATCATCATTTTGTTTCTTTTCTCTTCATTTCTTTTTATTTTCTCTTTTTTCATTTGTGTAAATTTATAAGGTACAAGTGTAGTTTTGTTACCTGCATAGACCGCATAGATTGCATAATGGTGACATCAGTGTTTCTACAGTATCCATCACCCAAATCACATGCATTGTACCCATTAAGTAATCTCTCATCATCTAGAGTGCAAGGGTTGAAACTTGCCTTGGGAAAACTACCCTCATGTTCATGGTATCTCCTCTGCCAGACAAGTCTAGTTTTGTTCCCTTTTATTGTTGAATGATATTGCCTTGCATGGGTGTAGTTGATCCATTTTGTTTGTCCATTTACTAGTTGAAGGATATTTGGATTGTTTTCAGTTTGGGCCAACTACAGCTAAGGCTTTTCTGAACACTTGAGCACATATCTTTGTGAGGACATACGTTTTTATGTCTCTTATGTAGATTCCAAGGACTGAAATTGGGGGGTCATATGGCAAACATATGTTAAACTTTTAAAGAAATTGACAAATTTCCAGGTATTTGTAAAATCATACACTCCCACCAGCAACACATAAGGGTTTAGAAAGTCTATTCGTCTTCAAACATAATTATAATGATGATGATAGCATTAGAAATTACAACTGTCTTATTAATTTTATATTTTCTCTTTATGTTTCCATTTTTATTCATCTGGGATCCATTTAGTGAACGAAATGAGTTTGGAATACAACTTACCCAAAACTGAAACTGAATCTCAACTCCTTCTGTTTCTAATTCTAGACTCTGTTTTACTAGCATATAATAAAAAAGAGAATCAGTAAAAATGCATTTTTTTTTCTTTTGAGATGGAATCTCACTCTGTCGCCCAGGCTGGAGTGCAGTGGCACTGTCTCAGCTCACTGCAAGCTCTGCCTCCTGGGTTCACGCCATTCTCCTGCCTCAGCCTCCTGAGTAGCTGGGACTACAGGCACCCGCCACCACGCCCGGCTAATTCTCTTCTGTATTTTTAGTACAGATGGGGTTTCACCGTGTTAGCCAGGATGGTCTCAATCTCCTGACCTCGTGATCCGCCCACCTCGGCCTCCCAAAGTGCTGGGACCACACTCATGAGCCACCGCACCCGGCCACAATGCATTTTTAAAAATAAATACATAGTATGTTTTAGTACCTTATAGAGTTAGTCATTCCTTATTCTACTTTTTTTCAAAAATTTCCCTGGAAAATGTATTTACCTCATAAAATAACACGTCAGCATACTTGAGTTCTAAAAACAATCCTTTTTTGCTTGCTTTTTTTTGTTTTATGGTAATTGAGTAAATGGCTGACATTTAATTCTCTCTCTCTCTCTATATATATATGTGTGTGTGTGTATATATATATATATGTATGTATATATATATATATATATGTAGACCCCAAACCCTGAATTGAGGATGCCTATCAGGAATCTTTAGGCCTTCATGTGGAATTTAACTACAAATACTAACAACCTAAGAGTACCACAATCTATCATTTCCCTACCCTGAAATCAATTTCTCCTACTCCATCCACCATTTCTTTAATTTTTTTTTTTCAGGGGGAGAAAATTAAACCTCATTTATTTTTAAAACCAAACCACTAGGAAAATATATCACAGCCTGGACCAGTAAATTGAAAGGCTATGTTATCATTTCAAGTAATAAGTTGGTGAAAATACAATGAGGTTGCTATCAAAACAATAAGTTGCCATGCCAGGGCAGGAACAGTGCAAGTTGTGAAAGCCCCAGGCAAAATGGTATTTGGTAATCAGGGCTCCTCTCCTTTGCTCTAAGGGAGTCAGCTCATACTAGCCCAAATTACTTACTTTTTCTCCCTTGAATTTCCTTTTGCCAGGGGTTTGTCTCAATTGAGCTCTGTTAATTCAGAAGGCTAAGTAGGCAATGCTAGATTTAGGCTTTTATTCCATCTGTTCTATAAAAACCAGATTTTTCCAAAGCTAGTACTTCATAACTCTGTTATAATCAAGTAGCCAACTGCTCCTCTTTTACTGTTCATTCCTAGATACTAGTATATATCACAATTAAAACCCCCTTCTCGGCCTGCGCCCTCGCTGGAGGAACGCAAGCAGGAGGCGGGGGAGTCGGAGGAGGTGGCGGCGCTGGAGCTCCTCCCGGGGACCAGCGACCCGGGGAGCGAGCACGTCGCTCCGCACCGCTCTTCCTCCAACCGCTGAGCCGTCCCTTCTCGCCCTGTCCCAGAGCAGGCACCGCCGAGGCCCCGCCGCTGGAGCGCGAGGACAGTGGGACCTTCAGTTTGGGGAAGATGATAACAGCTAAGCCAGGGAAAACACCGATTCAGGTATTACACGAATACGGCATGAAGACCAAGAACATCCCAGTTTATGAATGTGAAAGATCTGATGTGCAAATACACGTGCCCACTTTCACCTTCAGAGTAACCGTTGGTGACATAACCTGCACAGGTGAAGGTACAAGTAAGAAGCTGGCGAAACATAGAGCTGCAGAGGCTGCCATAAACATTTTGAAAGCCAATGCAAGTACTTGCTTTGCAGTTCCTGACCCCTTAATGCCTGACCCTTCCAAGCAACCAAAGAACCAGCTTAATCTTATTGGTTCATTACAGGAATTGGCTATTCATCATGGCTGGAGACTTCCTGAATATACCCTTTCCCAGGAGGGAGGACCTGCTCATAAGAGAGAATATACTACAATTTGCAGGCTAGAGTCATTTATGGAAACTGGAAAGGGGGCATCAAAAAAGCAAGCCAAAAGGAATGCTGCTGAGAAATTTCTTGCCAAATTTAGTAATATTTCTCCAGAGAACCACATTTCTTTAACAAATGTAGTAGGACATTCTTTAGGATGTACTTGGCATTCCTTGAGGAATTCTCCTGGTGAAAAGAACAACTTATTGAAAAGAAGCCTCCTTAGTATTCCAAATACAGATTACATCCAGCTGCTTAGTGAAATTGCCAAGGAACAAGGTTTTAATATAACATATTTGGATATAGATGAACTGAGCGCCAATGGACAATATCAATGTCTTGCTGAACTGTCCACCAGCCCCATCACAGTCTGTCATGGCTCCGGTATCTCCTGTGGCAATGCACAAAGTGATGCAGCTCACAATGCTTTGCAGTATTTAAAGATAATAGCAGAAAGAAAGTAAATTTGGAGCAACTTAAAAAATCTTTCAGTAGCACATAAAAAGTTCCCCTCTGGCCCCTTCCCAAGTAAAACTTTTACCGTAGTGTTTATGTCTTGTTTCTAAATCTCTTCATAGATTCCATCAACACTCCAGATTTAATTATCTCCTCATAGTTGTTGTTAAGCTCTTTTTAATGGCTTCAACTTTGTATCAGTATATTGTATTTATAAACTTTGTACCACAAGAGAGAGTGTAGCACCCATTTTACAGTGCCATGCACATCAGAGAAAGAAACTGCATGTTTGTTGTTGATGATGAAATAAAAATGCTAGCAACAGTCTTTCTTACTGGTGCTTAAGCTCTTCTTTGCACAAAGCTTTATAAAGGGAATTCAAAGGAAGCCCTTTAGAATTAGAGTCTTGAGGGACAGCACTAACAGGCCTTTATTAAGTATGATTGTTAAATTTCAGGGAACATGATTGGTCTGCTGTGTATTTGAATTCATGTAACAAAGAACTGTTACGATGGGATTCTGCTCATTTTATTAAAAAGCTACTGACTTGACTGTCGTCCTGTTCTTGTTAGCCATTGTTGTGAATAAGATTTTAATGTTGATAATTCTGTTATTTACATATCTCTAATTTACTTTGAAATTCAAAGGTGAAAATAAAAAACGATGGCCTAAGTAAAATTTACAAACATAAAAAAAAACAAACCCTTCTCTCCAAGAGGAAAGTGTTACTGCAAGATTGTCCTGTCATTTTGCTACACACAGCCTCGGGGCCCATCAGCCAGTAATTCTGCTTCCCATAATTAATGTGTCATCCTCTCATGTTTTTGCATGCTCTCCAGGCTCAAAGATGCAGCATGTAATAATTTTAAGAAATGTACATCCACATCTTGATGACTAGAAATGGGGATCCACAAGGAATCTTTCGAAGTTCTTATCCAAACTAGTCTCCCTCCCAATTCCACATCTTAAAATCAACTTGTATGCCCTTGAACAAATTACACAAAACGAGGAAAACAAAGACCCAGAAAACTTTTTTCCCCAAGTTAGTGACCTCATGAATTTTGTTTCACAGCTTATGGAAAATGGTAAGGTGACACTTCTGGTAAATAGGATGTTGGCAACAAAGAGAAAATATCTCTCCTCAAACTCCACCAACTCTAACCTGCCAGCCCGTTGTTACCTGTGTAGTAAGAAGAGTCTGGTACCTTGGAGAGCTCTGGCTTGTTACAGGAGAGATCCTTACTGCCAGGATAAACACTGGCCACAGGAAATATAAGTTCTAAAACTCTCCTGTAATATTTCTGATCCAATTTAGCACGACTTCTTTTCATTTTATTTTTTAGAACTGAAACATTTTAAAAGAACCAGTGTCCAGAGGCAAGTGACATATGCCTTACACGTGTGGCCATCCTTAATTTCTTCATTCATAAACTTTGCTTAAAAGTCTAAAATCCCCAATTCTCTATAAAAAATATATTCTTGCCCTCAGTCCTGATGGCCACTGGCAAAGACTTTTATTTCCCAATGGATGAGAGAGGCTCCTTTGTCTTCTTGGTCATAGTTGGGATGACATGCATGTGGTCATCCACACACTTGGTCACACAGCCAACCAGCTGCTGCTTCACCTGAAGCTCCTTACTCCCAGCATCTATTGAATCTTTGGCTTTGTGGTTGCAATGCATGGTGCACCGGGCCAGGCAGTCCTGGAACTCACTGGTGACCAAAGCCTGGGATTAAGCCAGAGGAACATGGCAGAGTTTGACACACTGGTGCACCTGCTGCATGGAAGCCTGCCTGTCCTCACGACAGCTGGCACTTCAACGGAACATGAGACCCTGCATATTCCGGATGTTCTCTCTCTCCAGATTGTTCAGGATGGAGTCCACTGCCTCCTGCACCAGCAGCGGCTGCAGCTCCTCCATGGCGACCCCGTGCTGCCCCGTGTGGCGCCGCCCATTTCTTTATTTTTAAAAATATATGATTTTGCTCTTTTTCTTCCCATGTGCATTAGGCCCACTTTACAAAGGTTGAATCCTGGCTTGTCTGAGCCCGTGTGATCCCACGGTCATTCCAATGTGTGAGAAAGTGGGTACTGGGAATACCCTGGAAAGTGTAGTTGCTCCTCATAAAGGCACACAGGAAAGAGTAGTATCCTTTTCCTGCCTTTGGGACTTGTTGTGAAAGAATAAGAAACCTAAAGCTGCTGCGAGGGTCCTCCCACCATCTCAGCTGATGTGCTGCTTGTGATGGAGAGATGAGCTATGAAGTTCCAGGATCACTGGTGATGCCACCGGCCTGCTGAGTTGAGCAAACCTGGAGATGCCCAGCCTTGGATCTGTTAGGCTATGCGGATAATGGGTTAAAGAAAAATAAAGGTCGGATTTCCTGCTATTCGCAGCAGAAGTCATCTTCATTGAAATATTCATCCCACACATTTTAGTTCTACCTTATAATTCCACACAACAAGTCTGAAGACAAATCATTTCCTCAGCTTAGGGAACAAAGCCTATATGTTGCAAAGCTGGAATCAAACAGAGCAGACATAATTATCAGGTTAATATATTCCTATAGGATTTACATTCTTATAGGATTTATATGTACTTGTACTGCTATGTATGTACAAGTAACATATAATTAAAAATAAAATGCATAAAACAAGCATTGAATTTGAAAACAAAATAACAGTTGTTTCTGACAGTAGAGAAATTATGCTCAAATGATTATTACTTTGAAATAAACTTTTGAATTGATTATGTACTTTTAGATTTCACATGTTTGATACTGACTCAGATAGAACACAATGGAGAACCCTCCATCTTCTAAATTTGTCTTTCTCTGAAATGTGTAAAAGTCCTTTGATAATACTATATTACTTACATCTCTGGAATGAAAAATTATGTACTAATTTACAGTTATGGATACACAATACTGTAGATGGGGTTAAGAAAGAGTCTGATGAACTTGCTAGCTGGTTTCTCATCTCATGTTGGCCAAGTTTGTTTTAGTTGTTATAGTCTGTTCTCAGGTTTTATGCATTGGCTTTTTAAACATTAGGTTTACTTTTTTAATTGACAAGTAAAAATTGTATATTTATGTTGTGCAGCATGAAGTTTTGATACATGCCTATGTGGAATGTCTAAATCAAGCTATTTAACATATACACTACCTCACATACTCATGACAGCTACATGAAAACCATCATTCTTTTGGGAAATAATTTTCTTTCTTTCTTTTTTTTTGTCCTTGGAGCCAAATGGTCCAGATGATTTTTTGTTTGTTTGTTTGTTTTGTTTTTTTGGCTTTTTTTTGAGACAGACTCTCACTCTCACCAGAGTGGAGTGCAGTGGCACGATCTCGGCTCACTGTAACCTCCACCTCCCAGGTTCAAGTGATTCTCCTGCCTCAGCCTCCAAGTAGCTTGGACTACAGGTGCATGCCACCACGGCCAACTAATTTTTATATTTTTAGTAGAGACGGGGTTTCACCATATTGGCCAGGATGGTATTGATCTATTGACCTCGTGATCTGCCCGCCTCGGCCTCCCAAAATGCTGGGATTACAGGCATGAGCCACAGTGCCTGGCTGGACTAGATGATTTTTATCTCCGTGTGTGAGAAACATTTAATAATGTAATGTGTTTGTGGCACAAGGGGGGAGTACAGATGCACGGGAGGCAGGAAGGGTTAGGTAAAGGGGAGCACAAAAGTTGAAGATGAGGTGCTGCCATCAATGCCAGGACTTCAGGCCAAAGGCAGGGGCTGAGGAAGCCACAAGGGAGGACATTTTCTGCAGAGTTGCTGAACCAGTAGCAACCAGATCCTGAGAAAGCCCTCTCTTATGGAAGAATAACAGCCAGGTGGGAAAGCTTTTCATCCTGCAAAGCTGGGGAAGAAGGTTCCTCCTTGAATGTGGTCATCTTCACTTCAGCTCAGGAGTCCTGCAAAAGACAGAGGAGAGTGTTGTTTTCAGATCTGGCTCTACTAACAGCTTCCTTTCCCCTCTTTCAAGGACTCAGATGAGAGCACTGCAGGAAGAAGAAAAACAAGTTCTTAAGTCTCCATGAGCCAGTACTCCTGCAGAGCACAGGCCTTTTCTATGTGGAGAGAAGGAGTTTTGGTGTAAATTGCCTGATCAGAAATTTGAATCCAAAGTCTTTTTATTATTTCTGTCTCATGCCTTATCACCTCCACTATCATTCTAGGGAAATTGAATCTGTTTCTAAAAGAGAATTAAAAGGTATTACCTGTTGGTTGAAGTCCAGAGTGTCCCAGGAGAAAGAGGAAAAGATATACACTTAAAAGATATGGAAGCAAATCTGTCCTCCAACACAATGTCCCAGCCCCAGATCTCCCACCTGAGATTTGTCTAACACCACAACCCACAGCAACCAGGGCAGAGAGGAGCAGAAACAGACCATGTGACCCATGAAGCGTGATATGTCTGTCACACGATCCAGTGTAATTGCATTAGTCTTAGTGGCTCTTCCTTAATTTGCTCCAGGATGTCAAACGAAAGGACTCTTTTTTTTTGAGATGGAATGTCACTCTGTCGCCCAGGCTGGAGTGCAGTGGCGTGATCTCGGCTCACTGCAAGCTCCGCCTCCCGGGTTCATGCCATTCTCCTGCCTCAGCCTCACGAGTAGCTGGGACTGCAGGCGCCCACCACCATGCCCAGCTAATTTTTGTATTTTTAGTAGAGACGGGGTTTCACTGTGTTAGCCAGGATGGTCTCGATCTCCTGACCTGATGATCCACCCGCCTTGGCCTCCCAAAGTGTTAGGATTACAGGCGTGAGCCACCATGCCTGGCCTAAGGACTCTTTCTTATTAACCTTTCTCTTATCACTGCAGGCCATAAGCTATTATGCTTTGACATAGTAACCATGCACTGATGATTTCTGGATTATCAGGACATTGGAGGTCATTTGCGGAAAGAAAGGCTTTATCTAGGGCCACTCATATACTGAGAACTAACCTCAGCAAAGCCATATTTCCTCCTCCAGATAAGTCTATGGAGAGAGCCGATACAAAAGACTCCTCAGCTTTCTGATTCCTGAAGTAGATGAACAGCCCGGCCCCAAGGAAGAGCAGGCCCAGCACGAAGCCCCCGACTCCACTCAGCATCTTGCTCTGTGCAGATTCAGACCATGCTCCTGAGAGAGGAAGCAAGGATTAGTGATTTTTATCCTAAATGGAACCTCTTTAATTGAGACCCTGAGATTCAGAGCTTTGAAAATAAGAGAGAAGGCTTCCCTGCAAGAATGAAAATAACTGATCATTTCTGGAGAAAAAAATGATTTTCAAATCACACTGCACAGTTACAAGGTTCAGGCATCAAACTCATTCAAATATTACAGCCTTGATGTAAGGCACAACTTCAACATCTGATCAACAGAAAGTCTGAGACTCAATGAGGTTAAGTAGTTTGGCTAGAGTGACAGAGCTAATAAAAGGCAAAGCTGAGACTGGATTCCCCTCATGTCAGGAGGGCCCCTACATTACTTCTCTTCTCAGGTCAAAAAAACAACTCAGAGCAACAGCACCAGAAACACAGTCTCACACCCAGAGGCAGGGCCTGGAGCCCAGGGAGAGCAGGTGAGCCTGATCTGTGACATCATGGGGAGGTTCAAAACAGGGACAGCCTCTCCTGCTTGGCAGGCATGACTGCTTCCCCAGGGGGTACAGGTGTTTCTAGAAAGTATTACAGGGCTACCCCCCAGTGACCTGTGCTAATGGAGATGAGAACATGGAGCAAATGAAAACATGATGTGGGAGAGAAGAAACCTGACACTCAGGGATTACCAAAGACCCCTTCATGGTTGGTGAGAAATGTATGAAGTCAGAAAGCTGCTCACTCCATTCCACTGCATGAGAAGGCTCATCATGCTTGGGTGCTCCAGTTGACAGGTGTAAACCTCTGCATTCTGAGGAACTGTTTCCAGCATCACCAGGGTCTGGAAGGTCCAGTCTCCATTCTGGATCAGGCCTGTGGACACCACCCCAGCCTTCTCTTCCTGGCCATTCTGGAACCACCTGACTTCAATGCTGCCTGGATAGAAACCACTCACAGAGCAGACCAGGAGGTTGTGGTGCTGCAGGGGCTGGTCTTTTGAAGGATACACAGTCACCTTAGGTTGGACTAGGAGAAGAACAAGTAGAGGGAATGAGTCAGGAAGAAGAGTAAGTCTCCATGTTTTGCTGTTTGTCTGCTTCTCTGTAAACCCAGGCTCTGGCCTTGACCAGGCCTCCAACACAGCTGGCCATGTGGCCTCACAGTGTCATCAGCCTGGAATTGAATCTTTATAAGGAGGACCCATTAGATTTGAGAGATGTTGTGAAAAATTGTGTTTTTGTGAAAAGCTGTGTGTTGGGAGAGAAGCTGAGGCAGGGCTTGCATGTCTGCTAGACTTGCTTCTAGCACTCCTGTTATCTCAAGCAGCCATGTTTCTCATTCACTTGATACACTGTTTCCTTTCAACCCCCACATCCTCACCAATTGTTTGTTTGTTTGAGCACCAATAAGTAGCATGGGCTCCCAGAGCTCAGGGCCTTTGCAGCCTCCACACTCACAATGGCCCCCTGGTCCCACTTTCTCTCTTAGACTGTCTTTTTCTCATTCCTTTGACTCTGTTGGACTTCGTTGCCCCCATGATCTGGTGTTGGGTCTGATCACCCCAACATACCTGGCTGTCCAATGTGGGGTGACAAAGGCTCTGGTGAAGGAATGCTAGAGCATGTGACAGCAGAGGACGCATTGTCAAAGGACACTCAAGGACACTTAAAAGAAGCTCAGCAGGAAAGCTGAGTGCCCGGAAAACTAAGGTAACAATAGAACAAAGTGAAAGCAGACATTCTGCTTATTTAAATTTTTTTAAAGCATTTGTTATGAAGTGGGGGAGTGAAAGTTAGTACTCAGAGTTTGTTATCACTTTTTAGTAGAGTGAAGCAGTTTTGTCCATGGTTCCCGCAGCGGGGGACTGTGGAGTTGGATGGATGGGGGAGAATTGGAGGAGATTTTGGAAGGGCATATAGGGATGGAGTAGTGGCAGGTGCCATGGTGGGTGCTGCTGGGGCGACGATGGCAGGGGGCCCTGAGGTCACCCTCCCGGGTGCGGTGAGGGAGGAGGGGACCACGAGCCCATCCCTTCTTTGAGAGGCCCTCCAGCCACCACCATCCCATGTCCCTATGGTGGCCCCTGGGCTGGCCCATGGCCGCAGGCCTCACAGCTGCTGCCACTGATGGGTCAGAGCCACCCTGCAAACTTGGGAGGCATGGGGAGGTGGCCTCTGGCTCCAGGGCAGGGCTGCAGGGGCAGGCGGGCTGTGAAGCACCCAAGGCTGTGGCACCGCGGAGAGACTGGCACGGCTGAGCGCCCACAAGTGCTCCCAAGTTCACGAGTGGCTGTGGCAGTCCTACTGCGGCTACCTCACCTGGCGCAGCATCCCGGCTGCCTTCTCCACCTACTGCAGCCCCCAACCATCCCCACGGAGCTTCCCTTTGGGCAGCGCTGCTGTCCCCCAGGCCACAGGCCTAACCTGGGAACAGCTGCTGGCATCAGCACCCCGGCTCAAGTCGTGGGCCTGGGACCCCAGGCTCCTCATGTGCAGGCATCAGTCTGGGTCACTCCAGTGACAAAGGTAGGATCCATAGCCCCTTCGGGAAGCCCGAGCGAGACCAGGCGACAGGCAGGCAGATAATATGTTATTCTATCCTTGGCCCACAGATTTATGGTAGAGATGGTGGATTTCTTTATTCTCTTCTTTGTAAAAGCAACCATTATCTTAAGCATTATGCACCTCAGTGGGATAAAGGATATTTCTAAGTTTGCTATGCATTATACAATAGAAGAAATGAATGAAGACACATCACTGGAAGACTTGCAGAAAATGATGGTTGTGGCTCTTTTATACAGATTATTAATTTGTTTCTATGAGATAATTTGCATTTGGGGAGCAGGTGGAGCTACCCCAGGGAAGTTCCTGCTGGGCATTTGAGTTGAGACATGTGATACATTAGTGCTTATTGCACCAAGTCAGGTTTTAGTGATGCCTTCCTCAAATGTTAGCATTACAACGAGCTTTGATCAAGAATTTTTTGATTGCTTCTTTTTTTCCCTGCTTATATCACACTGCTGTTTTTTCAGCATAATTGAACAGCCTATGACACTGTAGCAGGAACCATTGTGGTAAAAAGAAATGGGGTCAGATGATGCCCCCCAAAGCCCTGATTTCCACATGCTATAATAACGAGACTAAATTATGTATCAAGGCTATCAGTATCTCTAGGTTACACTAATTGATGATTTAGAAATTAAAGCAGTCACTCTAGTGTGATGCAGGTGACTACTCTGAAAGTATCGTTTTTACTTGAATGCCAAAGAATTTTTCCAGAAGAAAAACCTATTAAATTCAAGTATTAAAATTTTTAGATCAAAAAGGCAAATGATTATATAAACAATGGACAATATATACTTTCTTAAGATCTAAGAATTTGCTGAAAGCATTTTCAGCTTTGAAATCTCCAAATGAAACTTTAAAATTTATTTTGGTTTATCCCAAAATAATGGAAAATATCCAGTTGTGTTTTGTAAACACCTATGTAACTCATCTTTTAGTTCACACTTCCTGGGGAGCCACCAAAGAAGGTCCCCACGGGAGTTAGGGGACCCTTACCCTCAGGAACAGTTGGTCTATTACTTGGAAGGTCTAGTCTAAATTTAAAAGGTGTTACTGTACATACGAGAATAATTGACTCTGATTATACTGGGGAGATTCAATTAGTTATTAGTTCCTTGACTCCGTGGTCTGCCTCCCCAGGAGAAAGAATTGCTCACTTGTTGCTTTTACCTTATATAAAACTAGGAAGCAGCACAGTGAAAAGAACAGGAGGCTTTGGTAACACTAATCCAGCAGGAAAGGCTGTATATTGGGTTAATCAAGTGTCTGGCAAAAGACCTATTTGCACAGTAACTATACAGGGAAAAGATTTTGAAGGACTAGTAGACACTGGAGCTGATGTCTCTATTATTGCTATAAATCAATGGCCTGGCTCTGGCCTAAGCAAAAGGCATCCATTGGTATTGTTGGAGTAGGAGCTGCCTCAGAAGTTTTTCAAAGTTCCTTGATTTTACCATGTCAAGGACCAGATGGTCAGGAAGAGACAATTCAGCCTATCATAATACCTATTCCTGTTAATCTATGGGGTAGAGACTTATTGCAACAATGGGATGCTGAAATATCTATTCCTATAGACCAATATAGTAATAATGGTAGACAAATGATGAAAAATATGGGATATCACCCGGGAAAAGGACTGGAAAAAGATAAAGTTGGGCAATTAGAACCTTTAGAATTAAAAGGGCAAACAGATCGGACCGGATTGGGGTGTCATTTTTAGGAGCAGCCATTGTTGAGCCTCCGGCTCCCATTCCTCTTGTTTGGCTAACTGCCAAACTGGTTTGGGTGGAGCAATGGCTGCTGAAACAGGAAAAACTGGAGACTTTAGAAGAACTGGTGCAGGAACAATTGTAAAAGGAACATATAGAGCCTACTTTCTCCTCTTGAAATTCTCCTGTATTTCTCATTAAGAAAAAATCAGAGAAATGGAGAATGTTAACAGATTTAAGGGCTATCAATGCTGTGATTCAACCCATGGGCATGCTACAACCAGGCTGCCCTCCCCAACAATGATCCCAAAATACTGGTCTCTCATAGTGATAAATCTAAAGGATTGCTTTTTTACCATTCCTTTAGCTGCCCAAGATTATGAAAAATTTGCTTTTACTGTTCTAAAGAAATTGTGCAACACTGTTCTGCCTGTCAAGTCCTGTATCTGCTACATCAAGGAAGAGGAGTTAACCCTAGAGGTTTATCTCCAAATTCCATCTGGCAGATGGATGTAACACATAGTCTTACTTTTGGAAAATTGTCTTTCATTCGTGTTTCAGTAGATACCTATTCACATTTTATCCGGGACACATGTCAAACAGGGGAAGCTACAGCTCATGTTAAAAGACATCTTTTATGTTGCTTTTCAGTTATGGGAACCCGAGAAAAAATAAAAACTGGTAATGGCCCAGGATACTGTGGTAAAGCCATGCCTATATTTTTTCAACAATGGAATATTACCCATACTGTGGGTATTCCATATAACTCAAAAGGACAGGCAATAGTGGAAAGAGCTAATTGTACTTTAAAAACTCAAATACAAAAGCAAAATGGAGGAGACCAGGAATATAAGACACCAAATATGCAATTGCATTTAGCTTTATTAACATTAAAGTTTTTTAATTTACAAAAAGATCAACCCATGACTGCAGCTGAACAGCACCTGAGAGGACAAAAAGAAAATAAAAAGGCTGGACAAGATATATGGTGGAGGGATGCACATACAAAGAGCTAGGAAAAGGGAAAGATAATTTTATGGGGAAGAGGATTTACTTGTGTCTCTCCAGGTGACAATCAGGTGCCTGTGTGGGTGCCCACCAAACATCTGAAGATCTATCATGAGCCACAGCATCTAGTGGACCCTCCTGTACAGTGCAAATTGAAGGCTTAAGGATTACATTTAAGCCTCGATTTGCTTTCTCTGTGCCTTCTGTTAGAAGGGGCCTGCTTCTCATTATCAATGGTAAGTTTTACCCTGTGGTAATTAACCAAAGAGGCCGAAGCTGAGTTACAAATGCTTCAGCAATGGCATGCCTCCCGGCTACAGCCACAAGTCTTCTTTTTCAGTAGCTTCTGTTTCAGTAGATTTACTAACGTGAGGGTGAGGGTATGCTTGTGTTTTTGCAGGAGATGAACAAACCATGTAGGTGCCCTCAAGATGTGTACGACCATGGAATGGGAGACCGGAGGGACCCATGGATCCCAACCATGGACCAGGTTCCCCCAGTACAAGCCATGCTGAGAAACTGCTGGAGTGCCAAGGTTTTACCTATAGATGCTTAACGGACCAATGCTTTCTGACTGAACGCCTCTCTATCCTGAATACAAGAGACCTTAATAGGTAGATAGGAGTATCATCGCCCCTAGTTAGCATGAAGAAGTTACGGAAGACGGACCTTCATCCTTCTGCAACCCCTAGGATTAAGAGTCCTCTTGTAAAAGGGAAAGGGGAGATATGTAGGAAGCATTCAAACCAAAGTTACTCCATTTTGAATAAGGGCTCATAAAAAGGAAGCTGGATCACCAACTGGCAATTAAGGGCTACATAGCCTGCAAAAAGAGAAGGGGGGCATGTTGGGAGAAAACTGAGTGTTGGGAGAGAAGCTTGAGGCAGGGCTTGCATGTCTGCTAGACTTACTGGCTCCTTGCTTCTAGCACTCTCATTTTCTCAAGCAGCCATGTTTCTCATTCACTTGATACACTGTTTCCTTTCAACCCCCACATCCTCACCAACTGTTTGTTTGAGCACCAATAAATAGCATGGGCTTCCAGAGCTCAGGGCCTTCGCAGCCTCCACACTCGCAATGGCCCCCTGGTCCCACTTTCTCTCTCAAACTGTCTTTTTCTCATTCCTTTGACTCTGTTGGACTTTGTCACCCCCACGACCTGGTGTTGGGTCTGGTCACCCCAACAAAATTGTGTTTGTTTCTTCATAGCTTGAAATTGGTATGCATTGTCAAAATGTTTACAAATCTTTGAAAGTACAGAGTGTAGTCATTAAAACTGATTTCTGAGGCAGGTTGCCTGATTCAAATCCAATGTCTACCTTTTACTGGTTGATCCTGTAAGAGTTTTTCGATTCTGTGTCTCAATTTTCTCACCTATAATGGAGGATAATTATACTAATTTACCTCTTTGGGTTATATGATTAATATAATCCCAGGAGGTATATTGTTTTATATATTTTATGTGTATAAAACATTTATATATTGTTTCATATATTTTATGTGCATTAATCCCCAAGGGTTGAAATTAATGCATGTAAAATACATAAAACAATAACCGGGCCAGGCGTGGTGGCTCAAGCCTGTACTCTCAGCACTTGTGAGTCAGAAGCAGGCGAATTACGAGGTCAGGAGTTCAAGACCAGCCTGGCCAATATGGTGAAACCTGGTCTCTACTAAAAATACAAAAAATAGCTGGGCATTGTGGTGCGCATCTGTAGTCCCAGCTACTCAGGAGGCTGAGGCAGGAGAACTGCTTGAACCCAGGAGGCAGAGGTTGCAGTAACTGGAGATTGTGCCACAGCACTCCATCCTGGGCAATAAAGGGAGACTCCATCTCCAAAACAAAAAAACAGTGACTGAAGATAGCCTTCCATTGATGAGGTCAGAAAGCTGCTCACTCCACTCCACTGTGATAGGGCTCATCACACTTGGGTGCTCCACTGCGCACCTATTTATCATCCTTGAGAGATAAATATATTTTAAAGCAATGTGTATAGATAAAGGGACAGAGTAGAGTACATGAGGAAACTGAGTATGAATGTTTAGGAATATTACTGCCATGGACTCACACCTTAGAACACCACAGAGATGGTTTTGCCCCTGGGAAGGTGGGACAGACAGAAATCATTCTCCAAATCTTTAAGTTCCTAGAAAAGCATGAGTCCTAAGGCAGAGAGAAGGATTAAGGAACGTCATTTTAGTTTTGAAAGTTCTTATATTTACATTTAGCTGATCAATGCATCTCCCATGCAAAACAAGCATAACTATTATTAGGCCTGTCATGGTAAAATGATTTTTCTTTCCAGAATGAAATTTGGATCAAGGAAGGATCTGGGACTCACTACTTGGGATGCTTATGCCTATGCAAACCTCTGACACTAGGATACTCTTAATAAATACTATTTTTTTTAAGAAGGAAGGAGAAACCTGGAGACAACAATACCACAAAATGGTAGATTTAAGATGGATTGTAAATCATTAATATAAATTTCACAATATATTTGATTAAATAAAAATGTTCAAAAAAAAATTTTTTTTTTGAGACAGAGTCTTGCTCTGTCACCCAGGCTGGAGTGCAGTGGCACGATCTTGGCTGACTGCAAGCTTCATCTCCCATGTTCACGCCATTCTCTTGCCTCAGCCTCCCAAGTAGCTGGGACTACAGGTGCCTGCCACCACATCCAGCTAATTTTTTTTTTGTATTTTTTGTAGAGATGGGGTTTCACTGTGTTAGCCAGGATGGTCTCAATCTGCTGACCTCGTGATCCACCCACCTTGGCCTCCCAAAGTGCTGGGATTACAGGCAGGAGCCACCACGCCCGGCCAAAATGTTCAAATTCTTAACATGGAAAAGAATTTTCAAAATCAACATACAAACCACAAACTGGAGAAAATGTTGACTCAAATATCAATAAAGTGTTAATAATCTTACCATACAAAAAACTCACAAAATCACTGAGGAAAGTACAAAGCCCTAAAGATAATAGATAGTAGATCATTGTCCATTACCTACCAAATGCAATAGGGAATTCTTAGAACAGTAATTATAATTGGCCAACAAATAGGTCAAAATAATTCAAAAGAACTATATGTCAAAAAATATAAATTAAAAATTAACCATAAACATACATTTTAAACTTTTGGTGAATGTCATAATAAAGGTCAACAAAGGGGAAAGTGAGGTAATTTGTGTCACAGCTATTATATATAAAAGAATAATACGTAAGTAGTAGAAAACTATTGGCATTATAATAAAATAACAACTGTGTTAAAACTTTAATTCAAAAGTTAGTTTCACAGTCACTTCAACTATGTAAAAATACGCACACTAAGAAAACAAAAAAGTGGCAAGAAATTTAGACCTAAAGAAGCTTCAGAGGTATCTCAGAGGTCTCCTCAATTCCCCTAGAAATTAAGGGTATGTGCCAGGGACAGTCTGGAACTGGCCTCCTCACATTATCCCAAACCTTCCATAACCCTCACCTCTCCTCCCCTAAACCTTCACCCCAACCACACAAACCTTACATTTCCCTTCCCTGAATCTCTAAGGACCCAGAACAATCAAGGTCTCTCTCTGCAGCCCCCTGCACCCACTTCCCATGTCACCTCCCCACAGAGGCCTCCAAGGATAAGAAGCAGCCCCCTCCTGCCTCCCCTCCCACAACAGCCAAAGACAAATCCACACTCTACACACACACCTCTGCCCTCAGAACCCCTTGCTCAGGATTGAGAGGATTCTAAATGTTCACAGATGTGTGTGTGTGTGTCTCTCTCTCAACACACAAACACTCAGATTCCCAGCTCACAGGGACTCAGACCCCGCCCCCCGCCGTGCTCATTTCGCCGCTGCACTGTGAATCTCTCCACAACCCCATAGTTGTGTCTGCATTAGTTGTCCACTTCGGCCCGCTTCTGCTCCAGGATGTCCTTCTGGCTGTTCCAGTACTCAGCGTCAGGCCGCCCCAGCTCAGTCACCGCCCGGAACTCCCCCATGTCGCTGTTGAAGCGCACGTACTCCTCTTGGTTATAGAAGTATCTTTACAGGTACCGCTCCGTCCCATTGAAGAAATGACACTCAGACTTAGCCTGCTCCAAGAAACGTGCTGTGGGGACACGAACGATCCGGTTACAGAAGCGGACTCCGGGGAAGACACTGACTGGCCCCACCCGCAACCTCGACTACGCGCAGCCCAGGGGCTCATCCTCTGTCTTTCTGAGGCGGACGGGGGTACGGGGGACCAGGTGGGAAAACTACCTCTGATCCCAAGGCTTTTGGGACCCCCTCCCTGCCTCCAGCCTGTTCTGGAGAACTCAGTGCAGGAGCTGGAGGAGGATCCACCTACCACCGCAGCCCACGCTGCCTCCTCCTGGGAGCCTCCACCCCCAAAACACTCTCTGCTCCTTCTCTCATCCCACACGCTTTACCGGTTCCTTCAGCAGTACCCACCGTGTTCATCCTGTGAACACTTCCTTAGTGATGACCTTGTGCCTGCCCTGCGCTGCCTCTAGGAATCCAAACAAGGGAAAACAGACCTCTCCACTCCACTGGGGGAGCTTAAAGAGCAGTGAAAGCGATGGCCAAAAACCAAACACGCAAGAGCTTAGACAGGGATGAGAAATGTCAGAAGTGTGGACTTCTAGAACAGAGGATAATAGGATGATCTCAATTACACTAGGGTGCCACAGAAGGACCCTCTGAAGAGTGTCAGTTCAGATGTGACTTGACAGGTTAAGCAGGTGTGAGCCAGGGGGCAGAGTGGAGCCTGTGTTGTCTGTTGGGACAAAACGGGAGGCACTTTTCAGGTTTAGGAAATCCCATGTACAAAAGCTTGAATTGATGAACTTCTTCAGGAAACTAGAACAAAGCTCACTAAAGCAGAGAGGCTGAGGGGAAGGAGGGTAAAATATTAGATTGGAGAAATCACAGGAGCCAGGTATTTAAAAGCCTCACTGATGGTGTTAGGATTTTGGATTTAACTAAAGACAATGGGAAAGTATTGAAGAGTTTTAAGGAGAATAAAACCATGATCCCCATAAATGAAATGTCCACAAGCCTGCCTTTGCATTTCTTTTTCTTTTTTTTTTTTTTTTGCTACAGAGTCTTGCTCTGTCACCCAGGCTGGAGTGCAGTGGCGCAATCTTGGCTCACTGCAACCTCTGCCTCCCAGGTTCAAGCAATTCTCCTGCCTCAGCTCCCAAGCAGCTGTAGTTACAGGCATGTGCCACCACACCTGGCTAATTTTTGTATTTTTAGTAGAGACAGGGTTTCACCATGTTGACAGGCTGGTCTTGAACCCCTGACCTCAGGTGATTTGCCTGCTTTGGCCTCCCAGAGTGCTAGGATTACAGGCATGAGCCACTGCGTCCGGCCCTTCTTTTGCATTTCTAAGTCAACAAAGCTCAGAAATTAAGTTAAAAGAAATTTGCAGCACTTTGGGTGGCTGAGGCAGGTGGCTCACGAGGTCAAGAGATCGAGACCATCCTGGCCAACATGGTGAAACCCCGTCTCTACTAAAAATACAAAAATTAGCTGGGGGTGGTGGCACACGCCTGTAGTCCCAGCTACTCTGGAGGCTAAGGTAGGAGAATTGCTTGAACGCTGGATGCGGAGGTTGCAGTTAGCCAAGACTGAGTCACTGAACTCCAGCCTGGCGACAGAGCGAGACTCTCTCAAAAAAAGAAAAAAAAATTGTTCCCAAAACTCATTTGGTAAATCTTATAAGGGAAAATGGTCAAAGGTGTCTCAGAGCTCTTATTGGTGACATGTGCTTCTGTAGTTTCAATACATATGAACATACATACATATATGTGTGTAAATATACACATATGTAAAACACTATGTATATTTTTTGATGTTTTTGTCTTTATGTTTGACTGAAGTGTGAAAATGACTAAAATAACTTAAAAATAATCTTGTGGTTAAAAGTGAAATGAATACATAGAAGCATTTTACATTGTGAATAATATCAAATGTAGAATTACTACAGAAATCTGAGGTATGTTACTGAAAAACAATTGCAGCAGCATCACTATTTGTGACTTATACAGACAGGCTGTTGAAAGTTAATAGAAATAGTGATGACTCATGAAAATGTTGAAAAATATTGCATAAGGCAAAAAATAAATATGAAGGTATTGAACTTGCATTGACTAAATGGATTCAACAACAAAGGTTGTTGAATTTATGCAACTGTCAAGTTTTTTACAATAAAACAAGCAAAAATAAACCATAAAGAGCTGAAGTGGATGGTGAGTGTATAAAAGATCTGAGTGTAGAATTTTCAGAAAGAGAACAGTGTGAACTGGTGCTCTCAGCCTCAGCACTATTAACATTTTGGACTAGGTAATTCTTTTTTTTTTTTTTTTTTTTTTTTTTTTTTTTTTTTTGAGACAGAGTCTCGCCCTGTTGCCCAGGCTGGAGTGCAGTGGTGCCATCTTGGCTCACTGCAAGCTCCGCCTCCGGGTTCACGCCATTCTCCTGCCTCAGCCTCCCGAGTAGCTGGGACTACAGGTGCCCGCCACCACGCCCGGCTAATTTTTTGTATTTTTCGTAGAGACAGGGAGTCACCATGTTAGCCAGGATGGTCTCGATCTCCTGACTTTGTGATCTGCCCACTTCGGCCTCTCAAAGTGCTGGGATTACAGGCATGAGCCACCACACCCAGCCCAGATAATTCTTTGTTGGTGACAGAGGCCGTTCTGTACATTGTAGGTTCTCTAGCGGTGTCCCTGGCTCCTACTCATTAAATATCCGAAGAAAACCCTGTTGTGACAATCAAAAATTGTTATAAACATTGCCACACGTTCCCCAAAGGTGATGGGAGGGAAGGCATAGGTGGTGAACTTTCCCTTGGTAAACACCACAGGGAAATCTGTGTTGAACAAGCCACTATTAGTTATGGAGCAGCTGAGAATTACATTGAAAAATATCTGTTGAACATCTTGGTCCTACATAAAATAAATGTTTTGTAGAATTCTGGGCCCAATACAGTGCTATCTTTCCAGAAAATGAACTTGTTCAGAACCAAGATTTACTGATTTCCTTGCCTTACCAATCAGTCACCAAATCATGTTATTTATCTTTCATATCATCTTCTTTCTTAATTTCTCTGCCACTGGTCCACTAATTACCTGTAGTAATGAATCACAGCCACAGCTGTTTTATTTCCATTTAACGTGCCAACTAACTCATGTCTTTCAGTCTCCCACTCCCAACAATACCAGCAGGCATTAAATTACCAGCCTTGGCCAGAGGTAGAACTCTCGGTTTTGTAGTCAATTCTCCTCAGAAAGGGAGAAACCAAGAAAATGACATTCTCATACAGACAGTTTGCAAAAAATGAGCAGGTCCCCAGACGTTGAGTAGAGACCTTCACAAAACACCCTTTGCCCTTTAGAAATGATGGCAGAGAGGAGTGCACCCTGGATCAAACAATGTCTATCTTTTTATTCCTAAATTAACTAAGCACTTTCTTTACAGAGAGAAAGTTAAAAAATAAACATGTGTGAAGTTGCTGTCACTGTGGCTTGCATGGTTAGCACTGTAATCCATGCTTAAGTGTCCCACTTAGGGTTGACAGATTTGGCAAAGAAAATCAGAGGATGCCCAGTTAAATTTGAATTTCCAATAAATTATGGTTGTGTATCTGAAATTCGGATTTAACTAGGAACCTGTATTTTATTTGGCAACCCCAGGCCAACTTGCTAGTCAAACCTCAGAAGGAGTGATTTAATACTTCTTGTCTTCTTCAACACATGCCCATGATAGACATATAAAAGTTTTACAATGATAAATGCAAAATGAGCGAAAGTTTCTCCTATACAGGCCAGGTGCAGTGGCTCACGCCTATAATCCCAGCACTTTGGGAGGCCGAGGCGGGTGGATCACGAGGTCAGGAGATGGAGACCATCCTGGCTAACACAATGAAACCCCCGTCTCTACTAAAAATACAAAAAAATTAGCCGGGCATGGCGGTGTGCACCTGTAGTCCCAGCTGCTGGGGAGGCTGAGGCAGGAGAATGGCATCAACCTGGGAGGCAGAGCTTGTAGTGAGCCAAGATCGCGCTGCTGCACTCCAGCTCAGGTGACAGAGAAAGACTCCATCTCAAAAAAAAAAAAAAAAGAAAAAGAAAAAGAAAGGTTTTCCTATACATTGAAACTAGCAGCCCTTGAATCTCTGCCCCTACTCTAAGAAACAACCTGGTTCATATGAATATCAGAAATTTTGTCAATAATTCAGGCACAATCTAGTCGCTATTCACTAATGATGGACAGACTCTCAAACTGTAGAATCAGAAAATCCGAATGGAAACATGACCTCTTCTACTTGGGCCAATTTTTACCAACCGTAAGCCTTTTTGTAATGTATCAAATGCATTTAATAATAGTATAATCCTCGCAGGATTATTGTTAAGTGTAAAATTAGATAATGACTCTTCTTAGCACTGATCACATAATAAACACTCAAATATATCCCCATTTTAATTTTTATGATCCTGTAACTGCAGCTCACATTACTTTTTCTATTCCTTGATTCTAAAGCAATTAGTATATTCATCATGATTTTGCAATTGTCTTCTGTTCTTCTATTAGTTTCATAAAGAATTGTCATTCTGACAATATAGGGCAGAATCACTGGTTTATGTCTAATAATGCAGTATACCTAAACAAACCTCACACAAAAGGCATCTGCTGACATAGAAAAAAGGGACTTTCTACATGCTCAGATTTAAACTGCAATCTGATTTCCAGCACTAAATTTGTAACACTGGGTTTTACTTATATCCTCTCAATTTTAGATTCCAGAGATGTATATGTTTTTAAATACCACAGATACAACAGGATCATTATTGAAATTGCATACTGAAAATCATAGGCCTGGTACACAGTCACTGCAAAATGTTACATGGCATACACTGATGGAGACCAGATTCATTTTATTCATCACTTCATTCTCATGAGCTAGAGTAATAGCTAGTGTATTCAAAGTCACTAATAAATATGGGCTGTGTGAAATATTGGCTGTGTGACCTTTTGCATGAGCAGTCACCACTGCACACAGGGACCCTCTAGTATTTCCTTGCCACTAATGACTGAGCATCACAGGTCCTCCTGCTTTTCTTCAGCCTCTTTAGCATTTTCCTTTAGATCCAGCTGGATCCCTGAACCCAGAACACAGTCCTTCCCTGAAGCTCACTACTCAAAACAGTCAACCTTAACCTCATCCTCACTCCTACTCGCTCTTCAAAGGATCCAATCCAGTTTTCATCCTGGATATTCCACTGACTGCAAATATCAACTCCACCAAACCCAGCATTTGCTTCTGTTTTACATTCTCACTTCACTCTCCTCTTAGTGGCACTCACCACAATTGACCTCTCCTGTCTCCTTGAAAAAAATCTATTTTCCTTGACTGACATGCATTATGTTCTCTTGGTTTTTCTCCAACATCCCTGGGCTCTTTTTCAGTCCTTTGCTGGCCTGTGCCCTCTTTTTTCTCCACACAATCTATCTCGCTGTCACCTCTTCCACTCCCTGGAATTTAACACAGTACACGTATTGATGCCGCCAACATAAATACTTCCAGCCCTGGCCTCACCATGAGTCTCTTAAATGCCATTGATCTTCTGATTGCTCCACATAAGTATCAATAAATCATCTCAAACTTAAACAAAACTTTTATTTCCAACTTTTATTCCAATAAATATTTCCAAAATATTTATTTTTTATTTCCACCCACTTCAAATCATTTCCTCCCACAGTTTTTCCTATCTCAGTAAACAACACCACAATCCACTTATTTGTCAAAATAAAATCCTTAGGAATAAGCTTGATTTTCTACTGCCTTTACAATAATCCATTAACAAGTGAAGCAAAATACATGCCGAGTCTGTCCACTTTATCTTTTTCACTGTCTTTATCACTAATGCACTGCATGAAGCCGCAAGCCTGTTTTCGCTGAGGATTCCCTGCTCTGCTCCTAAAGTCTTCCTGACCATTTGTGAACCCCAACAATCCAATCCCCACAGAGTAACTAGAATTAGTTTTAAAAACTGAATATAAATGGACTCTCCTTGTAACCATCCAGTAGCTTCCCATATCTATTTACATAAAATTCAGGCCAGGCGCGGTGGCTCACGCCTGTAATCCCAACAGTTTGAGAGGCCAAGACAGGCAGATTACCTGAGGTCAGGAGTTCAAGACCAGCCTGGACAATATGGTGAAACCTCATCTCTACTGAAAATACAAAAAAATTAGCCAGGCATGGTGGGTGGGCACCTATAATCTCAGCTACTTTGGAGGCTGAGGCTGGAGAATCACTTGAACCGAGGAGGCGGAGGTTGCAGTGAGCTGAGACCACACAACAAGAATGAATCTCCGTCTCAAAATAAATAAATAAATAATAAAATAAAATAAAATTCAAATTTCTTACCATGGACATCAGAGCCTAATATGATGAGGCTTCTGACTACCTCTTTGTGTTCTACCTCGTCTTCTGCCCTTCCATTTCCTTGCTTGCTATACATCAGACCCTCTAGCCTTCTTTCTGTCCCTGGACATAATTTCTCACACCAGGGCTTCCCCCCATGCTGTCTCCCTGGAACTTTCGTTCCTTAGATCGTCACATGACTGTCTACTTATTTTGTTGTCTCATCTGAATGTCACTTTCTCAGGTAGAGCTGCCTAAACACATGAACTAAAGTTTGGTGAATCCATTTCTCTCTTTTCCACAAACCTGATGTCTTTTCTTTAGTGCACTATTACTATCTGAAATTTTCTTTTTTGATAAATGATTATTGGGTTATTTTTTATCTCCTCTACTCTTGTGTAACTTCCATGAGAGTAGCGACCCTCTCTATCTTAATCAAATAGAATGATTTGAACCTAGAATAGAGCCCAGTACACAGTAGCTGCTGAGAAAAATAAGTGTGCTTTACATGAATAAACCAGGGTTCTGGGAACTGATCACTGCAGGGATCCTGGAAAGCAAGAAGGGGCTCAAGCTCAAGCACTCTTTCATTTTGATGTCATACTACACCCCTTCTCTTCCCAGTGTGAAATACAGGCAAACTTCTTCTTTCTCCTCCTTCTAGGTGGAAGAAGAATTCACAGATAAAGAAACAGTGATTTAAGCAAAAAGAAATTTTTTTATTAAGATTCATCTCTTTTTGCCTGGGTGGAGTGGCTCACACCTATAATCCTTGCACGTTTGGAGACCAAAACAGGAGGATTGCTTGAGTCCAAGAGTTTAAGACCAGCCATAGCAACATGGCAAAACCTCATCTCTACCAAAATTACAAAAATTATCTGGGCATGGTTGCCTGCTGAAGTCTCTGCTACTCTGGAGGCTGAAGAGGAGGAACCCTTGAGCCTTGGAGGTGGAGGTTGCAGTGAGCCTAGATGGCACCACTGCACTATAGCCTGGGTAACAGAGCCAGGCCCTGTCTTCAAAAAAAAAATCTCATTTAATGGATCTCATAGTGCCCTGGCTCTGTGCAAACTTTAGGGATTTCTGGAAATGATGACAACATAGCTGAAGAAAAATAGAGAGAAACTGGAGGAAGAGGCAAGTGAACATGGCTAATTAAGGAAAGCTGAGGGCATGATGAATGAAACTATGAAATTTAGGAAAAGACCACAGTAAGACAATGAGTTCCCAGGACTTGCTCATTGACTTTCAGCCCTATGAGATGCGGACAATGTCCACATCGTCTCTGCAACCCCACACAGAGTATATAGTTTGAACATTATTAAATTTCAGATATTTTACTATTTTTGACGTACAAAAATAGAATTTTATATAATTTATCCTATGTTAGTTGAATCTTTTCTTGTCATGTCTAGTTAGAACATGTAGGAGTTGTAGGAGAAACTAGCATAGAACAGTTAAAAAGGATTCAAAATTAACACTAGTGACTTAAGTTTTTTTTTTTTTTTTTTTTTTTTTGAGAGGGAGTCTCACCCTCTCGCCCAGGCTGGAGTGCAGTGGCATGATCTTGGCTCACTGCAACTTCTGCCTCCTGGGTTTAAGCGATTCTCCTGCCTCAGCCTCCAGAGTAGCTGGGATTACAGGTGTGCGCCACTACCCCGGCTAATTTTTGTATTTTTAGTAGAGATGACGTTTCACCATATTGGTCAGACGGATCTCAAACTCCTGACCTTGTGATCCGCCCACCTCCATGTCTCAAAGTGCTGGGATTACAGGCGTGAACCACCATGCCTGGCCAGATGCCTTAAGTTCTTTAGGTACCGAAGAATACCTCATAAATACTCTTTATCTGATCTAAGTACTAAAGATCTCAGCTTCCGCTCCAGGGATTTTTTCCCCCTAAGAAAGAAAGAGCACTTAGTATAACTTCTGTCAGAGAATCTACATACATGTACAGGGATACAGGCTTTATAAACATTGGAGTTCAGAAAGAAAAGAAAGGAGATAATGGGGAGGTCACTGGGTACATCCTCACATATGAGGAAGAAGGGCCAACACCACAGGTCCTTTGGAGGACATAACACAGGATCATCTAGGAGAGACCTTTTGAATTCCCTTGACTCCCACAAAGTTTTCAGAAAATCCTCGTTTTGTCTGGCATAAGTCAACATGATAAAGGGAAGTGCTGTATGGGGAATTTATTTTAGCATCCTTATTTCTAAATCCTCTAAAGACCCTGAGGAAATGTGATGCAAAGGTTTTATTGGTGGAGATTTGAAAAGAAATGGCCTGTATGGAAGTTCCTTACACAAACCTCATGGAGAGGGCAAGTACCAAGCTCCTTTTGTGGTGGAAATAACTTAGGATCCCGTGATAAAGATGGGCAATCTCTGAAGAAAACGTCACAATCTCTTAAGGGGCATTGCCTGGGCACGGTGTTAACAAAACTCCCTATTTTCCTGACCTCGTAGTAGCTCAGCACCCACAATGTGCACTTGCGTCGGGTGTCCCCAGCCAAAGCCAGTGGGGAGCTCAGCACCATCAGTGTCACTGTCAGAGCTGCCATGCAGGAGCCTCCAGGGGGCTTCAGACACACCATGCTAAGGAGCATGACAGGTCCAGGGCCCAGAGGGGCAGTCAAGTCTCACTCAGCGAGAACTATGACCCTGCTCCACCCATATTCCAAATTATAGGGAGGAAGTTACTGATTTCCTTGCTCCTGGATTGGGTAATCTAGTGTTGGAGAATGAATCAGCGTCTGAGTTCAATAGCATCATCAGTTGCTGGTCAGAGATGCTGTATGAAGGTCCTTTTCTGAAACAGAATTTACTTCTTTAAAGAATTTTTTTTACGAATTATTTTTTTTATTATACTTTAAGTTCTAGGGTACATGTGTACAACGTGCAGGTTTGTCACATAGGTATACATGTGCCATGTAGGTTTGCTGTACCCATCAACTCATCATTTACATTAAGTATTTCTCCTAATGCTTTCCCTTCCCCAGCATCCCACCCCCTCAACAATAGGCCACGGTGTGTGATGTTCCCCACCCTGTGCCCATGTGTTCTTGTTGTTTGGTTTTCTGTCCTTGTGATAGTTTGCTTAGAATGATGGTTTCCAGCTTCATACATGTGCCTGCAAGGAACATGAACTCATCCTTTTTTATGGCTGCATAGTATTCCATGGTGTATATGTGCCACATTTTCTAAATCCAGTTTATCATAGATGGGCATTTGGGTTGGTTCCAAGTCTTTGCTATTGTGAATAGTGCTGCAATAAACATACGTGTGCATGTGTCTTTATAGCAGCATGATTTATACTCCTTGGGTATACACCCAGTAATGGGATCGCTGGGTCAAATGATATTTCTAGTTCTAGAACATTGAGGAATCACAACACTGTCTTCCACAATCGTTGAACTAATTTACACTCTCACCAACAGTGTGAAAGCGCTCCTATTTCTCCACATCCGCTGCAGCAGCTGTTGTTTCCTGACTTTTTAATGATCGCCATTCTAACTGGCATGAGATGGTATCTCATTGTGGTTTTGACATGCATTTCTCTGATGACCAGTGATAATGAGCATTTTTTCATGTGTCTATTGGCTGCATAAATGTCTTCTTTTGGGAAGTGTCTGTTCATATCCTTTGCCCACTTTTTGATGGGGTTGTTTGTTTTTTTTTCTTGTAAATTTGTTTAAGTTCTTCATAGATTCTGGATATTAGCCCTTTGCCAGATGGGTAGATTACAAAAATTTTCTCCCATTCTGTAGGTTGCCTGTTCACTCTCATGATAGTTTCTTTTGCTGTGCAGAGGCTCTTTAGTTTAATTAGATTCTATTTGTCTATTTTGGCTTTTATTGCCATTGCTTTTGGTGTTTTAGTCATGAAGTCCTTGCCCATGCCTATGTCCTGAATGGTATTGCCTAGGTTTTCTTCTAGGGTTTTTATGGTGCTAGGTCTTACATTTAAGTCTTTAATCCATCTTGAGTTAATTTTTGTATACGGTGTAAGGAACAGATCATTTCAGCTTTCTACATATGGCTAGCCAGTTTTCCAAGCACCATTTATTAAATAGGGAATCCTTTCCCCATTTCTTGTTTTTGTCACATTTGTCAAAGATCAGATGGTCATAGATGTGTGGTGTTATTTCTGAGGACTCTGTTCTGTTCCATTTGTTTATATCTCTGTTTTGGTACCAGTACTATGCTCTTCTGGTTACTGTAGCCTTGTAGTATAGTTTGAAGTCAGGTAGCATGATACCTCCAGCTTTGTTCTTTTTGCTTAGGATTGTCTTGGCTATGCAGGCTCTTTTTTGTTCCATATGAACTTTAAAGTAGTTTTTTCCAATTCTATGAATAAAGTCATTGGTACTTGATGGGGATGGCATTGAATCTATAAATTACCTTGGGAAGTATGGCCATTTTCAAGATATTGATTCTTCCTTCACTTATGAAGCTTAGTTTGGCTGGATATGAGATTCTGGGTTGAAAATTCTTTTCTTTAAGAATGTTGAATATTGGCCCCCACTCTCTTCTGGCTTGTAGGGTTTCTGCCAAGAGATCTGCTGTTAGTCTGATGGGGTTCCCTTTGTGGGTAACCCGAGCTTTCTGTCTTGCTGCTCTTAACATTTTTTCCTTCATTTCAACCTTGGTGAATCTGACAATTATGCATCTTGGGGTTGCTCTTCTTGAGGAGTATCTTTGTGGTGTTCTCTGTATTTCCTGAATTTGAATGTTGGCTTGCCTTTCTAAGTTAGGGAAGTTCTCCTGAATAATATTCTGAACAGTGTTTTCTATCTTGGTTCCATTCTCCCCATCACTTTCCGGTATACCAATCAAACATATATTTAGTCTTTTCACATAGTCCCATATTTCTTGGAGGCTTTGTTCATTTGTTTTTGCTCTTTTTTTCTCTAATCTTGTCTTCTTGCTTTATTTCATTAATTTGATCTTCAATCACTGATATCCTTTCTTCCACTTGATTGAATCGGCTGTTGAAGCTTGCGCATGCATTACGAAGTTCTTGTGCCATAGTTTTCAGCTCCATCAGGTCATTTAAGGTCTTCTCTACACTGTTTATTCAGTTAGCCATGCATCTAACCTTTTTTCAAGGTTTTTAGCTTCCTTGTGATGGGTTAGAACATGCTCCTTTAGCTCGGAGAAGTTTGTTATTACCAACCTTTTGAAGCCTACTTCTGTTTACTCGTCAAACTCATTCTCCATCCAGTTTTGTTCCCTTGCTGGCAAGGAGCTCTGATCCTTTGAAGGAGAAGAGGTGCTCTGTTTTTTGGAATTTTCAGCTTTTCTGTTCTGGTTTCTCCCCATTTTTGTAGTTTTATCTACCTTTGGTCCTTGATGTTGGTGACCTACAGATGGGTTTTGGTGTGGATGTCCCTTTTGTTGATGTTGATGCTATTCCTTTCTGTTTGTTAGTTTTCCTTCTAACAGAAAGAACCCTCAGCTGCAGGTCTGTTGGCATTTGCTGGAGGTCCACTCCAGATCCTGTTTGCCTGGGTATCACCAGCGGAGGCTGCAGAACAGCAAATATTGCTGCCTGATCCTTCCTCTGGAAGCTTTGTCCCAGAGGGGCACCCACCTGTTTGAGGTGTCTGTTGACCCCTACTGGGAGGTGTTTCCCAGACAGGCTACATGGGGGTTAGGGACCTGCTTGAGGAGGCAATCTGTCCGTTCTTGGAGCTGGAACGCCATGCTGAGAGAACCACTGCTCTCTTCAGAGCTGTCAGACAGGGAGGTTTAAGTTTGTAGAAGCTGCCTGCTGCCTGTTGTTCAGCTATGCCCTGCCCCCAGAGGTGGAATTTGTAGAGGCAGTAGGCCTTGCTGAGCTGCGGTGGGTTCTGCCCAGTTTGTGCTTCTTGGCTGCTTTGCTTACTGTAAGCTACTCAAGCTTCAACAATGGTGGATGCCCCTCCCTCTGCCCCCCCCCGCCCCCCGCTGTGCCCTGTCAAGCTGCAGCATCACAGGTTGATCTCAGACTGCTGCACTAGCAGTGAACAAGGCTCCATTGGCATGGGACCCACCGAGTCAGACAAAGGAGGGTATCTCCTTGTCTGCTGGTTGCTAAGACCATGGGGAAAGCACAGTATTTGGTCAGGAGTGTACCATTTCTCCAGGTACAGTACACGTCTTCTGTCATGGCTTCCCTTGGCTAGGAAAGAGAAATCCCCCGAGCCCTTGCGCTCCCTGGTTAAGGCGATGCCCCGCCCTGCTTCAGCTCGCCCTCCATGGGCTGCACCCAATGTCCAACCAGTCCCAGTGAGATGAACCAGTTACCACAGTTGGAAATGCAGAAATCACCCATCTTCTGCGTCAATCTTGCTGGGAGCTACAGACCGGAGCTCTTCCTAAGGATTGTTTTAATTTAATACTTCATTGGTTTGATCCACTTACAAGTAAGATACTTTAATTGAGCCCCTATTGTTAGCCGGCTCTGTGCTGGTCAGTAATGTGTTCACAAGTTTGAGCCTTGTAAGAGCATTCATTTCTCACTTGACAAGACAACTGTTTGCAGGAGTGAGTGTGTGAGTGTGTTTAGGAATAAAGGAGATGGAGGGAACATGGTTGCAAATTTGGAGACTTTAATCTGATCCTTATTGTACCATATGTTAATGTTGTAGATTTCAGAAAATTATTTCATGTTTCACAGTTGAAATAAAGACACTATGTTCTTTCAGGTCTTTCAATACTGGAAAATGCTGTGATTCTCTGGACGCCTCAAGGAGCAGCAGCCCCGGGTATCTGATGATATGACAGAATGACAGCTGTTGACTAGAGAGTTTAATCTCTACCTATTTACAGGTAGGGATGCCTTCAATAAGTTAAAGTAAACTGAAAGTTTGTGAATAATTTAATCTGAGTAAAAACATTTTTCAGCAGGGTGAGGTGGCTCATGCCTGTAATCAAAGCACTTTGGGAGGACAAGGCGAGCGGATCACAAGGTCAGGATATTGAGACCTTCCTGGCTAACACAGTAAAACCCCACCTCTACTAAAAATACAAAAAATTAGCCTGGCATGGTGGCAGGCACCTGTAGTCCCAGCTACTCGGGAGGCTGAGGCAGGGGAATCACTTGAATCTGGGAGGTGGAGATTGCAGTGAGCCAAGATCACACCACCGCACTCTAGCCTGGGCAACAGAGCGAGACTCCATCATGGAAAAAAAAAAAAAAAGTTTTTTCAAGCGTGTCTCCTGATGCTGCCCCCAAGTTTAATGGCACCTCCAGAACATACACAGGCAAGGGGCTTGCAGGGGCCACCTGTGTGCAATGGAGGTTCTGAAGGTGCCTTTGTATAGCACTTACTCTAACAATGTGACAAGGTCAACTGTGCAATCAAAGAATTTAGGGGTTCGAGAGATCGATCAAGGACTCAAAGTTAGCTGTTGACAGAACAACTCTGTTTTAAAATAATTAATATTTTATGTGAAGAGTGTTCAATCCCTCATTCCTGGTTCCCACTGTGATTTTCTCATTTGATTGAGGCTATGGCCCGTTACTATTATGTTCTTTTGTTTTATCATAAGGGAAGATATAAGAAGACTGTGCTAATACGTTACAGAATGTTCAGGAAAGAGAGCCCTAGGGAAAAACTATGAATTACATCAGTTGATGTAATCATGTAATTTTAAACATATAATTCTACATTTAGATAATTATTATCCCTTATATTAATATAAATGTGACATCTAAGATTCAGAATGGACCTCAAAGTGCAACTATACATATAAATTTCTGCATTTAAATGCTACAATGAAAATGAGCATTTTACTTTGTTCTCAGAATTGTACTAAGGGATTTCTATACTTCATATTTTTTTTAATTCCCACATCAGCTCAGTAAAATAAACACCCTTTTCATGCTTACAGGTGGAAAGAGTAAAATGATGGAGATAAAACAACTTTTGCAAAGATATAAAGCTAGTAAATGGTACACTATAGGTTGAACCAAATTATATACCTGCAGAGGTCTGTCCCACAGAACCTGACCCAACAATGGGTGAATAATGTACACTGACATAGATATTATGCTTGTCAGTCTGGCTGAGAGTCCGGGCCGCTTACAGACTCCCAGGAGAGTGCTGTGAAGAGTTGCAACCGTGGCCCCAACTCACTGGCCCTCCAGGCATTTATTCAGCACACATTAAATGACAATAGTCTAAAGTAAACACCACTGCTAGGTAATTACAGGTGCTGACCCCAAGTAGAGAGCAATCATGCAACCTTGGATGGTCAAAGGTTAGTCTTAGGGCCACATAAGTAAACAAGCTATTTAGATAGACTCCCCTATATTACTATGTTAATTACCCTTGCTATAGCTCAAAAAGGATTAGGCTGCCTTCAGCTGTAACTCTAACCTGAGGCTTTTGCAAAAACCTTCCGGGTTTCCAAGAAGGTTTGTGTTTATTTTACAATTTTTCACACTGTCCTGACTGAACCCCTACATTTCCCCCTCAAGCTCAGCCACTATATCATACTCCTTCACATTCTATTTCTGAGAACAATGTCCCTTGTATTAAAATTATTTGCATCCCTTTAATTTATGGATGTGCATAGCAATAAGACTACTTCTTTTAATGAACGGCAGCATTATACAATTGGAGGAAGATACTGTGTAGCAATTCTATTTCTTTAAAAGGATTCCTCTCATCATCATCCTTACCCTCCTCTTGAAATGGCAACATTTGCATTTATCTTATGTGATGACACCCATAGCTTCTGAAAAGTCTCCTTATTAAAGGTAACAGTGACCTCAAAATTCCCAAATAGAAACTATTTCTCAGAATTATTATTTAGATTTCTCATCATAAAGTAGTAAATTTGATCATCATAAAGTAGAAGAAAAAAATGCCTCATTTACTTTGGAAAAACACACTTCTATTAATATACAAAGTTCAAAATCTCTTGGGTAAAATCACTATTTTCCCTGGATTTGAGAATAAACTAAGTCCTACTTTAGATTTCTTACTACTTTAGATTTCTCATCATAAAGTAGTAAATTTGATCATCATAAAATAGAAGAAAAAAATGCCTCATTTACTTTGGAAAAACACACTTCTATTAATACACAAAGTTCAAAATCTCTTGGGTAAAATCACTATTGTCCCTGGATTTGAGAATAAACTAAAGGATTATTAAAAAATAATCCATATGATACCAGTACACTCAGCCCAGTGCAATACAAATTAGTGTATTTTGGTAAGAAAGACTTGTTAATAGACATAGCAATTTTTGGTTATAGACTCTTCTGGTACTTGGTAGTATGGGCTTGTACATACATAAAGCTAGGCCCCTAAGATTTTTGGGTAATTACATGTCTCCAGTTTGTTGGAACTGTCATGCTGTCTTTATCAGTTTCCAAAGGAACTGACCAGTTTATCTTTATCAATTTCCAAAGGAACGTCCCAATAATAATTCAATACTATTGGAAGTTGTGCAATTGCAACCAGAACATCAATTTAACTTGGTCAACAGAAAATGATAATTTACTTAGAAACTAATTTGGTCCCAGCTACTCAGGAGGTGGGAGGATTGCTTGAACCTGGAAGGTCCAGGCTGCAGTGACCCAAGATCATGCCACTGCATTCCAGCCTGGGAAACAGAGGGAGAGCCTGTCAAAAAAAAAAAAAGAAGGAAAGAAAGAAAGAGAAAGAAAGAAAGAAAGAAAGAAAGAAAGAAAGAAAGAAAGAAAGAAAGAAGAAAGAAAAGAAAGGAAAGAAAAGAAAAGAAAAAAGAAAAGAAAAGAAAAGAAATTGTGAAAAAATAAAGAAACTAATTGTGAGGATGGTAATCTAAGAAAGCCAGCTAAGGTTCATGATGACACCCACCCAGGCCTCCCCTGCTCCATACAGGCAAGGGGGAGCCCCAGGCACCCCTGAGTGCTATAGGAAGAACTTGCAAAGACATTACCCTTGCCCCAGATGCCCAACTAAGCCCAGCAAGGGGAGCTGCCCACCCCACACTGTGAAAAGGTGTGACAGGGGCTACCTGTAGGCTCCACGGAGTGGGTGAAAGCCCCACCCTCCCCACAGCAGGATCCAGGCCTCTCTGCACTCTGTGCACTCAAGGCTGAGAAGACGCCCCGTCCCTGCAGGCTTGGGGGTGTCTACTCCCACTGCCTGGCCTCTCTGGTCTCCCAGGCATGCACTCTGATGTAAGAGTGGAGTTGGGGCTAAGCCCCGGTACTGTCACAGCCTGGCGGGGTGTGTGCATGCTCAGGGCAACATTGACACACCAGCCTCCTGCCATCTCAGCCATGGGGAAGCTGAGGGGAGATGGGTTGAGGGTAACTGGCACTGGCCTACAGGTGCCCCTTGCCATGAGCAGCCTGGGCACCAGGGAGGGCCTGAAGGCTGTGGGCTGGGCTGCCAGTCCTGCTGACAGGAGTGGGAACTTGTGCCTTATCTGGGCCTGCCCCATAGCCGTCCATGATGTGCACTTCCTCCCCTCTGAGGCCCGTAAAAGCCCTGGGCTCAGGCAGACGTGAGCAGAAGATGGAGAGAGTGGAGAGAGAGGACAGGGAGATTAGGGATGACCTGCTGCAGAGAGGAGTTGCCCTCCCCAGGGTCTCCTCTCAGCGGTAGAGTGGAGCTGCCCTCACCAGGGTCTCCTGTCTGCTGAGAACTGAGGAAAGGACAGGATGATCAGCTGCAGAGAGAAGCTACCCTTTCTGCTGAGAGCTGAACAGGTGTCTGGACAACCTGGCTATGGAGAGGAGCTGCCCACTGAGGGTCTCTGAGCTGTCCTATTGCTTAATAAAGCTCCTCTTTATCCTGCTCATCCTCCACTTGTCTGCATACCTCATTCTTCCTGGACACAGGACAAGAACCATGGATCTGCCAAATGGTAAGGCAGAAACCTCAAACACAAAGAGGGCTGAAAATGCCCCTTGCTTGCCATGTCGTGGGCAAGACGTGTCTCTTCAGAGAGCCCAAATCTTGGAGCTCAGAGCCAGGGATGTGACCACCTTTTTGGGGCCTGTGGTTCCCGGGGTCTCCAAGCTTCCAGGTGCCACCACTTTCCCCAGTGCCGGCTGTGGAAGTTGCTTGCAGTGCGCCTGGTTCCAGCTGCAGCCTCACAGGGAGCTGGCACCCATGCCGTCTCCCAGAGCTGCCTGCCCTATACAGCCAATATGCCTGGCTGTGCACAGTGGCTGGACCCCTGCTCACTTGCTCACACATCCCTCACTATGTGAATCACACTTGGCAGGTGTGGAATCCAGGCTGGTAGTGTGAGCAGAGCAGAGCCTGCCAGCCAAAGTGGGTGGAATGAGCCCAGCTAGCCTGAGCAAAACTCAGGCAAAGGCATTACCAGCCACAAGATTCTGGCAAGAAAAGTGAAACCCAGTGATCCCGTATCAGTTATATGGTTAGGCTGGCTCTGTTTCCCCACCCAAATCTCATCTGGAATTATAATCCCCATAATCTCCACATGTCCAGGGTGGGACCTGGTGGGAGATTACTGGATCATGGGTGCGGTTTCCCCCATGCTGTTTTGTAATAGTGAGTGAGTTCTCATGAGATGTGATGGTTTTATGTGTTTGACAGTTCCTCCTATGGGGTCCATACTCTCTCGCCTACTGCCATGTAAGATGGGCCTCTTCCCCTTCTGCCATGATTGTAAGTTTCCTGAGGCCTTCCCAGCCACGCAGAACTGTGAGTCAATTAAACCTTTTTTCCTTTATAAATTTCCCAGTCTCATGTATTTTCTTATGGCAATGTAAAAACAGACTATTACAGGTGGCAAAGAAAAGTAATTCTTTATCAATAGCATACTGAAATAGGGTTAAAGGGAGCACTTTCAAAACTTGTTCCAATCCTTTTATTATCACTATGCAATGCTTCTGGAATATACTGCATAGGATTCTTTCTGTACTATGGAATTTTCTAAACATTCTGTGGGGACCTTTTCCATGTACTTACTGCTTCAAGTTTCTTCAAATAGTGATTTTTCTGAATATACTATACTATTCTGATGGTTCTTGGGTGAATTTTCTGATTTGCAGTGAGGGGAGCTAGAGGATTTATGTGATCCCTGCATCCTGAATAGTCTGAATGTCGAATGTATCATATAAGCTCTGGAATTGTTAGAGTAGGCAGAGAGCCAGAAATGAGCAGGCAAGGGAGCCCCTGGGAAAAGAAGTCTTGGAGTCACTGACCACTAATAATCAGCACTGCGCACTAATAGCAAAAAGGACAATGGCTACAATGGCTACATCTGGCCTTGTGGTTGGGCTCCTCCGGCCCTGGAGGGGACGTATCAGGTCCTAGCCAGAAACAGCCATGGCAGGGACTTCCTCCACTGACGAAATTGTGCACTCCTCCAATAACTTGCCCTAGAATAGCTTTTTGCTCATTATGGTAGTGAAAAACACAGCTCTGGGTGGAGATTTTAAATACTGAGACATGCAACATGTGTAGTAGCAAGTACAAGACAGAGCATGCGCACCCAAACAGTCCTCCTGAAACATGCTTGCAAGAGACACCCCCTCAGGCCCCTTCCTGAATAGTCATGTAAGATTCTCATAAAGAGAGTCCTTCAGCACTGGCTGCTGCTGGCTCCTTCTTTTGAACACCCCAGTCTGTCTCCTCTTTCAGAGCATACTGTCTCTAAATAAACACTGCTACCACTATTTTTCCAGTTGGAACAGCCCAGAACGGTTTTCTACTTCTCTCTAGGAATGTACTTTATCTTCCTTCAACAAACTCTGCTACTCAACCCTTCCTATGCATCCTTGGCTGATATTTTTCTTCTAAGTGAGACAAGAATGGGGGATTCGTGCACTTTTTAGTAACGGAATTAATCAGAAATATCCAGGCTCACTGGGCTTGGTTTCTTTCTGAGCATGTGCAGGCAATTCTATTGCTGTCGTCTAGTCTTCAGTAGGAAAACCATAAAGCATGGTTTTTTCTGTTGGGAGACATCTACTGGGCAATGGGTTCAGAATAGGTTTTTGGTTCTTGAGTCTACAAGTCAACAACATATCTGTATCTTCAGTAGAGTGAATCTGAAACCCCAGGGTTTGGCCTCTGAGAATGGGTGAGACGGAGAGGAGAAATAAGGGGTAGACTGGGGAGTAGAATGAGAAGAGGACCCACAAATATGACAAGATTTACATATCATCATTGCTCACTCCAGACTTAGTGAGGAATGAGATCAGACACTGAAGATTGACATTGCCTGTTCTTTTTTTCCTTTATTTTTTTTCCCTTTCTTTCTTTTTTTTCAGACAGTGTCTCGCTCTGTCATCAGGCTGGAGTGCAGTGGCTTGACCTTGGCTCACTGCTATGAATACAGACGTGAGCCACCGAGCCTGGCCAGGTCAATTTTTACCAACCATAAGTCTGTAATCCCAGCACTTTGAGAGGCTGAGGTGGGCAGATCACAAGGTCAAGAGATAGAGACCATACTGGCCAACATGGTGAAAACCCGTCTCAACTAAACATACAAAAATTAGCTGGGCATGGTGGTGTGTGCCTTTAGTTTCAGCTAGTCGGGAGGCTGAGGCAAGAGAATCACTTGAACCCAGGAGGAGGATTGCCGTGAGCCGAGATCGCACCACTGCACTCCAGTCTGGTGACAGAGCAAGACACTGTCTGAAAAAAATAAAGAAAGAAAGAAAAGAAAAGGAAAAGGAAAAGCCTTGGATGCCTGTTTTATTACCAGGAAAACAGTCTGACTTGTTACTGAAACCATCATATATTTGGACATGTATATTTAAGTAGAAAAACTGAGTAATGGGAACAGGGGCAGGATACAGCATTAAGATGAGAAGAGAATATTAGAAACACAGTGAGCTATTGCTCATTTATCTGTAAAAGTATGATGATACTTATTTCTAAAACTGTTATTAGAACCTACCACAAACCATAAAGATGAATTATCCATAACAGTGTGATAGACTGCAAGTAAATATTGAGTTAGATTTGGATTTCATCTGGGCTGTATCATTTACTAGCTATGTTTTCACTGGTATCTTACTTACCTTAGCCTTGGATTCCTCATAGAAATACTGATGTGAATTTTTACTACATTGAATTATTATCAGAATTAAAGGGAAAAAGTAAGCAAAGTAATTAGGTAACATGTTTGGTGATAATAACATACTGCAAAAACTATACTTTCCATTCTATTCCTCAAAATGTCTATGACATAATTATAAAAAATAAAACAAGCACACATAAAGACAGCATGACCTTGTAAGACTTACCAACAAATAACAAGTTTCTCTATCTATGGTTTAGAGAATCCAAGCAGAATTTTGAAAATATTATGGATAGAATAGGCATGAATGTTTTGTAACATATCTACAATTTTAATATAAAGTAAGTAGATGAGCAGTAGAAAATGCAGTCAAATGTAGAAAAATATGGAATGAAAAAGCAAAAATAAATCCATATCATTTCATGTAACAAGACCTTTTTTTAAAGTAGATTTAAGTGTACACAAAAATTGCAGAGGAATTTCAGGGAGTTCCCATATCCCCTCCTCCCTAAAACAGCCCTCTGCTCATTTTCTCCTATTATTAACATCCTATTTGAGTGTGGTACACTTGTTACAACTGATGAACCAATACTGGTACTTATTGTTAACTGAGGTCCATAGTTAAATTAGGGTTAATTCTTATTATATAGTTCTATGGGTTCTGATAAATACATAATGTCATATGTCCACCATTAAAGTGAAACTGACCCAAGAGTCCCATAGACAATTTTTAAAATAAACATAGAAATGGACACTTATTGTCTTTTCTGTTTGTTTTGTTTTGTTTTGTTTTGTTTTGAGATGGCTTCTCACTCTGTTGCCCAGGCTGGAGTGCAGTGGCGCAATCTCAGCTCACTGCAAGCTCTGCCTCCTGGGTTCACGCCATTCTCCTGCCTTGGCCTCCCAAGTAGCTGGGACTACAGGCGCCCGCCTCCATGCCAGGCTATTTTTTTTGTATTTTTAGTAGAGACGGGGTTTCACTGTGTTAGCCAGGATGGTCTCCATCTCCTGACCTCGTGATCTGCCCGCCTCAGCCTCCCAAAGTGCTGGGATTACAGGCATGAGCCACTGCACCCAGCCTATCGTCTTAAAGCTTGAAACTTGTATTTGTTTTATCTGAGTTCCTTTCCAAAAAAAAAGATCCCCCAAGCCTCTCAAAAATAATCCAAGAACTGGAACTCACCAGATCATCTCATCCAGACAATGAGACTCCAGGTTCCTCATTCATCATGATTGTTCCCTTACCCCTCCCTGGTTCCTGTTTTTCCATACATAGTTACATTTCCTCCCTGCTGTATAAACCCCTAATTTTATTCAGTCACAGAAATGGCTTTGACGCTGGTCTCCTATCTCCTAAGCTGCAGCACCTGATTAAAGATTAAAACCTTCTTTGGCAATACTCATTGTGATCTCAGAGATTGGCTTTCTGTGTGGCAAGCAGCAAGACCCAGGCTGAAGCCCTCGTGTGCAAGACCTAGACTGAACTCCTGGTGTCTCAGTAAAAAGAGTAACCTATGAAGTAGTTTCACTGACCTAAAATTGCCCCAGGCTCCACCTACTCATCCATTCTTCCTCCTCCTGAACTCCTGGAAACCATTATTTACTGTCTGTATTTTTGCCTTTTCTAGAATGTTATATAGTTGTAATCATATGGTATATAGTTTTTTCAGACTGGCTTCTTTCACTTAACAGTATGCATATAGGTTTTCTCCATGTCTGTTCATAGCTTGATAGCTTATTTCTCTTTAATGTTGAATAATAACCCATGGTATGGATATACCACAATTTGTTTATCCATTCACCTACTGGAGCACATCTTGGTTGCTTTGGATTTTTGGCAATTATGAATAAAGCTGCTATAAACATTTGTGTACACCTGTTTGTATGGACCGAAGTTTTCCATTCATTTGAGTAAATACTTTGGATTGCAATTGCTGAATCTTATAACAGAGTATGTTTAGCTTTGAAAGAAACAGCCAGAGTGTCTTCCAGATGAGGCAGGAGAATAGGGTCTGGAGGCAGGGAACCTAAGGCCTCTATTCATGCTGACTTCTGAATAGAACTAAATTGAAAGGAAAACCCTAGCTTTCTATGCCTAAGCAACAAAAGGACCAGAGACTACTCCCTTTGCAAACCCCTACCTTTTCTGCAAGGCAGATGGGAAATTGAAAGTACCTCTGATTTGTTGTTTTTTGCAACCAATCAGATTTTTGCATAGGAGTGTAGCATTGTAACTTCATTTCGGCCTCGATTGGTTGTGGAATTGTTTCCCTCAAAATTTCTACAGCCCGGTGATGAAAATCTAAGAAAAGCAAAATAAAACAAGCACAAAACAAGGTGCCATAACCTAGTAAGACTTACTAATAAATAACAAGTTTCTTTACCTATGGTTTAGAGAAAGCAGACTGTTGAGAATGTTGCAAATAGGATGTTTGTTAACATCTACAATTTTAATATAAAATAAATAGATGAACAATAGAGAATAAACTCAAACTCAGACAAGCATAGAATGAAAAGCAAAACTAAATCCATATCCTCCCATGTAACAAGACCATTTTTAAAGCAGTTTTAAGGTATAAAAAATTTTCAGAGAAAATTTAGGGAGTTCCCCATACCTCCTTCCCTAAAACAGCCCTCTGTTCAGTTTCTCCTATTATTAACATCCTGCATTAGTGTGGCATGCTTGTTACAATTAATGAACCAATACTGATACTTATTGTTAACTGAGGTTCATACTTATATTGGGGTTCACTCTATTACACAGTTCTATGGGTTCTGGAGATACACAATGTCATGTATCTACCATCAGTGTGAAACCAACCCAATAGTCCCATAAGATAGTTATTTGGATAAACGTAGAAATTGACCCCTCTGCTCTTAAAGCTTGAAATTTACATTGTTTTGTCTGAATTCCTTTCTCAAGAAAGGATGCTCAGGTCTCTCAACAATTATCAAATAACTGGAACTCACCAGATCATCACATCCAGATCATGAGATGCCAGTCCCCATCATTCATTATGATTGCTTCCTTATTGTCTGGAGTTCTTGTTTTCCCATACATAGTAACATTCCTTCTTTCTTTGCACATAAACCCCTAATTTTAGTCAGTCAGGGAGAGACTGATATCCCATCTACTCAGCTGCAGTGTCTGATTAAAGATTAAAGCCTTCTTCCTTGGCAATACTTGTCATCTCAGTGATTGGCTTTGTGTGTGGCCAGGGCAGGAGCTAGACAAACCCACGGTGTTTCAGCAACAAAAGCATCATACAAAGTAGTTTCCCTAACTATGCCTGAGGCTCAATCTACTCACCCATCCCTCCTCCTCCTGAACCCCTGGACTATTTACTGTCTGTATTTTTGCCTTTTCCACAGTGTCATATAGTTGTAATTATACAGTATAGAGCTTTTTCAGGCTGGCTCCTTCCACTTAGCAATATCCCTATAGGTTTCCTCCATGTGTTTTCATAACTTGATAGCTTATTTCTCTTTACTGTTGAATAATACTCCACGGTATGGATATATCACAATTTCTTTATCCACTCACCTGTTGAGGACATCTTGGGGGCTTCCAATTTTTGGCAATTATGAATAAAACTGCCATAAACATCCATGTACAGGTATTTGTGTGGACATAAGTTTTTCAGTCATTTGAGTAAATACTCAGAGGTGCCATTGCTGGATTATATGGTAAGAGTATGTTTAGCTTTGTAAGAAACAGCCAGAGTGTCTTCCAAAGTGGCTGTACTGTTTTGCATTCCCACCATCAATGAATCTGAGTCCCTGTTGTTCTACATCCTTGCCAGCATTCGGTTTTGTGAGAGTTTTGGATTTCAGCCAAAAAGAAAAATGCTTTTTAAAAACTTTTTACTTGGAAATCATTATAGAGTCACAGGAAATTGCAAAGATGGTACAGATGACACGTGTGCCCTTTCACCCAGTTTTTCCAAATGTTTATATCTTAAGTAGCTCTAGCACAGTAGCAAAACCAGGACTTTGGTAGAATATGTGTCCATAGTTCTATGCCTGTGTCTTATCATATTTGCAGATTTATGTAACCACCATGCAATCTAGAGCTATTCCATCCCACAGAGATCTCCCCTCATGCTGCCCTTCAGAGTCACACCCTACTCCCTACACACCATCACCCTGACAACTAAAAACCACTAATCTCTTCTCCACCAATCTCTATAATAGTGTCCTTTTGAAAATGTTACGTAAATAGAATCACACAGTATGTGACTTTTGTGACGGGCATTTTCCCCTCGGCGTAATGTCCTTGAGATTCATCCAAGTTGTTACATGTATTAACAATTTGCTCTTTTTTATTGCTAAGGAATACTCCATCAGAGGAAGGCACTGCAGTTTAACTCTTTGCCTGTTGAGGGATATTTTGGCTGTTTCTAGTTGTGGGGCTATTACAAATAAAGCTGTTATGAACATTTGTGTAAGATTTTTGTGTGAACATGTGTTTTTGTTTCTCTGATATAAATGTGTCAGAATGTAATTCCTGACTCATATGGCAAATATATGTCTAGTTCTTCAAGACATTGACTCACTATTTTTAGAAGGACTGTACCATTTTACATTCTCACCATCAGTGTATGAGAAATCCAGTTTTTCTGCATTCTCACCAGCATTTACCATTGTCAGTTGTTTTAAAATTTTAGCTGTAGTAAGAAGTGTGTAGCACTATTACATTAAGTCCTTAATTTGCATTTCCCTGATGGCTAGTGATTTGCATGTCATTCATTGTGCTTATTTGCCATGTATATATATCCTCTTTGATAAAATGTCTCTTCATATCTTTTGCCCATTTTGAAATTAAATTTTATAGTTTGCATTCTACTATAGATTTTATATTAGAGCTTTTATAGTTGATCGTATGTTCTAGATACTGTATTCTTGGTAATGTATGTGGTTTTAAATATTTTCTCCATAACTCTAGCTTGCTTTTCATTTCTTAGCAGGACACCTTACAGAACAAAAGTTTTCAATTTTGATAAAGCCCAATTTATTGATTTTGTTTGTTTATTTGTTTGTTTTTTGTTTTTTACACATAGCACTTTTGGTGTCATGTCTAAGAACTCAGAACTCAGACCCCCGGCCCTAGCTCCTGATGATTTTCTCATGTTTTCTTCGAAAAGTTTTACATGTAAACATGATTTAATTGGGGAAAATGTTTTCATAAGGTGTGAGAATTTGTTAAGTTTGTTTCTTGCTTCTTTTTCCTTTGAGTTCTTTTTTGTTTTTGTTTGGTTTTGTTTGGTTTTGTTTTTGTCTATGGATTTCCACTTTCTCCTAGACTATTGTTTGAAAAGACTATAGACTATATTATCTCCATTGAATTATTTTGCATCTTCATCGAAATGAGTTGGCATAAGTGTTTTTCTGGATTCTCCATACTGCTCCACCAATCTATGTCTATCCCTGTACTAATGTCAATCAATATTATTATAGTTATAAAAATTCTGAAATTTGGTTACAGTTAATTCTCCATCTCTTTTTCCCTATGAAATTCGTTTGACCTATACTAGTTCCCTTGCTTCTCCATAAACATTTTAGAACAACTTTGTCTACAACTATTACAAATCTTGCTGGAATTTAGAGAGAAATTGTGTTAAACCTGAATATCAAATTGGGTAGAATTGACATCTTTCTTATATTTAGTTTTCTAGTTGATGAACACAGTAAATCTCTCAATTTCTTTAGATTTTTTAATTTCTTTATCAGCATTTCAGCATATCGACTGTGTACATGTTCTGTTGGCATACTTATGAGGTTTTTTGAGTGAAGCTAATTCATGTTGTATTTTTAATATTTGTTTTGATTTGTTTATTACTGTATATTCCAATAAAATTGATTTTTTGGTTGATCTTGAATTCTGTGACCTTTGTGAATTTCATCATTAGCTGAAGCAGAAGAGGAAAAACTTTCAGTCTTCCACCCTTAAGTATAATTTAGCCGCAACATTTTTGTAGAAGTTATTTATCAAGTTGAGTAGGGCCTCCTCTATTCCTACTATTCAGAGGCTTTTTTGTTTTGTTTTGTTTTGTTTTTTACCATAAATGAACATTGAATTATGTTGAAGGTCGTTTCTACATCAATTGATAGAATCATTCAATGTTTCTTCTTTAGCTTGTTAATAAGATGGATGACACTGATTTCAAACATTAAACCAGACTTGCATCCCTAGAGTAAATGCTACTTGGCATAGTTTATATATTTTTTCAGTTTGGCAGATTTTTATTTGCTACTATTTTGTTAGGGAGTTTTGCATCTATAGTCAAGCAAGTATATTGCTTTTTAATTTTCTTTTGCTGTTCTATTTTTGTGTCCTTTTGATTTTAGGAAATGCTGGCCTCATGAAGTGAGTTGGGATGTGTTCCCTTCTCTTCTGTTTTCTGGAGGAAATTTTGCAGGCTTGTCTTAATTCTACTGAAATGTTTGGTAGATTTCTCCTGTGAAACTATTCTGGCCTAGAGGTTTCTCTTTCAGCAGTCTTTATATTATAAGTTCAATTTCTTTCATAATTACACTGCTTTTCAATTTATCTATTTGATATTGAGTTAGTTGTAAAAGTGTGTACTTTTTAAGAATTTTTTTTTCCATTTCACCTAAGTGTTTTTGGTGTATTCCTCTGGTATACTATTGATGCCAAAGGATCTGTAGTGATATAACATGTTTCAATCCCAATATTGGTGTTTTTTCTCCTTTTTCCCTTTATTTTGTCTAGAAATTTGTGAGTTCTATTAATCTTTTCAAAGAAGAAAATTTTTTAGTTGTAAAAGTGTGTACTTTTTAAGAATTTTTTTTCCATTTCACCTAAGTGTTTTTGGTGTATTCCTCTGGTATACTATTGATGCCAAAGGATCTGTAGTGATATAACATGTTTCAATCCCAATATTGGTGTTTTTTCTCCTTTTTCCCTTTATTTTGTCTAGAAATTTGTGAGTTCTATTAATCTTTTCAAAGAAGAAAATTTTTCTTTCACTGGTTTTCTCTATTTTTTTTTTTTTTTTTGAGATGGAGATTCACTCTTGTTGCTTAGGCTGGAGTGCAATGGTGCAATCTCGGCTCACCACAACCTCTGCCTCCCGGGTTCAAGCAATTCTCCTGCCTCTGCCTCCTGAGTAGCTGGGATTACAGGCATGCACCACCATGCCCAGCAAATTTTGTATTTTTAGTAGAGACGGTTTCTCCATGTTGGTCAGGCTGGTCTGGAACTCCAAAGCTTACAGAGCAACAATGGTTCGGCTTTTAATAAAAACCACAATAACTCAGGGAATTTCCAGGGCGCTAGGGATACAATATCACCTTCACTGGGCCTGGAGGCCACAATCCTCAGGGAAGGTTGAGAAGGCAAATGAATCACTTAAGAGGCACTTAAGAAAACTAACACAAGAAACTCATCTCCCATGGCCTACTCTTTTGCCCATGACCTTGCTGAGAATCCAAAATTCTCCTCACAAAATGGGGCTCAGTCCATACGAAATGCTGTATGGATGACCTTTTCTCACAAATGACCTCCTACTTGATCAGGAAATGGTCAACTTGGTCAAAGATATAACTTCTTTGGCAAAATATCATCAAAACCTTAAAAACCTACCTGAGGGATGTCACAGAGAAAAGGAAACAAGAGTTGTTTCAACCAGGAGATCTAGTGTTGGTCAAATCTCTTCCCTCTACCTCCCCATCTATGGACTCTTTGTGGAAATGACCATTCTCGGTAATCCTCTCTACCCCCACTGCAGTTAAGGTGGCGGGAGTGGAATCTTGGATTCACCACACCGGAGTTAAATTTTGGACACGCCCTGAGGAACCTGCGGGACCGTCCCAAGATCAGCCAGACCAGCCTCGATACACCTGCGAACGAGTGGAGGACTTGCATCTCCTATTTCGGAAGGAAACATCCCAGACTAAAAAAGCTCCTACTACTGATCCTGAAGAAAAAAACCCTTCCTTCTTAAAAAAGACAAGTGAAAACCTACATAATCTTTACTTTTAACACCTCTCCTTGCCCCTTTAATGGGATCCTTTTACTATTTCATCATATTATTAAGCAGCGTACTAACCATACTCTTTGTGATAGGACTATAAACTGTAGCTCCTGCCGGGACGAAAATCCTAATCACGTCAACCTTCTTTCTTTTTTTTTTTTTTTTTAATTGATCATTCTTGGGTGTTTCTCAAAAGAGGGGGATTTGGCAGGGTCATAGGACAATAGTGGCGGGAAGGTCAGCAGATAAACAAGTGAACAAAGGTCTCTGGTTTTCCTAGGCAGAGGACCCTGCGGCCTTCCGCAGTGTTTGTGTCCCTGGGTACTTGAGATTAGGGAGTGGTGATGACTCTTAACGAGCATGCTGCCTTCAAGCATCTGTTTAACAAAGCACATCTTGCACAGCCCTTAATCCATTTAACCCTGAGTGGACACAGCACATGTTTCAGAGAGCACAGGGTTGGGGGTAAGTCACAGATCAACAGGATCCCAAGGCAGAATAATTTTCCTTAGTACAGAACAAAATGAAAAGTCTCCCATGTCTACTTTCTACACAGACAGGGCAACCATCCGATTTCTCAATCTTTTCCCCACCTTTCCCCCCTTTCTATTCCACAAAACCGCCATTGTCATCATGGCCCGTTCTCAATGAGCTGTTGGGTACACCTCCCAGATGGGGTGGTGGCCGGGCAGAGGGGCTCCTCACTTCCCAGTAGGGGCGGCCGGGCAGAGGCGCCCCTCACCTCCCGGACGGAGCGGCTGGCCGGGCGGGGGGCTGGCCCCCCACCTCCTTCCCGGACGGGGCGGCTGGCCGGGCAGAGGGGCTCCTCACTTCCCAGTAGGGGCGGCCGGGCAGAGGCGCCCCTCACCTCTCGGACGGAGGGGGTGGCTGCCGGGCGGAGACGCTCCTCACTTCCCAGACGGGGTGGGTGCCGGGCGGAGGGGCTCCTCACTTCTCAGACGGGGCGGCAGGGCAGAGACGCTCCTCACATCCCAGACGGGGTGGCGGCCGGGCAGAGACGCTCCTCACTTCCTAGATGGGATGGCGGCCGGGAAGAGGTGCTCCTCACTTCCTAGATGGGATGGCGGCTGGGCAGAGACGCTCCTCACTTTCCAGACTGGGCAGCCAGGCAGAGGGGCTCCTCACATCCCAGCCGATGGGCGGCCAGGCAGAGACGCTCACTGCAACCTCTGCCTCCTGGATTCAAGTGATTCTCCTGCCTCAGCCTCCCCAGTGGTTGGGATTACAGGTGCCTGCCACCACGCCTGGCTAATTTTTGTATTTTTAATAGAAATGAAGTTTCTCCATGTTGGCCAGGCTGGTCTCAAACTCCTGACCTCATGATCCACCCGCCTCGGCCTCCCAAAGTGCTTTGATTACAGGCGTGAGCCACTGCGCCTGGCCAGGATTGTTTCTTTAACACGGATGTTTAGAATGGGATTTTTGTTGTTTCATTAAGCATGTAACAATTGCATTTTGAGTTTTAATAGATACTATCACACTACCATCCACTCACAATCCTAATATGAGAGAATCTATTCCCATAGAATCTTCTAAATCTTTGATTTTAAAGCAAACTATTGTGTTTGCCAGTTTTGTGGAGGATAGTTTATTACATTGCTATTTGAATTTGAATTTTTTTGTTCATTTGTGAGTTTGAGCTAATATTTATATATATTGACTATTGAAATATTCTCTTATATAATCAGTCTATATCCTTTGCCCAATGTTCTGTGGCATTTCCATTAATTTATTGATTAGTTAACAATTTTTCATAAGAAATTTAGCCCATCGTCTGCCTTATGTGATCAAAATTTTTCCTGAACTTCATATACTTCTTTTAATTTTGTTATTTTCTTCATGCAAAGAAATCCATAATTTTCTTCAATTTTTTTCACTTGTGTCTTCTGGATTTTGTCTTGCTTACAGTGTCTTATTTTTTAAAAAAGAATTATTTTAACAGCTTTACTAAAGCGTAATTTACATATTACAAAATTCACTTATTGTACATGTAAAATTTAATGATTTTAGTAAATTAATAGATTTGTGCAATTATCACAACAATCCAGTTTTATAACATTTCTGTCACGTTCAAAATTTCTCTATTTATAGTTAATTCCCACCAATAGCCCAAGTCCTAGGCATCCAATGATATGCTTTTTGTGTCTATAATTTATCTCTTCTGGATATTTCAAGTAAATGAAATCATACGACATGTAATCTTTTGTGTCCAGTTTCCATCACTTAGTTAACATTATTGAAGCTCATCAGTTTGTAGTATGTATCATCATTTTGTTTCTTTTCATTTCTTTTTATTTTCTCTTTTTTCATTTGTATAAATGTATAAGATCCAAGTGTAGTTTTGTTACATGCATAGATCGTATAGTGGTGAAGTTAGTGTTTCTACAGTATCCACCACCCAAATCACATGCATTGTCCCCATTAAGTAATGTCTCATCATCCAGAGTGCATGGGTTGAAACTTGCCTTGGGAAAACTATCCTCATGTTTATGGTATCTCCCCTGTCAGATAAGTCTGTTTTTGTTCCCTTTTATTGTTGAATGATATTGCCTTGCATGGATGTAGTATCATTTTGTTAATCCATTTACTAATTGAAGGATATTTGTATTGTTTTCAGTTTGGGCCTGCTATGGCTAAGGCTGTTCTGAACCCTTGAACACATATCTTTGTGAGGACATATGTTTTTATGTCTCAGGTAGATTCCAAGGAGTGAAATTGCTGGGTCATATGGCAAATTTATGTTAAACTTTTTAAGAAATTGTCATATTTCCAGATATTTGTAAAATCATACATTCCCACCAATAATACATAAGGATTTAGAAAGTCTGTTTGTCTTCAAACATATTTATAATGATGATGATAGAAATAACATCTGTCAGCTGGATGTGGAGGCTCACGCTTGTAGTCCCAGCACTTTCGGAGGGCGAGGTGTCAGATCACGAGGTCAGGACTTGGAGACCAGCCTGGTCAACATAGTGAAAACCCGTCTCTACAAAAAATATAAAAATTAGCCGGGCATGGTGGCGGGCGTCCATAGTCCCTGCTACTTTGTAGGCTGAGGCAGGAGAAATGCTTGAACCCAGGAAGCAGAGATTGTGGGGATCCGGGATCGCGCCACTGTATTTCAGTCTGGGCAATAGAGTGAGACTCCGTCTCAAAAAATAAAAAAAAAATCTATCTTGTTAATTTTATATTGTCCCTTTATGTTTCAACTTTTATTTATCCAGGATCCATTTAATGAAAGAAATGAGTTTGGAATGCAACTTACAAAAAAATGAAACTAAATCTCAACTCTTTCTGTTTCTAATTCTATACTCTGTTTTACTAGCGTATTTAATAAAAAAAATCCGTAACAAATGCATTTTAAAAAATAAATGTATAGTACGTTTTGGGACCTTAAAGAGCTAGTCATTCTTTATTCTACCTTTTTTCAAAAATTTCCTGGAAAATATATTTATCTCATAAAATAACATGTCAGCATGCTTAATTGAGTTCTAAAAACAATCGTTTTTGCTTGCTTTTTTGTTTTATTGTAATTGAGTTAATGGCTGACATTTTATATATATACACACATATATACACATTTTATATATATACACATATATACACATATATATACACATATATATGTGTATATATATGTGTATATACTCATTCCAATATGTGAGAAAGTGGGTACTGGGAAAACTCTGGAAACAGTTTAGTTGCTGCTTATAAACGCACACAGGAAAATGTAGTATCTTTTTCCTGCATTTGAAGTTGTTGTGAAAGAATAAGAAACCTAAAGCTGCTGCGGGGGTCCTCCTACCATCTCAGGAAAGCTGACATGCTGTGTGTGATAGAGAGATGAGCTATGAAGTCCCAGGATCACTGGTGATGCCACTGGCCTGCTGAGTTGAGCAAACCTGGAGATGCCCAGCCTTGGATCTATTGGCTATGTGAGATAATGGGTGAAAGAAAAATACACCCCACTAGATCAGATTTCCTGCTGTTCACAGCAGAAGGCATCTTCATTATAATATTCAACCCACACATTTTAGTTCTACCTTATAATTCCACACCACAAGTCTCATATGAATGAGACAAATCATTTTCTCAACTTAGGGAACAAAGTCTTATTTGTTGCAACTCTGGGATCAAACAGAGCAGACATAATTATCAGCTTAATATATTCTTATAGGTTTTATATTCTTATAGAATTTATATGTACCTTTACACACCTGGTATGTATGTACAAGTAACATGTAATATAACTAAAAATGAAATATGCACAAAATATACACTGAATTTGATTGAAAATAAAATAACAGTTGTCTCTGACGGTAGAAAAATTATGCTCAAATGATTATGTTGAAATAAAATTTGAATTGATTATGTACTTTTAGATTTGACATATTTGATACTGACTCTCAGAATACAATGGAGAACCCTCCATCTTCTAAATTTGTCTTTCTCTGAAATCTGTACAAGTCCTTTGATAATACCATATAATTGAAATCTCTGGAATGAAAAACTATATACTAATTTACAGTTATAGACACACAATATTGTAGACGGGGTTGAGAAAGAGTTCTGATTGACTTGCTAGCTGGTTTATCATCTCATGTTTGCCAAGTTTGTTTCAGTTCTTATAGTCTGTTCTCAGTTTTTATGCATCACCTTTTTAAACGTTAGGTTTACTTTTTAAATTGACAAGTAAAAATTGTGCATTTATGTCATACAGCATGAAGTTTTGATATATGCCTGTAGTGTAAAATGTCTAAATCAACCTATTTAACATATGCACTATCTCACATACTTATGACATATCCATGAAAACCATTATTCTATCGGGAAATAATCTTCACTTTTTCTTTTCTTTTTATTTTTTGTCCTTGGGGCCAAATGACCAGACGATTTTTAACTCCATGTTTGAGAAACATTTAATAATGTAATGTGTTTGTGGCACAGCAGGAGTACAGATGCATGGGAGGCAGGAAGCATTAGGTAAAGGGGAGCACAAAACTTGGAAGATGAGGGGCTGCCATTAATGCTGGGACTTCAGGCCAAAGGTACGAGCTGAGGCAGCCACAAGGGAGGACATTTTCTGCAGAGCTGCTGAACCAGTAGCAACCAGGTCCGGAGAAAGGTCTCTCTTGTGGAAGAATGAGAGCCAAGCGGGGAAGTGTTTCATCCTGCAAAGCTGGGGCAGAAGGTTCTTCCTTGAATGTGGTCATCTTCACTTCAGCTCAGGAATCCTGCAGAGACGCAAGAAAGTGTTGTTTTCAGACCTGGCTCTACTAACAGTTTATTTTGCCCTCTTTCAAGGACTCAGATGAGAGCACTGCAGGAAGAAGAAAAACAAGTTCTGAAGTCTCCATGAGTCAATACTCCTGCAGAGCACAGGCCTTTTCTAAGTGGAGAGGAGGAGTTCTGGTGTAAATTGCCTGATCAGAAATTTGGATCCAATGTCTTTGCTATTACTTCTGTCTCATGCCTTATTACCTCTACCATCATTCTAGGGAAAGGAAATCTGTTTCTTTCTTTCTTTTTTTTGTTTTTTTGAGATGGGGTCTCACTCTGTCACCTAGGCTGGAGTGCAGTGGCCCAATCTCGGCTCACTGCAACCTCTGCCTCCCGGGTTCCAGCGATTCTCCTGCCTTGGCCTCCTGAGTAGCTGGGATTACAGGCGCACACCACCACGCCCGACTGATTTTTTTTTGTATTTTTAGTAGAGACGGGGTTTCACCACGTTGGTCAGGCTGGTCTCGAACTCCTGACCTCATGATTCGCCCGCCTCGGCCTCCCAAAGTGCTGGGATTACAGGCGTGAGCCACTGCGCCTGGCCTCCAAATCTGTTTCTTAAAGAGGATGAAAAGGTATTACCTGTTGGCTGAAGTCCAGAGTGTCCTAGGAAAAAGAGAAGATATACACTTAAAGGATATGGAAGCAAATCTGTCCTCCAACACAATGTCCCAGCTCCAGATCTCCCACCTGAGAGTTCTCTGACACCACAACCCACACCAGCCAGGGCAGAGAGGAGCAGAAACAGACCATGTGACCCATGAAGTGTGAAGTGTCTGTCACAGGATCCAGTGTAATTGTATTAGCTTTAGTTGCTCTTCCTTAATTTGCTCCACGATCTCAACCAAAGCACCTATACCTGTTAATCTTTCTGTTATCTCTGTAGGCCACAAGCTATTATGCTTTGACATAGCAACCATGCACTGATGATTTCTGGATTTGCAGAACATTGGAGGTCATTTGGGAGTAGAGAGGCTTTATCCAGGGCCATTCATATGCTGAGAACCAACTTCAGCAAAGCCATAGTTCCTCCTCCAGAAAAGCGTATGGAGACAGCCAGCTACCAAAGGCTCCTCACCTTTCTGATTCCTGAAGTAGATGAACAGCCCGGCCCCAAGGAAGAGCAGGCCCAGCACGAAGCCCCCGACTCCACTCAGCATCTTGCTCTGTGCAGATTCAGACCGTGCTCCTGAGAGAGGAAGCCAGGTTTAGTGATTTTTATCCCAAATGGAACCTCTTTAATTGACACCTTGAGATTCAGAGCTTTGAAAATGAGAAAGAAGGCTGCTCTGCAAGAACTAAAATAACTGACCATTTCTTGAGAAAGGTTTTCAAATCACACTGAACAGTTACAAGGTTCAGTCATCAAACTCATTCAAATATTACAGCCTTGATGTAAGACAGGACTTCAACATCTGATGAACAGAAAGCCTGAGACCCAATGAGGTTAAGTAGTTGCCTAGAGTGACAGATCTAATAAAAGGCGGAGCTGAGATTGGACTCCCCTCATGTCAGGAAGGTCCCTATACTTCTCCTCTTCTCAGATTACAACAAACGACTCAGAGCAACAGTACCAGAAACTCAGTCTCAGACCCAGAGGCAGGGCCTGGAGCCCACAGACAGCAGGTGACCCCGACTTGTGACATCATGGGGAGGTTCAAAAGAGGGACAGCCTCTCCTGCCTGGCAGGCATGACTGCTTCCCCAGGGGGTACAGGTGTTTCTAGAAAGTATTACAGGGCTACCCCCCAGTGACCTGTGCTGATGGAGATGAGAACGTGGAGCAAATGAAAATAGGATGTGGGATAGGAGAAGCCTGATACTCAGGGATTAGTAAAGTTCGCGTCTTGGTGGGTGAGAAATTTATGAAGTCAGAAAGCTGCTCACTCCATTCCACTGTGAGAGGGCTCGTCAGGCTTGGGTGCTCCACTTGGCAGGTGTAAACCTCTCCACTCCGAGGAACTGTTTCCAGCATCACCAGGGTCTGGAAGGTCCAGTCTCCATTCTGGATCAGGCCTGTGGACACCACCCCAGTCTTCTCTTCCTGGCCGTTCCGGAACCACCTGACTTCAATGCTGCCTGGATAGAAACCATTCACAGAGCAGACCAGGAGGTTGTGGTGCTGCAGGGGCTGGGTCTTTGCAGGATACACAGTCACCTCAGGATAGACTAGGAGAAAACAAGGTAGAGGGAATAAGTCATGCAGACAGAGTAAGTCTCCTTGTTTAGCTTTTTGTCTGCTTCTCTGTAAACCTAGGCTCTGGCCTTGAGCAGGCCTCCAGCACAGCTGGCCATGTGGCCTCACAGTGTCATCAGCCTGGAATTTAATCTTTATAGTGGGGACCCATTAGATTTGAGAGATATTGTGAAAAATTATGTTTGGCTCTTCATAGCTTGAAATTGACATGCATTGTCAAAGCGTTTACAAATCTTTGAAAGTACAGAGTGTGGTAATTAAAACTGACTTCTGAGCCAGGTTGCCTGGTTCAAATCCAAGGTCTGCCTTTTACTGGTTGATCCTGGAAGAGTTTTTGATTCTTTTGTGTCTCAACTTTCTCTCCAATAATGGAGGATAATTATATTAATTTACCTCTTGAGGTTATATGAGGATTAATGCAAGTAAAATATATAAAAGAATGAATTACGATAGCCTTCAATTTATGAGGTCAGAAAGCTTCTCACTCCATTCTACTGTGAGAGGGCTCGTCACACTTGGGTTCTCCACTTGGCACCTATTTATCATCCTTGTACACCTTGAGAGAAAAATATGATTTAAAGCAATGTGGATAGAGAAAGGGACGGAGTAGGGCACATGAGGAAACTGAATATGGATTTTTAGGAATACTACTGCCATGCACTCACACCTTAGAACACCACAGAAATGGTTATGCTCCTGGGAAGGTGGGACAGACAGAAATGATTCTCCAAATCTTTAAGTTCCTAAGAAAGCATGATTCCTAAAGCAGAGAGAAAGATTAAGGAACGTCATTTTAGTTTTGAAAGTTCTTATATTTACATTTAGCTGATCAATGCATCTCCCAGGCAAAACAAGTATAACTATTATTAGGCTTATCACTGTAAAATGATTTTTCTTTCCAGAATGACATTTGGATCAAGGCAGTGTCTGGGACTCATTACTTGGAGTGCTTATGCCTAGGGAAATCCCTGACACTAGCATACTCTCAATAAATACATTTTTTTTTAAGAAGGAAGGAGAAACCTGGAGACATCAATACCACAAAATGGTAGACTTGAGCTAGTTTGTGAATCATTAATTAACATTTTGCAATATATTTTATTAAATAAAAATGTTCAAATTCTTAACATGGAAAAGAATTTTCAAAATATACATACCACAAACTGGAGAAAATACTGAATCAAATATCAATAAAGTGTTAATAATCTTACAGTACAACAAACCCACAAAGTCACTGAGAAAAATACTAAGCCCTAAAGATAAGAGACAATAGATCATTGTCCATTACCTACCAAATACAACAGGTAATTCGTAGAGCAGAGCAGTAATTACAACTGGCCAATAAATAGGTCAAAATAATTCAAAATAATTACAAATCAAAAAAATATAAATCAAAAATTAACCAGAAACATACATTTTCAACTATTGGTGAATGTCATAATAAAGGTCATCAATGGGGAAAGTGACGTAATTTGCTTATACAAAAATTAATTCAAGATGGATTAAAGACTTAAATGTTAGACCTGAAACCATAAAAACCCTAGAAGAAAACCTAGGCAATACCATTCAGGACATAGGCATGGGCAAGAACTTCATGTCTAAAACACCAAAAGCAATGGCAACAAAAGCCAAAATGGACAAATGGGATCTAATTAAACTAAAGAGCTTCTGCACAGCAAAAGAAACTACCATCAGAGTGAAGAGGCAACCTACAGAATGGGAGAAAATTTTTGCAATCTACTCATATGACAAAGGGCTAATATCCAGAATCTGCAATGAACTCAAACAAATTTACAAGAAAAAAACAAAATACCCCATCAAAAAGTGGGCAAAGGACATGAACAGACACTTCTCAAAAGAAGACATTTATGCAGCCAAAAGACACATGAAAAAATGCTCATCATCACTGGCCATCAGAGAATTGCAAATCAAAACCACAATGAGATACCATCTCACACCAGTTAGAATGGCGATCATTAAAAAGTCAGGAAGCAACAGGTGCTGGAGAGGATGTGGAGAAATAGGAACACTTTTACCCTGTTGGTGGGACTCTAAACTAGTTCAACCATTGTGGAAGTCAGTGTGGCGATTCCTCAGGGATCTAGAACTAGAAATACCATTTGACCCAGCCATCCCATTACTGGGTATATAACCCAAGGATTATAAATCATGCTGCTATAAAGACATATGCACATGTATGTTTATTGCGGCACTATTCACAATAGCAAAGACTTGGAACCAACCCAAATGTCCAACAATGATAGACTGGATTAAGAAAATGTGGCACATATACACTATGGAATACTATGCAGCCACAAAAAAGAATGAGTTCATGTCCTTTGTAGGGACATGGATGAAGCTGGAAACCATCATTCTCAGCAAACTATGGCAAGGACAAAAAACCGAACACCGCATGTTCTCACTCATAGGTGGGAATTGAACAGTGAGAACACATGGACACAGGAAGGGGAACATCACACACTGGGGCCTGTTGTGGGGTGGGGGGGTGGGGAGGGATAGCATTAGGAGATATACCTAATGTTAAATGACGAGTTAATGGGTGCAGCACACCAACATGGCACATGTATACATATGTAACAAACCTGCACGTTGTGCACATGTACCCTAAAACTTAAAGTGTAAGAAAAAAAAAAACAAAGAAAGTGAGGTAATTTGTGTCACAACTATTATATATTTAAAAAGTAACTATGAAATTATTAGCATTATAATAAAATAGTAACAGTGTTCTCAAACTTTAATTCAAAAAGTTAGTTTCACAGTCATTTCAACTATGTAAAAATATAACACTAAGAAAACAAAAAACTAGCAAGAAATTTATACCTAAAGAAGCTTCAGAGGTGCCTCAGAGGTCTACTCAATTCCCCTAGAAGTTAATCTAATGCTTTTACAAATAAACAGCACACACTTTTATTTCAGAGATTACATGAAGGGTGTGTGCCAGGGACAGTCTGAAACTGGCCTCTTCACATTATCCCAAACCTTCCTTACCCCTCAGCTCTCCTCCCCTAAACCTTCACCCCAACCACACACCCCATACATTTCCCTTCCTTGCATCTCTAAGGACCCGAGACAATCAAGGTCGCCTCTCTCTCCAGCCCCCAGCACCCACCTCCCTTGTCACCTCCCCACAGAAGTCTCCAAGAATAAGAAGCAGCCCCCTCCTGCCTCCCCTCCCACAACAGCCTCACAGACACGGACAAATCCACACTCTACACACACACCTGTGCCCGCAGAACTCCTTGCTCAGGATAGAGAGGATTCTAAATGCTCACAGATGGCGCTCTCTCTCTCTCTCTCTCTCTCTCTCTCTCTCTCTCACACACACACACACACACACACACACACACACACACACACACACACACTCAGATTCTCCGCTCACAGGGACTCAGGCCCCGCCCCGCGCCGCGCTCACCTCGCCGCTGCACTGTGAAGCTCTCCACAACCCCGTAGTTGTGTCTGCAGTAGGTGTCCACCTCGGCCCGCCTCTGCTCCAGGAGGTCCTTCTGGCTGTTCCAGTACTCGGCATCAGGCCGCCCCAGCTCCGTCACCGCCCGGTACTCCCCCACGTCGCTGTCGAAGCGCACGTACTCCTCTTGGTGATAGAAGTATCTGTCCAGGAACCGCACCCGCTCCGTCCCGTTGAAGAAATGACACTCATGTTTAACCTGCTCCAAGAAACGTGCTGGGGGGACAAGAACGATCCGGTTACAGAAGCGGCCTCCGGGGAAGACACTATCTGGCCCCACCCGCAACCCCGACAACACGCAGCCCAGGGGCTCATCCTCTGTCTTTCTGAGGCGGACGGGGGTCTGGGGGACCAGGTGGAAAAACTACCTCTGATCCCAAGGCTTTTGGGACCCCCTCCCTGCCTCCAGCCTGTTCTGGAGACCTCCAGGCAGGAGCTGGAGGAGGATCCGTCCAGCACCGCAGCCCGCGCCGCCTCCTCCTGGGAGCCTCCACCCCAAAGGCACTTTGCTCCTTCTCTCAACCCTTTACCATTTAAAGGCTTTACCCTTTCCTTAAACAGCACGCACCGCTTTCATCCTGTGAACACTTCCTTAGTGATGACCTTGTGCCAGGCCTGCGCTGCCTCTAGGAATCCAAACACGGGAAAACAGACCTCTCCACTCCGCTGGGGGAGCTTTAAGAGCAGTGAAAGTGATGGCCAAAAACCAAACACACAAGAGCTTAGACAGGAATGAGAAATTTCAGAAGTGTGGAGTTCTAGAACAGAGAATAATAGGATGATCTCAATTCCTTTAGGGTGCCAGAGAAGAGTGACAGTTACAGATGTGACTTAACAAGTTAAGCAGGTGTGAGCCAGGGGGCAGAGTGGAGCCTGTGTGTCTGTTTGGACAAAACCGGAGGCACATTTCAGGTTTAGGAAATCCCATGTACAAAAGCTTGAATTGATGATGAACTTCAAAAAACTAGAACAAAGTTCACTAAAGCAGAGAGGCTGAGGGGAAGGAGGGTAAAAGGTTAGATTGGAGAAATCACAAGAAGTCAGGTGTTGAAAAGCCTCGTGAGTGGTGTTAGGATTTTGGATTTACTAAAGACAATGGGAAAGTATTGAAGAGTTTTAAGGAGAATAAAACTATGATCCTCGTAAATGTCCACAAACTTTCAGTTGCATTTCTAAATCCACAAAGCTCAGAAATTCAGTTAAAAGAAATTTGTTCCCAAAACTCATTTGGCAAATCTCATCTGATAAGGGTAAGTGGTCAAAGGTGTCTCAGAGCTCTTATTGGTGACATGTGCTTCTGTAGTTTCAATACATATAAACATATGTGCATATATGTGTGTAAATATACACCTATGTATAACACTATGTACATATTTTTGATGTTTTTGTCTTTATGTTTGGTTGAAGTGTGAAAATGACAAAAATAACTTAAAAATAATCCTGTGGGTAAAAGTGAAATGAATAAATAGAAGCATTTTACATTGTGAATAATATCAAATGTAGAATCACTACAGAAATCTGAGGCATGTTAGTGAAAAATAATTGCAGCAGCATCACTATTTGTGACTTAGAAGGGCAAACTGTTGAAAGTTAATAGAGATAGTGCTGACCAACAACTTATGAAAATGTTGAACAATATTGCATAAGGCAAAAAATAAATATGAAAATGTTGAGCTTGCATTGACTAAATGGATTCAACAAGTAAGTGGTTGAATTTATGCAACTGTCTAGTTTTTTATAATGAAACAAGCAAAAATAAACCATAAAGAACTGAATTGGGCAGTAAGTGTATAAAAGATGTGAGTCTAGGCCGGGCGCGGTGGCTCATGCGTGTAATCCTAGCACTTTGGGAGACCAAAGCGGGTGGATTGCCTGAGCTCAGGAGTTCGAGACCAGCCTGGGCAACATGGTGAAACCCCATCTCTACTAAAATACAAAAAATTAGCCGGGCATGGCAGGGTGCACCTGTAATCCCAGCTACTGGGGAGGCTGAGACAGGAGAATCGCTTGAACCTGGGAGGCAGAGGTTGTAGTGAGCTGAGATGGAGCCACTGCACTCCAGTCTGGGCGACAGAGCAAGACCCCATCTCAAAAAAAAAAAAAAAAAAAGCGAGTCTACATTTTTCAGAAAGAGCACAGTGTGAACCAATGCTTCCAGCCTCAGCACTATTGACATTTTGGACGAGATAAATCTTGGTTGGTGATGGAGTCTATTCTGAACATTGTGGGTTCTCTAGCAGTGTCCCTGGCTTCTGCTCATTAAATATCAGAAGAAACCCCTGTTGTGACAACCAAAAATTATTCTAACATTGCCACATGTTCCTCAAGAGTGATGGGAGGGAAGGGGAGGGGTGGTGAACTGTCCCTGGGTAAGAAACATGGGTGTGAACCATCTGAAAATATCTGTGTTGAATAAGTCACTATTAGTTATGGAGCAGCTGAGAACTGCATTGAAAAATATTTGTTGAAAATCTTGGTCTTACATAAAACGGATGTTTTGTAGAATTCTGGTCCCAGTACAGTGCTATCTTTCCAGAAAATGAACTTGTTCAGAACCAAGATTTACTGATTCCCTTGCCTTACCAAATCATATAATTTATCTCTCACATCATCTTCTTTCTTAATTTCTCTGCCACTAGTCCACTAATTGTAGTAATGAATCACAACCACAGCTATTTTATTCCTGTTTAATGCCCCAACTAACTCATTTATTTCAGTCTCCCATTCCCAACAATACTAGCAGGCATCAAATTTCCAGCCTTGGCCAGAGGTAGAACTCTCAGTTTTGTAGTCAAGTCCCCTCAGAAAGGGAGAAACCAAGAAAATGACATTCTCATACAGACAGTTTCAAAGCATGAGCAGGTCCCCAGACTGTGAGTCAGACTGTGAGTAAGACCTGTGGAAATCTCTCTTTGCCCTTTAGAAACGATGGCAGAGAGGAGTGCATCCTGGATCAAACAATGTCTATCTTTTTATCCCTAAATTATCTAAGCACTTTCTTTACAGAGAGAAAGTTAAAAAATAAACATGTGTGAAGTCGCTGTCACTGTGGCTGTGGCTTCCATGGGTAACACCGTAATCCATGCTCATGTGTCTCATGTAGGGTTGACAGATTTGGCAAATAAAATCAGAGGATGCCAAGTTACATTTGGATTTTCAGTAAATTATAGTTGTGTATCTGAAATTCAGATTTAACTAGAAACCTGTATTTTATTTGGCAATCCTAGCCCAACTTGCTAGACAAACCTCAGAAGGAGTGATTTAATACTTCCTTGTGTTCTTCAACATATGCCATGACAGACATAGAACTTTTTTTTTTTTTTGAGACGGAGTTTCGCTCTTTTGCCCAGGGTGGAGCTGGAGTGCAGTGGCACGATCTCAGCTCACTGCAAGCTCCGCCTCCCAGGTTCATGCCATTCTCCTGCCTCAGCCTCCCAAGTAGCTGGGACTACAGGTGCACACCACCACGCCCAGCTAATTTTTTGTATTTTTAGTAGAGACGAGGTTTCACCATGTTAGCCAGGATGGTCTTCATCTCCTGACCTCGTGATCTGCCCGCCTTGGCCTCCCAAAGTGCTGGGATTACAGGCATGAGCCACCGCACCCAGCCTAGAACTTTTAAAATGATAAATGCACAATGAATGAAAGTTTCTCCTATACATTGGAACTAGCAGCCCTGAATCTCTGCCCACACTCTAAGAAACAACATAGTACATATGAATATCAGAAATTCTGTCGATAATTTAGACACAGTATTGTCACTACTCACTAATGATGGACAGACTCTCAAACTCTAGAATCAGAAAATCTGAATAAAAATGTGACCTCTTCCCCTTGGGTCAATTTTTACCAACGGTAAGCCTTTTTGTAATCTATCAAATGCATTTAATAATAGCTTAATCCTCACAGGATTATTGTTAAGTGTAAAATTAAATGATGACTCTTATTAGCACTGATCACATAATAAACACTCAAATGCATTCCCATTTTAACTTTTATAATCCCTATAACTGCAGCTCACATTATTTTTTGTATTCCTTGGTTCTAAAGCCACTAGCATCTTCATCATGATTTTGCAATTGTCTTCTGTTCTTCTATTAGTTTCATAAAGAATTGTCATTCTGAAAACATAGGGCAGAATCACTGGTTTATGTCTAATAATGTAGTATACCTAAACCTCACACAAAAGGCATCTGCTGACATAGAAGAAAGGGACTTTCTATATGCTCAGATTTAAACTGCAGTCTGATTTCCAGCACTAAATTTCTAATACTGGGTTTTACTTATATCCTCTCAATTTTAGATTCCAGAGATGTATATGTTTTTAAACACCACAGATACAACAGGATCGTTATTGAAATTGCATACTGAAATTCATAGGCCTGGTACACAGTCACTGCAAAATGTTACATGGCATATACCGATGGCGACCAGATTCATTTTATTTATCACTCTATTCTCATGACCTAGAGTAATAACTGGCATATTCTATGTCACTAATAAATACTGGCTGTGTGAAATATTGTCTGTGTGACCTTTTGCATGAGCAGTCAGCACTGCACACAGGGACCCTCTAGTATTTCCTTGCTAATAATAACTCAGTATCTCTGGTTCACAGGTCCTCCTCCTTCTCTTCAGCCTCTTCAGCCCTTTTCCTTTAGATCCAGCAGGCTCCCTGAACCCAGAGCACAGTCCTTCCCTGAAGCTCTCTACTTAAAATAGTCACCCTTAACCTCGTCCTCACTTCTACTTGCTCTTCAAATGGTCCAATCCAGTTTCCTCCCTGGATACTCCATTGACTGCAAATATCAACTCCAGCAAACCCAGCACTTGCTTCTCTGTCACGTTCTCACTTCCCCCTCCTCTTAGTGGTACTCACCACAATTGACCTCTCCCTTCTCCTTGAAAATAATCTATTTTCCATGACTTACACCCATTATGTTCTCTTGGGTTTTCTCCAGCATCCCTGGGCTCTGTCTCAGCCCCCTTTGCTGGCCTGTACCCTCTTCTTTTTTCTCCACACAATCCATCTCCCTATGTATCCTCTTCCACTCCCTGGAATTTAACACATTACACGTACTGATGCCGCCAACATAAATACCTGAAGCCCTGGCCTCACCTCACCATGAGTCTCTTAAATGCCATTGACCTTCGGATTGCTCCACATAAATGTCAATAAATCATCTCAAATTTAAACAAAACTTTTATTTCCAACCACCCACTTCAAATCATTTCCTCCCACAGTTTTTCCTATCTCAATAAACACCACCATCCACTTATTTGTCAAAACAAAATCCTTAGGAATAAGCTTGATTTTTCTACCCCCTTTAGAGTAATCCATTAACAAGCTAAGCAAAAATACATGCCTAGTCTGTCCACTTTGTCGTTTTCACTGTCTTTATCACTAATGCACTCTATGAAGCCACAAGCCTGTTTTCCCTGGAGAATTCCCTGCTGTGATCCTAAATAGTCTTCCTGACCACTTGTGAAACCCAACAATCCAATCCCCACAGAGTAGCTAGAATTAATTTTAATAATTGAATATAGGCCGGGCGTGGTGGCTCACACCTGTAATCCCAGCACTTTGGGAGGCCGAGGGGAGTGGATCACGAGGTCAGGAGATCAAGACCATCCTGGCTAACACGGTGAAACCCCATCTCTACTAAAAATACAAAAAATTAGCCAGGTGTAGTGGCATGTACCTGTGGTCTCAGCTACTTGGGAGGCTGAGGCAGGAGAATTGCTGGAACCCAGGAGGCAGAGGTTGCAGTGAGCTGAGATTGTACCACTGCAATCTAGCCTGGGCAACAGAGCAAGACTCTGTCTCAAAAAAAAAAAATCGAATATAAATTGACTGTCCTTGTAACCATACAGTAGCTTCTCATATCTATTCAAATAAAATTCAGGTTGGGCATGGTGGCTCACGCCTGTAATCTCAGCACTTTGGGAAGCCAGGCAGATTATCTGAGGTCAGGAGTTTGAGACCAGCCTGGCCAACATGGTGATACCCTGTCTCTACTAAAAATACAAAAAAATAAGCCGAGTATGGTCGCAGGCACCTGTAATCCCAGCTACTTGGGAAGCTGAGGCAGGAGAATCACTTGAACCCAGGAGGCAGAGGTTGCAGTGAGTCGAGATCGCGCCATTGCACTCCAGCCTGGGCAACAAGAACAAATCTCCGTCTCAAAAAATAAATAAAAATAAAATAAAATTCAATTTTTTTACCATGGCCATCAGAGTCTAATATGATGAGGCTCCTGACTTCCTCTCTGTGTCCTACCTCATCTTCTGCCTCTCCATTTCCTTGCTTGCTATAGTTCAGTCCCTCTAGCCTTCTTTCTGTCCTTCCACATAATTTCCCACACCAGAGCTTCCCCCCCATTCATTCTCCCTGGAACTTTCGTCCTTTAGATCTTCACGACTGTCTATTTATTTTGTTGTCTCAGCTGAATGTCACTTTCTCAGTTATAGCTGCCTAAGCATATGAACCAAAGTAAGTGAATCCATGTCTCTCTTTTTCACAAACCTGATGTCTTTTCTTCAGTGCACTATGTCTCTCTAACATTTTCTTCTTTGTTAAATGCTTATTGGGTTAGTGTCTGTCTCCTCTACTCTTGTGTAACTTCCATGAGAGTCGGGACCCTCTCTATCTTACTCAAATAGAATGATTTGAACTTAGAATGGAGCCCAGTAAAGAGTAGCTGCTGAAAAAAATAAGTGTGCTTTACATGAATAAACCAGGGTGTGGGAACTGATCACTGCAGGGATCCTGGAAAGCAAGAAGGGGATCAAGCTCCAGCACTCTTTCATTTTGATATCACACTAGACTCCTCCTCCTGGTGAGAAATACAGGCAAACTTCTTCTTTCTCCTCCTTCTAGTTGGAAGAAGAATTCACAGATAGAGAAACAGTGATTTAAGAAAAAGGAAATTTTTAAATTAAGGTTCATCTCTTTTTGCCTGGGCACAATGGCTCACATCTATAATCCTAGCATATTGGGAGGCTAAGGCAGGAGGATTGCTTGAGTCCAGGAGTTTAAGAACAGCCTGGGCAACATGGCAAAATCTCATCTCTAACAAAATCATGAAAATTAGCTGCACATGTTTGCCTGCCTGTAGTCTCCGCTACTCTGGAGGCTGAGGAGGGAGGATCACTTGAGCGTGGGAAGCAGAGGTTGCAGTGAGCCTAGATCACACCACTGCACTACAGCCTGGGTGACAGAACCAAGCCCTGTCTCAAAAAGAAAAAAATTATCTCTTTCAATGGATCTCATAGTGCTAAGGATCTTTGCAAGTTTTAGAGATTTCTGGAAATGATGACAACATAGCTGGGGAAAAATAGAGAGAAACTGGAGGTAGAGATAAGCAGACATGGCTAATTAAGGAAAGCTGAGGGCATGATGGGTGAACCTATGAAATTTAGGACAAGACCCCAGTAAGACAAGGAGTTTCCAGGACTTCTTCATTGACTTTCAGCCCTATTAGATGTGAACAATGTCCATGTCGTCTCGGTAACCCCACACAGAGTATATAGTTTGAACATTATTAATTTTCTGGTATTTGACTATTTTTGACTTACAAAAATAGAATTTCATATAATTTATCCTATGTTAGTTGAATCTCTTCTGTCATGTCTAGTTAGAGCATGCAGGAGAAACAAGTATAGAAAGGTTATAAAAGATTAATAATAAGCACTAATCTGGGCCAGTTTTTCAGAGGATGCCTTAAGTTCTTGAGGAGTATCCAAGTATTCAGGGGTCTGAGAGACCGATCAAGAGGAGGCACCAATGAATACCTCATAAATGGTCTTTACCTGTAGGGTGACTCCAAGTACTAAAGATGTCAGTTTCAGATCCAGGGATTTTTCCCCATAAGAAAGAAAGAGCACTAAGTATAACTTCTGTCAGAGAACCTACATATGCTACAGGGATACAGGCTTTATAAACACTGGAGTTCAGAAAAAAAAGAAAGGAAACAATGGGGAGGCCACTGGGTACATCCTCACATATGAGGAAGAGGGGCCAACACCACAGGTCCTGTGGAGGACAACACAGGATCGTCTAGGAGAGACCCTTTGAATTCCTTTGACTCCCACAAAATTTTCAAAACAAAACCTTGTTTCGTCTGACATAAGTCAACATGATAAAGGGAAGTGCTGTATGAGGAATTTATTTTAGCATCCTTATTTCTAAATCCTCTAAAGACCCTGAGGACATGTGATGCAAAGGTTTTATTGGTAGAGATTTAAAGTAAAACATGGCCTGTACAAAGGCCCTTTACACAGTCTCATGAATAGGGCAAGTAGCCAAGTTCCATTTGTGGTGGAAATAATTTGGGATCCATATGATAAAGATGGGCAATCCCTGAAGAAAATGTCACACTTTCTTAAGGGACATGGCCTGGGCACAATGTTAACACAACTCCCTTTTTTCCCCACCCCATAGTAGGTCAGCACCCACAATGTGCACTTACGTCGGGTGTCCCCAGCCAAAGCCAGTGGGGAGCTCAGCACCATCAGTGTCACTGTCAGAGCTGCCATGCAGGAGCCTCCAGGGAACTTCAGACACACCATGCTGGAGAACAGGACAGGACCAGGGGCCAGAGGAGCAGGTGAGTCTCACTCAGGGAGAACTATGACCCCTCTCCACCCACATTCCAAATTATAGGGAAGAAGTTACTGATTTCCTTGCTCGTGGATTGGGTAATCTAGTGTTGGAGAACGAATCAGCATCTGAGTACAATAGCATCATCAGTCGCTGGTCAGAGATGCTGTATGAAGGTCCTTTTCTGAAACAATTTCCTTCTTTAAAGGATTGTTTTAATTTAGTACTTGAAAGGTTTGAACCAGTTGCGTGTAAAACACCTTAATTGTGTCCCTATTGTTAGCCAGCTCTGTGCTGGTCAGTGATGTGTTCACAAATTTGAGCCTTGTAAGAGCATTCATTTCCCACTTGACAAGAGAATTGTTTGCAGGAGTGAGTGTGTGAGTGTGCTTAGGAGTAAAGGAGATGGAGGGAACATGGTTGCAAATCAGGAGACTTTTAATCTGGTCCTTATTGCACCATATCTTACTGTTGTAGACTTGGGAAAATTACTTCATGTCTCACAGTTAAAATGAAGGCACCGTGATCTTTCAGGTCTTTCAATACTGGAAAATGCTGTGATTCTGTGGATGCCTCAAGGAGCAGCAGCCACGAGTATCTGTTGATATGACAGAATGATAGCTGTTGACTAGCGAGTTTAATCTGTACCTATTTACAGGTAGAGATTCTTTAGTAAGTTAAAGGAAATGGAAAGTTTGTTAATAATTTAATCTGAGTAAAAAGGGTTTTTTCAAGTGTATCTCCTGATGCTGTCCCCAAGTTTAGTGGCAGCTCCAGAACACACACAGGCAAGCGGCTTGCAGGGGCCACCTATGTGCAATGGAGGGTCTGAAGTTGCCTTTGTATGCACTTACCCTAACAATGTGATAAGGTCAACTGTGCAATCCAAGTATTCAGGGGTCTGAGAGACCGATCAAGGACTCAAAGTCAGCTGTTGACAGAACAACTCTGTTTTTGTTGCGGGAAGTCAGGGACCCCGAATGGAGGGACCGCCTGAAGCCATGGCAGAAGAACATAGATTGTGAAGATTTCATGGACGTTTATTAGTTCCCCAAATTAATACTTTTATAATTTCTTACACCTGTCTTTACTGCAATCTCTCAACATAAATTGTGAAGATTTCATGGACACTTCACTTCCCCAATCAATACCCTTGTGATTTCCTATCCCTGTCTTTACTTTAATCTCTTAATCCTGTCATCTTTGTAATCTGAGGAGGATGTATGTCACCTCAGGACCCTGTGATGATTGTGTTAACTGCACAAATTGTTTGTAGAGCATGTGTGTTTGAACAATATGAAATCTGGGCACCTTGAAAAAAGAACAGGATAACAGCAATGTTCAGGGAACAAGAGAGATAACCTTAAACTCTGACCACTGGTGAGCCACGTGGAACAGAGCCATATTTCTCTTCTTTCAAAAGCAAATGGGAGAAATATCGCTGAATTCTTTTTCTCAGCAAGGAACATCCCTGAGAAAGAGAATACTTCCCTGAGGTTAGGCCTCTGAAATGGCTGCTTCAGGGGGTGGCCGTCTTCTGTGGTCAAGCTTAGGGATGAAATAAACCCCAGTCTCCCATAGCGCTCCCAGGCTTATTAGGATGAGGAAATTCCCGCCTAATAAATTTTTGATCAGACCGGTTGTCTGCTCTCAAACCCTGTCTCCTGATAAGATGTTATCAATGACAATGGTGCCCGAAACTTCATTAGCAATTTTAATTTCGCCCCGGTCCTGTGGTCCTGTGATCTCGCCCTGCCTCCATTTGCCTTGTGATATTCTATTACCTTGTGAAGCATGTGATCTCTGTGACCCACACCCTATTCATACACTCCCCCTCCCCTTTTGAAAATCACTAATAAAAACTTGCTGGTTTTGTGGCTTGTGGGGCATCACAGAACCTGCCAACATGTGACGTCTCCTGGGGACACCCAGCTTTAAAATTTCTCTCTTTGGTACTCTGTCCCTTTATTTCTCAGACCGGCCGACACTTAGGGAATATAGAAAAGAAACTACGTGAAATATCGGGGGTGAATTTTGCCTGATATCTGGCTGAATTTCCCCCAATAGTTTTAAAATAATTAATATTTTATGTGAAGAGTGTTCAATCCCTCATTCCTGGTTCCCATTAGGATTTCCTCATTTGATTGAGGCTATGGCCCTTTACTGTTCCACTTCTCTTGTTTTATCATAAGGGAATATATAAGAAGACTTTGCTGGCAGGACACAGTGGGTCATGCCTGTAATCCCAGCACTTTGGGAGGCCGAGGTGGGTGGACCACTTGAGGTCAGGAGTTTGAAACCAGCCTGGCCCACATGGTGAAACCTTGTCTCTACTAACAGAAAAAATACAAAAATCAGCTGGGTGTGGTGGTGCATGCCTGTAATCCCAGCTACTCAGGAGGCTGAAGCACGAGAATTGCTTGATTCCAGGAGGCAGAGGTTGCAGTGAGTCGGGAGCATGCCACTGCACTCCAGTCTGGTCGATAGAGTGAGACTCAGTTTCAAAAAAAAAAAAGACTTTGCTAACTAATACGTTACAGAATGTTCAGGAAACAGAACCCTAGGGAAAATCTATGAATTACATCAGTTAATGTAATCATATAATTTTAAACATATAATTCTACATTTAGATACTTATTATGCTTTATATTTATATAAATGTAGCATCTAAGATTCAGAATGGACTTCAAAGTACAACTATACAGATAAAGTTCTGCATTAATTCACACCCTACCACAGTTCTGATACACACTCCTTCCTTGTGTGCCTTAGTGTTTCTAGGGTTGGGATACTCACCATGCTGCAATAAAAATGACTAAAATTTCTTCAGCAATTTTTGAGCATTTTGCTTTGTACTCAGAATTGTAGCAATTCTCAGAATTGTAACTCGGCCTCCCAAAGTGCTGGGATTACAGGCATGAGCCAGTGCATCCGGCCAGCAAAGTCTTCTTATATCTCCCTTTATGATAAAACAAGAGAAGTGGAATAGTAAAGGGCCATAGCCTCAAACAAATGAGGAGATCATAATGGGAGCCAGGAATGAGGGATTGAACACTCTTCACATAAAATATTAATTATTTTAAAGCAGAGTTTTTCTGTCAACTCTATTGAACCAAGGTATTATATATGTGATTCCAAACCCCTCAGGCTCTACTGTTGTATTATACTACCTCACATTCAATTTCTAAAGAGAATTATGTCCCTTATACTAAAATTATTTTTATCCCTTTAATTCATGGCTGTGCAAATCAGTAAGACTACTTCTTTTAGTGAATGGCAACATTTTATAGACTTTGGGGTAGATACTGTGTAGCAATGCTAGTTCCTTCAAAAGATTCCCCTCATCATCATGGTTACTCTCCTCTGGAAATGACACAGTTTGCGTTTATGTTACATAAGGACACCCATAGCTCCTGCACAAATCTCCTTCTTATTAAAGATAACAACAGCCTCAACATTCCTAACTCCGGTTTATTACTCTCAATCATCATTTCTAATTTCTCAGCACGAAGTAGTGCAAGTTTGATCATTTCAGAATAGAATAAAAATAGTGTCTCGTTTACTTTGGAAAAATATATTTCTGTTAATGTGGAAAGTTGAAGATTTCTTGGAGAGGTTGGGTAGAAGTCCCTGGATTTGAGAACAAACTGTGTTCCTACACTACAGTGATAATTCAGTACTATTGACAATTGTGCAATTGCAACCAGGAGAATATCACATTTCATTTGATAATAGGAAATCGTAATTTACTAATTAACTAATTGTGGTGTGGTAATCTAGGAAAGGAAGCTAAGGTTCACCTTATTATTACAGGATAAATGCAGAGGCAAAAATAAGTAATTCTACATCAAGAATGTACTAAAATATAGTTAAAGAGAAATTTTCAAAATTTGTTTATATAAATTTGACACGCTATTCATAAATCATACAAATTTATATTTAAAAAATGGCCAATGGCAATGAACTAAATTCTGTATGTTTTATACATTTATGAGTAACAAAGATGTTGTCTTAGTTTATTTGTGCTGTGATAAAATACGGTAGACTGGGTAATTTATAAAGAATACATGGAGGCTGAGAAGTCCAAGATTAAGGCACCAGCAGGTTCAATGTCTGGCAAAGGGCATGCTCTCCACTTCCAAGATGGCACCTTGCATCCTACAGAGGGGATGAATACTGTGTTCTCACATGGTAGAAGGTGGAAAGACAAGAGGCTAAAAACTGTGTGAAGCGTTTTTTACAAGGGCCTTAATCCCATTCATCAGTGAGGAGTCCTACCTGAATTTTAAAGGCGACACACTTAAACTATAACAGATATGCTTCTTTAAATTATATATCTCACACTTTCCTTCAATATTCAATATAAGCATAGTTCAGGCTAAACAATGTAGCAACTGTCACCAAACCATCAATCGTACAGGTGATCTCTAGGCTGAACTTTTGCACTGAAAACAAGAGAAGAATCCTCTCAACTCTGCTGTGTGTGAGAGGTGTCAAATACGAGAGCTTATTTCCTGAGGAAATGGCAATTAAATTGGTTTCTGGAAGAAAGTGGTTTTCCGTACGGAAGTTGCATGGTCTCTGGTCTTGATGAATGAAACCATAGGCTTGGTTTTACAGGAAATAAATCCCAGCATTCTCAGGACTAAACAGGTAAAATCAGAAGCACAGACTTTTGCTGAACAACAGGCAGGTTGACATTGGTAGGATTACAGAATGTCTTGAGTCCTACCGATTGTCACAGAATGGGGCTCACTTGCAGTAAGGCTGAAAGCTTGCAACACATTTTGGAAAAATAGGCTTTTTTGGCTATCAGCAAGCCCTGGTTATCATAGAATGTCTGTCACTTGTCCAAGCAGTCACAAAATGTTCTCAGGAGTTTTCAGAAAGCAACCACTGCTATCTGGAATTTAAAGTAAAAAGCAGATTACTAATCCTTATATCTAAAGAAAAAATGACAATAACAATAAATGGATAAACAGAACCAGTTTCTTCTCAGCATGGAAGATATGTATCCTGAACAGAAAACTGTGCCATTTAGAGGCCTTATTAGTATTCATCACACTTGATAGGACCCTTTCCAGTAAAATCTCAGCAATGTCCTCCATTAAGAAACTTTGGTAGCGCCAATCATTACACCATGACACTATCTAGGTCAGTTGACAGGACTTCTTTAACTTCCAAATGTCATTCTTTGGCTCAACTTAGCTGTTTTATAACAGAATGCTTGCCATTGCATATAGAGAAAACAACTAGAATTCCCATAGGCCTTTCTACTAATATTGTAAGTACAAAGAATTTTCTTTTGATTTATCTTTCTAGCTCTTATGTTAATTGTGCTGTGGTAAGTATCCAACTATCTATCCAGTCCAAAATAGGCCAGGTTATTTTTCAAAATTTCATTTTGGTGCTCCACTAGCCCACTCCCCAGTGACTGCAGTGTGGACAGTGAAGACATTGATGAACCTGTTGAGCTGTACCAACCTCTTTGCAATCTGTCCTGTGAAGTGTGTGCCTGGTTTGTTGCTTATTTTATTTAAAATAAATAATAAAATCTTTTACCAGTTATTTTTCTAATAGCTCATCCTTGCAGACAATTTATTATCTTGAAAAAGTAAACTTACTAGTACTTATTTATGTTAACAACATTTTACCTAAATAAAATCAACTTATGTGTGTGCAAAAGAATTAGCTAATCCTTTTGTCATGACATCTCTTCCTACCCTGTGTGCCTGTCAAACAAAGCAACTCTCAGTATCATACAGCAATTCTGAGAAAAATGAAGCATAAGAACCACACTAACTATTGCTAGCATCCCTGTGTTGGTCATGTGGTCATTCAAGGGGTTACACCAGCAAGATAAAGGTGTAAAACTTGGTACTATTAAGTATCCATCTAGAGATGCTAAAGATGATTTGGGTGCAAACAAAACCCTGTCAGTGTCCATAGTTCACAATTTTGGATTTGACCTTAAAGAGATGTCTAGTCAACTGTTAGAATAAGAAAAAAGGTACCAGCTAGTAAAAAATAATCTAAGCCATAGCTATATTATTAACCAGAGGAAAATACTTTATAATAACCACAGCAGAAGATAATATAAGGATTATTAGAAATTTTTGAGTTTTTCCAGAAGTGAGGAATCTTTATTGCTATTACAAGTTCTAAAGCTATGAAAAACAAAAAAGCATAACAAGAATCAGTTCTAAAAGCAACTGGTTCTGCCACTGAGGCAAAATACATAGGCATGGGTTTATTTTCTCTCCAGAACAGGATTTAAACACTAAATTCTTTTTTTTTTCTTTTTTTCTTTTTTTTTTTTTTGAGACAGAGTCTGGCTCTGTTGCCAGGCTGGAGTGCAGTGCCGTGATCTTGACTAACTGCAACCTCTGCCTCCTGGGTTCAGGCTATTCTCCTGCCTCAGCCTCCCGAGTAGCTGGGACTACAGGTGCACACGACCATGCCCAGCTAATTTTTGTATTTTTAGTGGAGATGGGGTTTCACCATGTTGGCTAGGATGGTCTCTATCTCTTGACCTTGGCCTCCCAAAGTGCTGGGATTACAGGCGTGAGCCACTGTGCCCAGCCTCCTAAATTATTTTAACTGTCAACGTTTCCTTCAGTGGTATTGCTGATACTAATTGCAATATCATTAATATTGACCATGGTTTTTTCACTTGTAGACTTACAGCCATGACCTAGATAGTGCCATGGTGCAAAGACTGGCTCCACCCAAAGTTCCTCGATGGATGACATTGCTGAAATCTTACAGGAAAGGGTCCTATCAACTCTGATGAATACTAATATGGCCTTTAAATGGCACAGTCTTCTGTTGAGGATACATATCCTCCCTCCATGGTAAGAAGAAATTGATCCTGTTTATCCATTTATTGTTATTATTTTTCCTTAATAACTTTACACCATCAGAAACCAATTTGTGTTCCCATATGGGCAATTAATTGGAGTGTTTATCTAGATAGACTCTAGACCTAATTCCTTCCAAAGGGCCCACCTTCTAATCCTATAATATTGGGGCTTAGGATTTAACATATGATTAGGAGGGAACACAAACATTTAGTCTATAACATCTTTTTCCAAGACATATCTGTTCAAGTCCTTTGCCCATTTTTTAATCAGCTTGTTTGTTTGGTTGGTTGTTTTGCTCTTGAGTTGTATGAGTTCCTTATACATTTTTGAAATTAACCCCTTATCAAATATATGGTTTGCAAATATTTTCTTCCATTCTGCAGGTTATCTTTTCATTCTGTTTATTGTTTTCTTTGCTATGCAAAAGCTTTTTAGTTTCGCTTATGCTGAGTGAAATAAGCCAGTTACAGGAAGACAAATATTGCAGAATTCCTCTTATATGAGGTAACTAAAATACTCAAGCTCATAGAAGCAGAGAATACAATAGTAGTTAACAAGAGTTGGGGGCTGCGGGAAATGGAACGTTGTCACTAAAAGGGTATAAAGTGTTAGTTATGCTGGATGAATAAGTTCTAGAGATCTGCTATCTAACATAGTGCCTATAGTTAACAAAATAATGTTGTGCACTTCAAAATTTGTTTAGAGTTTTTTTGTGGCCTAACATCTCATCTGTCCTGGAGAAAGTTCAATGTGTGCTTGAGAAGAATGTGTATTATATCTAAAACATGCTAAAAAAATTCACCAAAACGCTATTAGAACTAATAAATGAATACAGTAAAGTTGCAGCATATAAAATCAACACACAAAAATCAGTAGTATTTCTATACACTAACAATGAACTATTCAAAAAACAAATCAAGAAAACAATCCCATTTACAATATCTATGAACAATATAAAATTCATATGGAACCACACAAAAAGCCTGAATAGCTAAGACAATCTTGAGCAAAAAGAGCAAAACTGGAGACATTACACCACTTGACTTCAAACTATATTACAAAGCTATAGTACTTAAAACAGCATGGCTGGGCACAGTGGCTCATGCTTGTAATCCCAGCACTTTGGGAGGCTGAGGCAGGTGGATCACAAGGTCAGGACTTCAAGACCAGCCTGGCCAAGATGGTGAAACCCCATTACTACTAAAAATACAAAAATTAGCTGGGCATGGTGGCAGCCACCTGTAATTCCAGCTACTCAGGAGGATGAGGCAGAGAATTGCTTGAACCCAGGAGGCGGAGGTTGCAGTGAGCCAAGATCACACCACTGCACTCCAGCCTGGGAAACAGAGCATGACTCCATCTAAAAACAATAACAACAACAACAACAAAACCCAGCATGGTACTGGCATAACAGTAGACACATCTACTGATGAAACAGTATAGAGAGCCCAGAAATGAATCTACTTATTTATGACCAAGTTATTTTCAATAAAGTTACCAAGAACACACAATGGGAAAAGGACAATCTCTTCAATTAACAGTGCTGAGAAAACTGGATATTCACATGCAGAAGAATAAAATTGGATCTTTATCTCACACCATATACAAAAATCAACTAAAAATGGATTGGAGACTTAAATATAAGACCTGAAACTGTAAAATACTAGAAGAAAACAGAGAGAACCTATACAACGTTGGTCTGGACAATGATTTTTATTTTATTTGACCCCAAAATCTTAGGCAACAAAATTTAAAATTAGACAAGTGGGATTACATCACATTAAAAAGCTTCTGCACAACAAAGAAAACAACAGAATGAAGAGACAACCTATCAGCTGGGAGAAAATATTTTCAAGCAATACATCTGATGAAGGGTTAACATCCAAAATACATTAGAAACTCTCAATAGCAAAAAAATAAAAATAAAAAAATAAGATTTAAAAATAAGCAAAGAATATGAATAAACATTTCTCAAAAGAAGACATTGAAGTGGCCAACAGGCATATGAAAAAATGCTTAACACTGGTGGGTGCAGTGGCTCACGCCTGTAATCCCAGCACTTTGGGAGGCTGAGACGGGTGGGTCACGAGGTCAAGAGATTCAGACTATCCTGGCTAACACAGTGAAACCCTGTCTCTACAAAAAATGCAAAAATTAGCTGGGCATGGTGGCACACACGTGTAGTCCTAGCTACTTGGGAGGCTGAGGCAGGAGAATTACCTGGGCCCAGGAAGCGGAGGTTGCAGTGAGCTGAGATCGCGCCATTGTACTCCAGCCTGGGCAACAGAGCAAGACTCTGTCTCAAAAAAAAAAAAAAAAAAAAAAGCTTAACATCACTAATCATTAGGGAAATGCAAATTAAAGCCACAATGAGATATCATCTCACACCAGAAAGAATGGTTCTTATTGAAAAGGTAAAAGAAAAGTGTTGGTGAGGATGTGGAGAAAAGGGAACACTTGGCCAGGTGTGGTGGCTCACGCCTGTAATCCTAGCACTTTGGGAGGCTGAGGTGGGCAGATTGCCTGAGCTCAGGAGTTCAAGACCAGCCTGGGCAACATGGTGAAACCCTGTCTCTACTAAAAAATAGAAAAAAAAGAAAAAAAAATTAGCTGGGCATGGCAGTGTGCGCCTGTAGTCCCAGTTATTTGGGAGTCTGAGGCAGGAGAATAGCTTGAACCTGTGAGGCAGAAGTTGCAGTGAGCCAAGATCTCACCATTGCACTCAAGCCTGGGTGACAGAGTGAGACGCCATCTGAAAAAAAAAAAAAGGAAACACTTGTACACTGTTGGTGGGAATGTAAATTGGTATAGCCATTATAAAAAACTGTATGGAAGTTCTTGAAAAAATTAAAAGTAGAACTACTATATGACTCAGCAATCCCACTTCTAGGTGTATGGACTAAGGACTTAAAATCAGTATGTTAAAGAGATATCTGCACTCTCATGTTCATTGTAATGTTACTTATAATAGCCAAGATGTTAAGCGTCCATCAACTGACAAATTTTTTAATGTGGTATATATACAGAATATATTCTGTATAACAGAATAACATATAGCCTTTTTAAAAAAGGCTGCTCTGGGTCGGGCGTGGTGGCTCACGCCTGTGATCCCAGCACTTTGGGAGGCCGAAGCGGGCGGATCACGAGGTCAGGAGATTGAGACCATCCTGGCTAATACGGTGAAACCCTGTCTCTACTAAAAATACAAAAAATTAGCCGGGCGTGGTGGCGGGCGCCTGTAGTCCCAGCTACTCAGGAGCCTGAGGCAGGAGAATGGTGTGAACCCACGAGGCGGAGGTTGCAGTGAGCCAAGATAGCGCCACTGCACTCCAGCCCAGGCGACAGTGTGAGACTCCATCTCAAAAACAAAAAAAAAACAAAAAAAAAACGCTGTTCTGCCATGTGTAACAACATGAATGAACCTAGAGGACAGTATGCTAAGTGAAATAAGCTAGACGTTTCTAAGTGAAATAAGACAAATACTGCATATTCTCATTTATATGTGGAATCAAAAACAATCAAATTCATAGAAGCAGACAGTAGAATAGTGATTATCAGAGGCTGCAGATTGGGAGGAATAGGAAGACATCAGTCAAAGAGTATAAAGTAGCAGACAGACAGAAGGAATAAATGAAAAGTTTTTAAGGTGATGGATATATTAATTAGCTTGAGTCAACTACTCCACATTGTGTATATATATCATAACATTACTTTGTACCCTATAATTATATGCAATTATAATTTGCCAAAAAAATACAATAATTTAAAAAATCATAGGATAGAACAAGGTTCTTATATTTATGGGAGGATCAGGATAAATCTTCAAATACCTTCTAGAGGTATAGTTGAGGTGAGATATGTACTGAAAGCAAAAATGGAGGCTGGGAACTAAACACCAGGCATTTCCTGTGCATGTGTCTATTCAACAATCATGCCAATCGACACTTCTTTCACTGCCTCCCACCCAAATGCAGAGAGTGCATCTGTATTGTGACCAAACAGAGAAGTGGTTGTAAAAAGTAGGGCTACCCTGACATTTATTCACCAATATCCATGAATAAATAAATATGTACACGTAAATTTATAGATATATACATCCATACTTACATAAATAATTTTAAAAGTGTCCATTTTTACTTCAAGAGAACTAAGGATACTTTTGTAGACATTAGGGCAGATAAAAGATGGTAGATAAAGAAAAGGGAAATGAGAAGGAAACATTTCTGTAAGTGCAAGTGTGGGGGAGAAGGAGTGGGAGCTGGGGGGAAGCTGAGAATTGTGTTTTGTGACAAAGAGCATGGTTCATGGACAGTAGCACATGTGAGTCACAGAAGGACAATAAGATCGGGAGAATCAGCCAAGATGGCGCTCCAGCCAGGGTTACCAGTGTCTAGACAGAAAGCAAAGTAATAGCTCAGCAGCCGCATTGAATGGGAACAGTGAATAGTGTGAAAATGAGAAAATATTGGGGCAAGGCCACTGATTCCCACAGGATGCTTTAGTAAAGCTCTTGACTAGGCCTCCAAATTAAACATATGGCTGAGGCTAGCCCCTTCTCACTCAATGGACTCCAGTATTTGGTGAGGAAATGAGGAAAAGAGAGGTCCCGAAGCAAGTAATTGTATGAAATATCAGGATCCAGTTTTGACAAGACTGTTTGTGGATATACCAGAAGAGCAGGAGAGAGTTCCAGAAGACCCAAACATCCAGCATCCAGAAGGTCTTTTGTAACTGGTAATTAAATTATGAAGTGAGGACTGATGGGCATCATTGAGAACATGATTTGGGAGCTGTTTAACCCCTTGCTCACTAGTCAGTTCATCCTCTTGTTTTCTACAAAAATGTAGTTATCTGCTTCTCATAGGAGAATCTGTTGTGGGAGCCACACAGGGTGGTAACAGTCAGCGGTAATCTGGTGAAAACAATTTTGTAGAAGGGATTGTCCCTCCTTCACATATTTCCATATATAAATCCTCACAGTCAGAAAAATATTCTTAATATCTATCTCATATCTTTTGCCACACTTAACATTTGGTAAATTTTAACTGAGGATCCACCATATGCATGTGCACATACACATGCAATCTAGGTGGGGATATTCAATCACAAAAAGTGTGTTCAGTGCTTCCTTTGTGCAAAAGATTCTTCTAATGCTGGGGATACAAAGATTCACATGAATTAGATCCTACTTTTAAGTAGATCCTACACAGACAAAAGAGCGCATTGTAATGACAGACATATAAAATTCATATAAAAATGTCACAAGATCTACAACAGACATATCTATAAAAAATAATCAAACACAATTTGGTGTTATTAATTTTTAAGACAAAAATTTTAAAACAAAAATGGTTAAAATTAAGTATAAACTTATATTTACAACAAGAAGGAAGCATTTGTATAGATGTAAGTTCCAGAGGAAGTGAAACTCAGAACACAGAGAAAGGGTTACGTTTCAGGTTGGCTAGAGACTCGCTGGGGAACAGGAACTATCATGAATAACATGTGTGCAGGAAGCAGGAGGAGTCGGGAAACGGAAATAGAGATAGAGGGGAGTCTGTTAGACTAGAATTGAAAGGCTCCCTTAAATAACGCTGGGAGATCAGAGTGGATGTGCAGAGCTGAAGTTCTAAGAAAGGCATTGAAAATTTGGCAAAGAAGTTACATCTTTTAGAAATATGTGGATGGACGCAGGAAAAAATATCAAGCAGTAAAACTTTTACAATCCAAGGTTAGTTATGAAGGATTGGACACAGAGATCAGTGTGGTGACAACAGAAATGGATGATGGGAATACCATGCTCCTTTTGCATTTCCAGATGTGCATTAGAATTGGTATTTGATGAATAAGGGAGGAACGGAAGGTCTTTTAGAAGGAATATATTTTCTTTCCTTTTGTAGGTAACACCCAAAGGGATCAATCTTCCTATCCATCTGTGTGCTGGTTCTTTCTTTCTGGTTGAGACATTTTGTAGAAAAAAGAGAGAAATTTACTGGAAATCCCCATCCCTTCACAAACAGTTGTTGCTGTTTTTTTCTATAACCAATAGGGATAAAGACTGAAGCAACATCACTTATCTCCGGCAGATACATCTGACCAGAAGGTCTTATATAAAGTCTTGGAGAGAAGCTGCAGGAGAACAGGATGACTAAATTAGGTGTTGATAAGAAAGGCTGATAACTTCCTTTGTGGAATAAATTAGGACATAAGTAGTTAGCAAATAAAGAATATTTGCAGAGTAAAGCAAAATGTGCAGTGAGGATTGGAGGAGCTGGGCATTTAGAGTGATAGAGACATAATGCCTGGTTTTCCATTCCTGTCCCTGGGTAGTATTAAAAGCACAAATAAAAAGCTATCCTGCTGCTATCTGCCTGCTATTCTTGTTATACAAGAGATGGAGACTGTCAGAGAGATCTATTATGCCAACTCTGATTGCCATAGGTTTATGCACAGACAAATGAAGGGAAAATAAAATGATGAGTTATTGTTTATTTTACACCAGGCACTGAATTTTCTACTTCCAGACACTTTGTATCATTTGATTCTCATCATAACCCTGCAGTGGATGTATGTATCACACTATGTTTTCACTTAACTGCTATATCCCCAACACATTCAATAATGTCCATCACTTATAGTATTTAATAAATATTGATAATGACTGGGTGTGGTGGTTCACACCTGTAATCCCAACACTTTGGAAGGCTGAAGCAGGCAGATCACAAGGTCAGGAGTTCGAGACCAGCCTGACCAATATGGTGAAACCCCGTCTCTACTAAAAATACAAAAATTAGCTAGGCGTAGTGGCAGGCACCTGTAGTCCCAGCTACTCAGGAGGCTGAGGCAGCAGAATCCCTTGAACCCGGGAGGTGGAGGTTGCAGCGAGCTGAGATTTCACCACTGCACTCCAGCCTGGGCAACACAGCAAGACTCTGTCTCAAATAAATACAAATAAATAAATAAATATTTATTTATTACTGGGATATGATTAGGAAACCAAATGTGTTACATTTTTAACATTGTATAGTGACATAGAGCACACATATAGTAAGACATGTAAAGCATAAATGTACAACTTAATCAATCATTACAATGCCAACATCCATGAACCCACCACCCAAATCAAGAAACAGCATGAGGCCAGCACCAGAAGCTCTCCCGTGCTTCCTCCTGTCTACATTGCCCTCCCTTCCCATCAAGACAACTCACCATCAGACTTCCATAGCAATCCCTTCATTGCTTTTCAATACACCTTCAAAATCTAATATTTATTCCTAAACATGCTTAGTAACATTATACAAATTAAACTATACAGTATGTTCTCTTTTGTGCCTATTTTGTGATCTAATAATTGTCAATTTAGTGACCCGGAAAGAATCAGCCTGTCAATAAATGCTGCTGGATCAGTTGTATATCCTTACTGAAAAAAAAAAGAAAGAAAGAAATTTGACACCTATCTCACTTTATACACAAAATTAATTCCAGTAGAAAACATATCTATCCATAAAAATCAATACAATAAAACTTCTAGAAGACGATATTAGAGAATATCTTCCTGATCTTGAAATAGAAAAAGATTTTTAAAATAGAATCCAAAACTCAGAATCATAAGAAAAAGGTTCATCAGTGGTCACAAATATAATGTATCTAAAACAGGGACAGTAAGAAATTACTGGGCATAACTAGCAGGTGCCATGGGATGTGCCTGGAAAGCTTCTCATGACGACCTACCATGAGCCTATCACACTCGTGCCAGGAGCCTCTCACCAGGGGCTTCAGTGTTTGTGGTTAGGAAAAGAGAAATAAGAACAACAGCAGAATGCACCCTTAGGTACTTTGGAAGTCACAGAAGGGAAAAGGGCAGGAAAATCGGAAACATCGGCACACATGTTAATGAATGTTTGTTGTAGTTAAATTGAAGTTGAAGGAGAGGATGGAGTGAAGGACACTGGAAGCGGGGGCTCCAGGAATAGTCCTGTGATTCGGCTGGTATTTCTTGTATATAGTTCCAGTTCTTGTCAAACTTTTTGGTCACTAAACTGTTCCTTTCTATATGTTAAGGCAAGTTTCACCTCCTTTCTGACTTTAGAATAAGTTGGTAGAGGGCTTCACAGAGTGACAAACACCCATTGTCTTCTTTAGGAAGGCGATTAACTAAAACATGCACATACTTCCATAAGAAGCACAGAGTATAACTGATGATATTCAAAGAGCAAATGCTTATTGAACGTCTCCCATGTTTCAAAGAGTGCAGTAGGAGCTAAGGTTCCAGGGTGAAGATCTCATGAAGATCAATATATACCAGGAAAAAAAGACACATATACAGCATACACTCCATACACCAGGAACTTTCTGCACTATTCTCTCCTCAGTTCCTAGAAAAATGCCTGGATCAAAATAGTTATTAATAGTTGTTGAATTAATAAACAATGTATTAAGTATAAATATAAACATTTATAAATTGCAATGAAAATACAAATGGGGGTTGGGGGTGGTGGCTCACACCTATAATTGTAGCACTTTAGGAGGCCAAGGCAGGCAGATTGCCTGAGCTCAGGAGTTCAAGACCACCCTGGGCAACATGGTGAAATCCCATCTCTACTAAAAATACAAAAAATTAGCCAGGCGTGGTGGCGCACGCCTGAAATCCCAGCTACTTGGGAGGCTGAGGCATAAGAATCGCTTGAATCTAAGAGGCAGAGGTTGTTGTGAACTGAGATCGTGCCATTGCACTCCAGCCTGGTCAACAGAGTGAGGCTATCTTTGAAAAATAAAAATAAAAAAAAGAAAGAGAGAGAGAGAGAGAAAGAAAGGAAAGAAAGAAAGAAAAAGAAAGAAAGAAAAAAGAAAGAAGGAAGGAAAGAAAGAAAGAGTGGGTATAATTTAAAAGTAACAAAATTCAAGAATAGCAGATAAAGGATATATTCATACAGACTGGAGTATTTGGAGAAAACTTGAAAATATAGTTCATTTGCAGAAGTAAGACTTGAAGCAGAGAAGAGGAGGAAATGATTCCGAGGAACAGCAGTGGGAAAGGAACCATCATGAACTGCATGAGTGAGAGCAGTACTGGCAGCGGGGGTGGGACAGGGAGTGGGTTGATTTAGGGAAAAGCCCAGATTGACTGGAGTGAACATCTAGATTAAAGAATAGTATAGGATAAGAGAAGATGCACAGAGAGGACCTGTTTTTATGAGAGGCCTTAGAAGCTGAGCAGTCACTTCTTAGGAAGGTGATGAACTGAAGTGTGCAAATGTAAAACAGCAAAATCATCTGTTGGTAAGGCAAGTGTCATATAGGTAGAGGAGGAGCATCAAGGCTGGGGAGGTGACAGTGAGACTAGGGTACTGGTTTTACTGAGTGCCTTGTGTCCTTCCAAACTTGTGCAAAGTATTACTATCTAATGGGTAGAAAGAGAAAATGTGGAATTTTTTTAGACCTCTTTTCTTCTTTCAGAGATAGCATCCAAAGACTGAGTTCTCAAACCCCCAGGTTGGTTATCTATCCTGGTTCCCAGACTCTGTGCTTTAAGATGAAGCAGGTCAGTTTTCTGGACAAAGGGTCTTTATAAAAATCTCCATTACTTATCAGTTTTCTTCCTATGCAACCACTGAGTGAAGTAACATCATTTGTCTCCAGCAAATAACACTACTGCAATAGTCCCAGCATTAGTCTGGTTTCGAGACCCTGTGAAAACGTGGAGTAGGGCCAAATTATTAGTTATGTGGTGCGAGAAAGATATAATACCTGAAATTTGTAGAAAGAAACAGGTGATAGCTGTGTGGATTGACAAGAACTCTCCCCTTTTCAAGTAAGATCCAGCATGCTTAATGAATGTAGAGCGTGAATCAGGATACTTGTTCTTTTTCAGACATAGGTGGAAAGTCCCTGCCCAGGACTAAATGAAAAGAAAATTGCTTTAATGCTAGGATCTCATCACTGGTAGAAAACTAAAATCTGTGGTAGGGACAAAATTGAAAGGAAAGAAGAAACAGATTGATTAAGGGTCATCTCCCCACCTGCTGGTTATAAGAACATGCAGGGACAATGATGGAAAAGAGAATCAATGGTTCCAGGGTCTGGTTAGCCATTTTTCAATTATCTCATTTAATCTTTATAACAACTCTGAAAATAATCTTTTGTACCCCTTTTGGAGGTGATGGTAGAAACATGGGAATTATACCCTGACTTGAAAAAGATAACATTTATTCCTTTGGGGGAACATTAAAAAGTTCATACTGCTGCATTTGTGCAAATCATTCTTCAAGATTATGCATTATTAGGATAAATAGGATCTGCAGATCTTGTTTCCTAGGAGTTCAAAGCCAACATAAACTTGCTATAATACACTGCAACAAGCGCTGCAATCGATTGGTTTATAAAATACAATAAGAGCACAAATTTGTGGGTTTTCAAACATGAGCCAAATTGTTAAAATGGTTTACACACTGACCGGGCGCAGTAGCTCACGACTGTAATCTCGGCACTTTGGGAGGCAGAGACAGGTAGATCACCTGAGGTCAGGAGTTTGTGACCTGCCTGGCCAACATGGCGAAACCCAGTCTCTACTAAAAATACAAAAATTAGCTGGGTGTGGTGGCACACACCTGTAGTCCCAGCTACTTGGGAGGCTAAGGCAGGAGATTTGCTTGAGCCCGGGAGGCGGAGGTTGCAGCGGGCCGAGATCTTGCCACTGCACTCCAGCCTGGGTGACAGCGAGACTTCGTCTTAAAAATAATAATAATAATAAAATGTTTTACACACCTACATGAACCTTAAAAATTAAAGATTGGAGCTCTCTATGTGCATGAGATAGTAACACTCATTAAAAAGGGCAAGTTTGGTTAATTAAGACAGTAGAAAGGGTAGAGAAAATATAATGAAACGATATGTAAGGGAAACGAAGGATGAAAGATGCAGGCCGGGAGAGGAGTACTGTCTGATGGGAGTGAAGATTCTTCCTTCAGGAATGGAAGGGGATGCACAGAGTGAAGCCACCCAACAAAAACAAGACTTGTATGGCTACAGATGGAAGGGAAATCAACCAGGAAATTATTTTGGAAATCCCAGTGTAGTTACAAGACTAGGAAGTAATGGTTAGAATGAAGAGGTCGGATTTACTGAGCACTAATATTCTTATAATCATGCTAGGAAATATCACTTGATAAAGAGAGAAAGATGAGTCGTTTTAGAAGGAATACATCTCTTTTCAGAGGCAGTACCCACAGACAGTTCTCAAACCTAGAATCTGCCTCATCAGTCTCAGTTCAGGTTACTTCGTTTTGGGGAAGGCATTCCAGCTTCTTGCACTAGGCATTTCAAGAAAGAAAAGCATTCCTGGAAATCCCCAACCTGTCACAGGCATGTTTCTTCAACCAATAGGAATAGAGAATGAGGCAGCATCACTTGTCTCCAGCAGATATGTCTGCTAAGAAGGTCTGATCTGATCTCACGTCTTGGGGAGGAGGCAGGGAAGGAGCAGGATGACTCATAAGTGGTGAGAAGAATGGCTACGATGTAGTTTCACGGAAAGAAATAAGATACTCCATGTGGAGACAAGATACCATATTTTGTAGTTGTGAAGCAGAGTAAAGACTGAGACTCTTAGGATTTAGTGTTGGTGGGGGAGAAGAGGTTACCTGATATTTTTCATGCCTCTGTGGGAAGTCCCTGGTGAGTTTTAAAAGAGAAGGGCATGACTATGACGCTGGATTCTCCCTGCTAGTGATGCATGAGCACCTGTGGTGAACGAGATGGAAATGGTGAAGAAGCCCATGATCCCACCTGCTGATTGTCATAGGACAATTTGAGGGAAAGTCACATTATTATGTACTGATTATTTTGTTCTAGCAAAGTAGTACTTCCGGGTGTATTATCTCAATTAATCATTATTTTTGTTAACTGCTGAATGTTCAGTTCCCAGCACTCAATAGATATTTGTAAAATTAATAAATACATGAGTAAGTTACTAAGAATTAGCAATTTTAAGAGATCACTAAGAATTCGTGATTTTAAAGAGTGATTTTAAGAAATTGTAGTGATTTAAGAGATAATTATGAGGATTAAAATCCCGTTCTGCCTAAACTCAAAGCCCAGGAATTAAAATTATTAGTTTACTTGAGATCAGCAGGGTATCTAAAGTAAAATTCCAATACCCCTCTCATAAAAAGTCATATTTTACTTTATCAGAGCTCCTTGGGGCTCAGTTAGTGAATATAGTTACATGGTAGAATGGGAATAAAAACACGGTATTCATGGTCATGAGGTTGGAATTCTGGCACCCAACCCACACCTTGGTCAAGTAATTTTCTCTTTTGAGTGTCTGTTTCTTCATCACTAAAATTAAAGGGTTGAATTGCATAATCTCTCAGGTTAATACTTAACTCATTCCTGGACCATGATAAATAATAAAAAACATTTCATTTTTATTTCACTGTCATTAGTCATTTCAGTAACTGAAAATACAGTTCACCCTGTAAACCAAAAATAAAATTTAAGCCCTTCAACCAACTAAATGGGCCCTTCTGCTTGGCCAAGGACATTTTAAAGTAAACTTGAAACACTAGTTCAGGTCACAATGGGAAGGGGAGGTTAGACTTGCATCATTATACCTTCCTCCCTCTAGAATCGAGGCACATTTGACCCTCATTAACACTAGAACAAAGACCTTAAGACTGACCAGACTCTTTGTAGCAATAAGATACCAACGTGACAGATAGCATGCCCTGAAAGAAATCAAAGTATTTTATCACAAAATATATTTATTTGACATATTTTGAAATGGCCCTGCAAAGCTGTCTCTTGTGGGGAAAATCTACATTCTGTAGAAAATCTTCTTTCCTTTCCAGGTCTTTCCCTTGATCCAGGAGAGAATTATCTAAGCATCTGGCACTTTCTTTTTTTTTTTTTGAGACAGAGTCTCACTCTGTCTCCCAGGCTGGAGTGCAGTGGCTCAATCTCGGCTCACTGCAACCTCTGCTGCCTCCTGTGTTCTAAACGATTCTCCTGCCTCAGCCTCCCTAGTAGCTGGAATTACAGGCGCTCAACACCATGCCCGGCTAATTTTGTAATTTTAGTAGAGATGGGGTTTCACCTTGTTGGCCAGGCTGGTCTTGAACTCCTGACCTCAGGTGATCCACTGCCTCGGCCTCCCAAAGTGTTGGGATTACAGGCGTAAGCCACCACGCCTGGCCCATCTGGCACCTTTTTAAGTTTGATAAGAAACATTTACAATCTAGTCTGTCTGAAGTCTACTACTTGGAGGCTTCAACTGCATGATGAATAACAACCTTAGTCTTCACAACCTCTTATCTTAACCTAGACACTTCCTTCTACTGAATCCACATCTTTAGATAAATTCTCAAACAATAGCCAACCAGAAAATCTTTGAATCCACCTGTGTCCTGGAAGCCCCTACTTCAAGTTGTCTCCTTTCTGGACCAAACCAATGTACATCTTACATGTATTGATTGATGTCTTATGTCTCCCTAAAATTTATAAAACCAAGCTGTAGCCCAACCACCTTGGGCACATGTTCTCAGGATCTTCTAGAACTGTGCCAGAGGCCACTGGTCACTCATATTTGGCTCAAAATAAATCTCTTCAAATATTTTACAGAGTTTGACTCTTTTTGTCGACAACTTAATGCGGGGGTTAGGGACACCAATGCCCAACACAGTCAAAAATCTTCATATAACTTTTGACTCCCTAAAGACTACCAATAGCCTACTGTTGACCAGAGGTTTTACCAATAACATAAACAGTTTAGTCATACATATTTGTATGTTATATTTATTATATACTATATTCTTATAATAAAATGAGCTAGCAAAAAGGAAATATTAAGAAAATAATAAATAAAATAAATTTACAGTACTGTACTGTGTTTATCGATACTGTAAGTTTACATGAGCTGGTTTACAAGACAAACCATGTGTCTAAAATCATGAAGAACTGCAGCTGCAGACCTCACTCTATGGTATATATCAAATAATTCAACTTTTTCCTGTAATGCCAGGACTTTTCTCTGCTCCTTGGGAGCACTTCAGCATCACTAGTGGCACTTTGTATAGATCCCATGATGTTATTCAAGGTTTACAACATAACGCTAAACATGAAAAATATACGAGAACCATAAGAGATCACTTTTTACTGCAATACACAATTTATGATGATTAGCATCAGGAGGCATTTTACGCACATACTTGCAACACTCCGACTTACCACAGCAGCAACAGAAGGAGGCTATGAAGTTATTACAGTAATGTCCTATGTATTATAGCTATTCAATGCAGTTGTGACTCAATACTGTATCTTTATGTTTGTTTACATGTCTCTCCACTGTGAATGGCATTATGTATGGTCTGTAAGTGCATAACTTTTCATAAGTTTTAATTTTTTATAACAGATTTGTGTATATTTTATGGTAGTGAATTATAAAAACAGACTAGTATCTACATATGTTTTATGAGTTCATGACATACCTAACTTTAACAAAGTTTTCAATATTTCTAGGCTATATGATTCGTCTGTGGGCTTTTGCAAACTGTCATATATCTCAAAAAAATTTCAAATATATTTATTTTAAAAAATCAAACCATAAGAGGACCCATGCAATTCAAATCTGTGTTGTCCAAAAGAAAACTAAAATTACAAAAAGGAGAAAATAATTTTCTGAAACTGACTTTAACAAAAATAAAGATAAAATATTTTAATTTTCCTAAAGAAAAATAATTCCCCAATATGACTAAACAATGTTAACTAATAAAAACAGTCCTTTGTGGATTCTTTTTCAAGTACTCCTTAGAGGCAAGATAAAAACATTATTTGTTGAAACCATTTTGGGGGTAATTATGCTTAGTGAAATTCAATTAGCCAATACATTAATAGTACCATTTGCACTTAACATAGAATTATGGAATGGGATCTTCACTCTTTGACTAAGAAATATAAGTCTCACGAATTAGGCAAGAAATATTGTAGCTTAGTTTTTCATCATTATATACTCATGAACTTTCCAACTCACTTCCTGAAAAACTGGCCACATAGCTACAATTATTTGTCACCCCCTTGGTAACTCCATGGGAATACTTTGCTGAAAGCCTGGCATGGTCCCCGTGCTTCCAATGCACAACTTCCTAATATTCTGTGCTTGCCAATTCGTAAGTAAGGGTGAAAAAGTTGAAACTCCTTGTCTTTTGTATGAACCAGTAGTTGGAAAAGTGTGTCACACCTCATGCAGGAAGTTATAGACCTAAGTAGGGTTTATTGAAGCGTCCTATAAATCTCCCTAGAATATAGAAATTCACGTCAAGGGAGGAGAGGAATAACCAAGTGATCTGCCATTTTCATTGTTGGAAAAAAAAATCAGTATTCATTTAAAAGAGGTCTACTTTATGAGTCAAGTCTTGGTCCAAAAGGAAACCTCCATATACATGCAATGTAAGTAGGGATTGGTCAATACTTTCTCGGTGAATTCTCAAGTACAAGAGAATATTTTAACTGCAACACTGCCTCATTGGTGTCAATACCCAGCTATCTTTCAGTGGGGCTACTGGTTGTTGGAGCAGGTACAGGACTTCCAAAATCCAAGTGAAAAAAAAGTATAGTGAGTCATATTCTTTTTTGTTTAAAAAAATAAAAATTAACACACTACTTTTCTTATAATACTAGTAACACCTGCCCAATAAGGAAAGATTGGAAGTCTACAAAATTAATAGAGACAAATTAATCTGTCATTTCTTCATTGTGAGATAATCACTATGGGATCCACTCTCCAATGCAACTGATTTTTAAAAAATTAAAGCCTCTGACGAGCCTCTTAAGGACAAACAGCAATAATGAGACATCTGTTCAAGAAAATCTCTGAAAATTGGCAAGAAAAGCAAGAGTCTGTGGTGTTTGAACCAAGACTATACCCTCCCTCTCTCCTGCATGCCAGCTCAGTGAGGTCAGTGAGGCATAGACTCCACTCTAGACTGCTACAGCCCAGAGCACAGGCCTCCCTCTCCCCACAGCTCCATATGAGAGGGCTTTATTTCTAGGAAGGGCAGGAATTCGGAATCCCTCATCCTGCCCACAGCTACCTGTTGCTGAGACTATGTCCCAGACAAGTGCAGTTGAGAAGTGAGAGGACCCTTCTTCTGCCCAACTCCCAGTTGTGGAATGGAGAATCTGCCTTGGGTGTGGTATGCTAAGACTCCTGGGGCCCTAATAACCCTTTACTTAACTCATGAAGGAATGGCTCCACTCCAGGAGAAGCAAGCCAATAGGAGAGCAGGCTGCTGGCCACACCCCCTACTCAGTGCTCAGCTCCTAGAATTGAGGAGTCACTCAGAGAGAAGCTTGCCACAGTTACACCCAGCTCCAGAGCCCTGACTTAGAGAGTTTGCCTGGGAGGAAAGGCAATATATTAGGAATATATTTTAGGAACATAGAATATATTTTATATCTATTCTATATAAAATAGAATAGATATCCTAATGTATTCCCAAAGGAAGTGACTCCATTTGGAATAGAGCATGGAGAAGTTTAAACCTAAGGGCACTCTCAATTATAGTAGAGGTTGTGGTGAAAAGCAGTTGGGAGATTTGTGCATCTAATGCAGGTACAGCTTAGACTGTAGGCTGCTTAGTTTACAGAAGAGAACTACAGAATAAAATAGGTGGGAGGAGCTCTCCTGAAGTAGAACAAATATCAAACACTGACCTCAGAAACTATTTCGTAGAAGGACTCACTATTTTATTGGACTACCTTGTAGAGGAATTTTGTCCCAGGGCATTACTGAAAAGAGTGGTAATTAATGGACTTCAGTGGCTTGGTTGATGAGGAAAAGAGTGAAAAAGAGTCCTACAGGACCACTGTCATTCCAGGGTAACCCTGGATATACTCAAAGCTGGGCCTCCTTGAGGTAACATCAAAAGTTTAACACTGTGGGATGAGGAGATGAAGATAGACTTTATTAAAATAATCCAGACAATCTTTGTTAATCACATAAACAAACAAGCAAATAAGAATAACAAGCACAGTGTGGGGGTAGTACCCAGAGTTGCTATAATATAGTTCCTAAAATGTTCATTTTTCAATAAAAATTATGAGCTATGCAAAGAAACAAGAAAGTATGACCAATACACCAGAAAAATAGAAGGCAGAAAAAATTGCTTGAGAGAACAAATTTAACAGAAAAATATTTAAAGTAGCCACTATACATATGTTTAAATATATTCAATGTTTTAGTCAGGATTCTCCAGAGAAACAGAGACAAAAAGATATGTATGGTGATTGACTCGCTCAATTATGGACGCCACGAAGTGCCACAATATGCCATCTGCAAGTAGGAGACCCAGGAAAGCAGGTGGTGTAATTCAGTGAGAGTCAGAAGGGTTGAGGATCAAGGGAGCCAATGGTACAACTCCCAGTCTGAGGCCAAAGGCCTGAAAACCAGGACATGGGCTGGAGTCATGGCAGGAGGAGGGGAAGAAGGAGCTCTGGTGTCCAGGGGTAGAAGTAGATGTATGTCCCAGCTCAAAGAGAAAGAGAATTCACCCCTCCTCCACCTCTTTGTTCTATTTGGGTCCTCAATGGACTGAATGATGCCCACCCATATTGGTGAGGGATATCTTCTTTATTCAGTCTTCTGATTCGAATACTAAAATATTCTGGAAACACCCTCACAGTCACACTCAGAAACAATGTTTTACCAGCTATCTGGGCATCCCTCAGCCAACTCAAGTTGACACATAACATTATCCATTACATTCATAGACCTAAAGGAAAGGATGACTAAAGAAGTGAAGGAAGGTGTGATGGCAATGTTGCACCAAAGAGAGAATAACAATAAGAGGAGGTGCAGCTGGGCTTCCTGGGTCGAGTAGGGGCTCAGAAAGCTGTGAAACTCACTCATTTCCTGCATCAGGACTTACTTCGGTCCTGGATGAATAACAGTGAAGATATATGCTTAAAATATTCCTAACACCAGGATTTGTGTATGTGTTTTCTTCCCCAAGAAAGCTATAAACAGCGAAAATTTTGCTGTAAGTTTCCCTGTGTCTCTCTCCCTCTCTCCCTTCCCCCTCCCCAAAACTAAAGATGAAAGGAATGTTAACTGTCCGTTTTTCTGTGACCAGCAAACCTTATCTAACTTCCCAATTCCAGTTCCTTGTGAACATACTTTATAAAGTCCTGGTAAGATCCTGTCTCTTTTGCTATGCCTCTACAAGGTCATAAAGTAAATAAAACCTAGGTTGCAATTCCGGTTTTCCTCAAGATCTAAGACATGGAACAAAATAATTTACTGCCTTTGTTTCTCACTCTGGTAACATGTTCCCACCGCATGTATTTCCCCCCTTAAAGAGTTTAAAAGGCAATTACCCAAAACCAGCAGTGGCTACCCGTTCGGGACCCCTTCCACACTGTGGAAGCTTTGTACTTTCACTCTGCTCAATAAAGCCTACAGCTTTTTCTCTCTATTGGTCCGTGTCTCTATCACTCGCGGCAGGCAGCCGCCACACCAATTCTTTGGCTTGGCTAAGGCAAGAACCTTTGGCGTTACAACAATAGCGATAATAGTTAGTTGTCTTAGTCCGTTCAGCTGCTATAACAAAATGCCTTAGACTAGGTAATTTATAAACAACAGAAATGTATTCCTCTCAGTTCTGGAGGCTAGGAAATCCAAGATCGAAGAACAAGCAGATTCAGTGTTTGGCAAGGGCTTACTGTCTGTTTCCCAGACAGTGCCTTCCACCTGTGTTTTCCTTTTTTTTTTTTTATTATTATACTTTAAGTTTTAGGGTACATATGCACAATGTGCAGGTTAGTTACATATGTATACATATGCCGTGTTGGTGTGCTGCACCCAGTAACTCGTCATTTAACATTAGGTATATCTCCAAATGCTATCCCTCCCCCCTCACCCCACCCCACAACAGTCCCCTGTGTGTGATGTTCCCCTTCCTGTGTCCATGTGTTCTCATTGTTCAATTCCCACCTATGAGTGACAACATGCGGTGTTTGGTTTTTTGTGCTTGCGATAGTTTGCTGAGAATGATGGTTTCCAGCTTCATCCATGTCCCTACAAAGGGCATGAACTCATCATTTTTCTGTTTTCATACAGTGGAAGTGGTGAATAAGCTCCCTCACCTTCTTTTACAAGAGTACTAATTCCATTAATGAGGACTCTACCCTCATAACCTAATCACCTCCCAAAGACCCCACCTCTTAATACCACACACTAGAAAATGGGAATTGAGCTTCAAAATATAAATCTGGGGGCAGGGGACACAAATATTTAGACAATAGTATAATAAAAAGGAACCAAATAGAAATTATGGAGTTGAAAAGTACAATAATTGAAATAAAAATTCACTAGAGAGGCTTAACCATAGGTTTGACCTAGCAGAAGAAAGAAATGTAGAATAAAGTTTAAACTATATTTCAAAAAAAGATTTTGGTAGGTCTATGCCATGCTTCTTCCTCATCATCTCTGCCTTTTAAAATCCAAAGACATTTTCAAAGTATATTTAATTGTAACATTTCCCTTGAAAGTACGCATTATTCTCCAAATGTACATTATTTTTTTTCTAAGAAACCACCTACTACTTAGCATTATAAATAGGTGCTTCTTTTGTGTTCCATTAGACCATAAGCCCCTTAAGTTTAAGCCTGTTTTCCACAAGTCTGCATCTCCCACCATGCCTAGAAAATGGCCTTGATTCAAAAAATATTTCTTGTGTCTTTAAACAAATTGAGTTGAATTCAACACAGAGGGGCGTTTCTCTACAACTCTACACTGACCCTACATTCTCTAGTGTTTTCATATTACACTTACCTCCAACACATTTATTTGTTCCTGGTCTCGCTCTTCTTCAGTCCTAAGTTACAACTAACAAATGAATTATATAAAAACAATAACTGGCCAGGCGTGGTGGCTCACAACTGTAATCCCAGTACTTTGGAAGGCCGAGGTGGGTGGATCATAATGTCAGGAGATTGAGACCATCCTGGCTAACACAGTGAAACCCTGTCTTTACTAAACATACAAAAAATTAGCCAGGCGTGGTGGCGGGCGCCTGTAGTCCCAGCTACTCGGGAGGCTGAGGCAGGATAATGGCATGAACCTGGGAGGTGGAGCTTGCAGTGAGCCGAGATCGCGCCACTGCACTCCAGCCTGGGTGACAGAGCAAGACTCCATCTCAAAAAACAAACAAACGAACAAACAAAAATAACCACTGCTTCCTATATTACCTCATTCTCATGTGTGCTTTTTCAGGTACAAATTTCTAGAGATTAATTCAAACACAAGGAATTGCATCTGGAAATTTAGAAGCTGGAATTCTCTAATGATAGAGACTGCCTCTTAATTCTTGTCTGGCCAAGACTAGCATTGTCTTCAGTCAAGATGCAAATGTATACTTCCTCGCCCGTTTGTCGATAAGCTCAATCACATGTAGATAAGTCAACTTATCACGTAATATAAATGGTTGCAAAAGAAGGGTACCAGGGCTTTGGAATTAGGCAGAACTTAGTTTAAATTTTACTCTGCTATATCCTGGATGTCTGACTTTGGGCAATTTTAATGGTCTCTCTGAATCTCAACATTTTAACCTACACAATATGTTAAGCAAGTCTTATATCAACAAATAATTGAATAACATTAAAATTAAAGTTAGGTATGCTATCTATAAATCTAACAAGTTATAGAGATCTGTTACATCAGGGTTTTACATTGAACTAAATGAAATTGATCAAAATTGTTTTTGATCAAAAACAGATGATTGTTGGTAATTTTAGGTAGTTTAATTTAATTTAACACTTCATTAAAAGACATTAGAGACTGGGCATGGTGGCTCATGCCTGTAATCCCAGCACTTCGGGAGGCCAAGGCGGTGGATCACTTGAGGCCAGGAGTTCAAGACCAGCCTGGCCAACATAGTGAAACCTTGTCTCTACTAAAATTACAAAAATTAGCCGGGCATGATGGTGTGAACGTGTAATCCCAGCTACTCAGGTGAGTGAGACACAAGACTTGCTGGAACCTGGGAGTCGGAGGTTGCAGTGAGTCCAGATCGTGCCACTGTACTCCAGCCTCCAGACAGTGAGATTCTGTCAAAAAATAATAATAATAATTAGAGATACCTACGTAAATGGAAATATATACTATATTCATGAATAAAATATCCAAAAAATAAACACAATTTTTCTCTGAGTTAATCTATAGAGCCAATGCAGTTCTACTCAAAATCCTAACATAATATTGTGCAATCACTATGCTGATTATAAATAATTATAGAAAAGCAATTGTTTAAGACTAGCCTACAAGTTAGTTACACATGCAAATAAACAGTTTGGTTTCTTTACTAGTTATACATAGAAAGAAACAGGTTGGTAAGATTTTGCCCAGCTAGTCCTCAATTTATTATCAGACTTAAGTATAAATAGGAGAATTGTATTGATGCATGGATAGACCTATAGACAAATGAACAGAAACAGCAGGCCCAGAACCAACTCACTCATATGTAAAATCATATTTATGTTGGAGTTGGCATTGGAATTTACTTATGAAATAGTGCAGTAAGTCATCCTGAGAGAATTTGTTATCCAGACAGAAAACTCAACGTTGGATTCATACAACACAGTATCCACAAAAATCAATTCAATTCAGACTAATCAAATGTGAACAGGAACCATGATGAACTATCATCTTATCCCAGTTGGAATGCCTACTATCAAAAAGGCAAAAAAAAAAAAAAAATGCTGGTAAGGAGGAGGGTAAAAGGGAACTTTTATACACCATTAGTAGGAATGTAAATTAGTACAGCCATTATGGGAAACTGTATGGAGGTTTCTCAAAAAACTAAAAATAGAGCTATCATATCATCCAGCAATCCCATTACAGAATATTTAGCCAAAGGAAAGGTAATTTTTAAATTTTTTAAATAGAAAATTTAGATTATTTTATGAACTGAAGTAGGGAAGTATTTCTTAACAAGGATGAAATAACAAAAAAAGTAAAAATTTTAATAAATATACTTTAATACATATTTTTAAAAATGTAATCAAAATATACTTTAAAAATATGACAAAAATTGGAAGAAGTTATTTTTAATACATATAATATAGGAAAATTAAATTGTAAAAACTAAAATTTAAGTCTTATAAGCTTATATCTATCTTTACATATGATATTTTTATATTTATAAAAATAATAAGAAATTCAGTGCCACTCCAGGGATGAGAGCTAGCTTATGAAAAGGAAGCACAGCAGGTCAATACATAATGTGAAAAGATTTCTACCCTTATTAGTAATCAGATAAACACATTTCAAATCATTAGGAAATATCATTTAATTCTCAAGAGATGGGCAAAATGAAGTCTGACAATAATTTATTGGCAAGAAAATTCATTAGTGTGAACAATTAAACACTTCTAGTGGGGGTTGAAATTTATACAGCTAGTTATAATAAAGTTGTAAACACAAATATAGTGCATAGAACTTCTAGTCTTAGGCATTTGTTCTAAAGAAACATTAGGTATGTGGACAAGGAAGCATGCACAGGGATGTTAACAGAGGTGTAGGTCATAGTAGCAAACAGAAAGAAAAACAGAAATAACTAGAATTCTATCATGGGAAAGTTTCTCAGAAGCAAAATTCCTGCACCCTTGGTTATGGATCCACAGAGGCTTCATGTGAAGGGGGCATTCAGATCAAATGCTCAAAGTGGAGTAAGATATCATTGTCTTTCACAGAATCACTTAATAGACTGCAGCAGATCTCCCTTGACCAACCCCCCGAAACCAGTCAAATTCTTCATTTTCCCCAAAGTGAGGACTCCCACATTAAGAAGCCCTCAGTACTGAGATAACTAGCAGATACATTTTTCCATTGCAAGGGTGGTCTTGATGCAGGGCCAGCAAACCTCAAAATTGGGGCTTTGCCCAAGAGTGTTCTTGGCTTCACTAGGGAAAGATTCCAAGGATGAGACAGTGGTGTTAGACAGCAAATTTTATGGAACTAAGCTACTCCTTGAAGAGCAGGGTTACCCCATAGACAGTGTGCCCAGAATAGTAGCTCAGAGGCAGTTCTGCAGTCATATTTATACCCACTTTTAATTATATACAAATTAAGAGGTGGACTATGCAGAAGTTTCTAGAAATAGGGTAGAAATTTCTGCATAATCCACCCCTTAATTTATAGATGGTAACTCCAATTACCACTTCAATGACCCCAGTGGGTCATTATTGCCATGGAAAGAAGTGGTAACCTCTGGGTGTTGCCATGGCAATGGTAAACTGACATGGCAAACTGGTAGGCATGTCTTATGGAGAGGTGCTTCTGCCCCATCCCTGTTTTAGTTAATTTGATCTGGTGTCTGAGCCCCACCTACTACTTCAGTCTTGTGACCCCCAGATTCCCCAGTTGATAAGAAGATGCGTGAGTAAAGGAGGAAATTGAGAGATGCTTCCTTTCAGTGTCCAAGTGTCAAAAAGGATTCCTAGTCTTAATTAAAATTTAGATATAAGAAATCTACTGAAAGAAAGTGATTACAGAATTTACAAGTTGACTTGGTGATGCCTCAGCAAGAGCGAGAAAGATACAACAAACTACAAGACAGAAAATCCACGAGAGCTAAAAATGAGCATTTTGTGGTACCAATCTTGCTGTAAAAGCCTTAATATTTTGTGTATCTTTCTCAGCACTAGACTAGAACATATATGCCAATGGGTAGGAGACACATCTGTCACTGGTAAAGTTGCATAACAATTCACAATCCTATTCTCATACCCAAGTTACCACTAAACATTGCTCTTGAGTCAGTAGCTGCATTTGCCACCCTGGCTCAAAATATCAGCCATCACATTTAGTAAATTCTATCATACAAAGCAAACTAGCACTGATTTATCAGATTTACCATTGGGTGGGGTGAGGAGGAGGGCGCTGGCTGACTTAGCCCGGGCCCTGAAGAGCCCTGTTCCAGAGAATATACTTGTGCTCTTCCTCATGGCCCAGCATATGCTCAGGGCTCCAGGCATTTGCCTCCAGCAGGGGGCTCTTCCACACTCACTCACAGTTGGCTGGGTTCCAATCTCTGTTCAAGTATGAGCAATGCAGATCCAGCTCCCTGGTTAATGTAGTCCTCACTGTTCAAGCCCAGTCTCTTTCAGATGTTGAGACAGTGGCCCTAACTCTGTGTGGCTGGCCCAGAGCTGTGCACCTACCCTCACTGTCATACCACACAATTTCAGACCCTTATTGTCATGGGTTTCCCATCAACTGTTTTTTCTTCAGGGGAAACCTCCACAATGTAGTTTCTAATATGTTGAATTCATACTCCAGAAAGTGTCCTGTAGAATAATGTCTTACTGAAAACGGCCATCACAGCCAGGAGTCCTTAACTATGTTCTTTGACACCCTCAGTTACAGACAGTTTGTTGTCATGTTCTTCACATCTTGTGTGAAGATTGTTCAAGTGTTGGCCAAAGGATATGTCACTATCTAAAATTCACATCGAGAACCTAAGAGTAACTAATAATAAGTTTGATGCTTGTAGGAAAGGAAGAGCTGTTTGGTCACAGGATGTGGTTATTAGAACAGGGTTGTGGTTGAAGGGGAAGGATGATGACATAAATCTTTGCATAAACCACATTAACATGAAACCTTGATATTATCATTACATACTTTTCTTTTTATCTAATAAGGCAAAGTAGAGAAGTCAGCATCATTTGTCTCTGGCAGACTAAACTGTCAAGAAGGCATACCCAAGGTTAGTGGCAGGGAGAACTTCATTAGCATTAGGAATAATAGAAAATATTAAAGAATAAGTTTTGTAAGAAATATATAGACTCAACAGAGAGTAAAAAATGTACTTTACTGGAGAGAAAACAAACTATAAATGAATCATGAAGTTGGATGGAGATATAATCTATAGAATTAAAACTATTTTTATTCAAAATCTTCATGAGATTTTAAAAAAGAATATATGTTCTGAAAGTCTAGGATAAGTATACTGTCCTGTATTGTTGATGTTTTAAAGAGTAGTAGAGTGTATTATATAGCATATTATATAAAGGCGTGGGCCTGAGTTAGGCAATCTTTTTGTTTGTTGAGGTAAAATTCACATAACAAAATTAACCCATTTTAAGGTGCACAACTCAGTAGCATTTAGTGCATTCACCATGTTGTACAACCATCACTTCTATGTAGTTCCGTAACATTTTCATCACCTCCAAGGGAGACCTCGTACCCATTAAACAGTCACTCCCCATTCCCACTTCCTCCTCAGCAACCACAATCTGATTTTAGACAGGCCTTGTTTTGCATCTATGGTAGTGTAATTTCTACATCAATCTATGCAGAAGGAGCTTAGGCCCAGAATTCTGCATGGTGGGTAGGGGCTGTGGCTTGTCTTGAAGCTGGATTTGCTTGCATAGCAAATGCTTTATCTTTATTTATGTGTGTTTGGGTTATTTAAAAAAGAATGTCATAAATATTATGGCTATATTGTTAATTTTCAAAGTGTTTTTGTTGTTTTACCTATGGAGAAAAGATTAATAGCAATTTTATTTGTTTTACAAAGGGACTACCTTCTCCAATGTTTGTGAAAATAATAAGTAAAATTTTGTTTGGCTTTGTTTTGTGTATATATTTAGAGCTGTCTTGAATTTCTAATCTGTTTTAAGTTTTTTCTTTTTGTTTATCCTTATTGCTCTCTTAAAATGTTTTCTGTTTCTTCATATTATTTTACATGTAAGAGCGACTGAAAAATGGTCATGAGTTTGAAGAAATCAGATGGAATTTGGGGCTAATGTTTCAGGGTCTGATTCCTTCACTGGGGGACCATGAGGGCCATAGCATGGAATTATTTTCTCTGGGCCCATTCAATTTCTTCTGAGAGGAAACTTCATGTATTTTGTTTGAGGGATAGATGCCAGCCACCTATGTGGCAGAGGTCAGAGTGGAAAAGAGGTGGGGTTAACTATTCCCCATATAATCTTTCAATTAATCTCCTGAAGTGTCCCCAAGTTTTTTTAAGAAAATGTTTAAATAAATACTATTTCAAGTGTATGGTGATGTTTTTATAGCCACTAAAGATAAGATTGTAAGAAACTGTTTAGTGATGTAGAAGATTGTCTGATCTGTGGGAAATTATCCACAGATTAAGTAAAAAAAAAAAACTACAAAGACTAATATTACAATTCTGTAAATGTATCTATACTGTGATATTTATATTTATAAAAACAGGAAGGATCTTAATGACACTCAGAAGACTAGTATTAGATGATAGAAGAACTACTACATTTTTCTCCTCCCAACAGTCTTAATAGGGCCTGCAGGTCTAAGGCGAGTGGCCTTGAAAAACCTCTGCTCAGGGAAATTTGTATGGAACATTTTAATATGGAGCATTGTGTAGAACTTCGCCTGTACTGTCCCTGTAGTGTCTTTTTTCCTCTCCTGCAGGTCTTCATGGCCCCCTGGGATCATAGCCACAAAGTTTCTGTTCTCAATTGCGCTCTCAGGTCTACTTTTCAATTCTTTTACATAACTTTACTCATCTCTACCTCTCCCTTCCCTCCAAAGGGTTCTTTTTTATCCACTGTCCTCATGGAAGTAAAACAATGACCTCACCATACCTCACAAATAAACAGAAGAAGAAAGATGTGAATCTTCCCTAAATCTAATGTCTTAAACTTGAAACCCATGAACCCTGTGGTACTCAGGTGAGCAGAGATAGAAGAGCACTACGCAGGTTCACACTCTTTTCCCTGAAGAAGGAAAAACTCAGAAAAAAACTCCAGTCTGTAGTTTTAGAGCAACTTTTGTGTGGGACCCTCCCAGACTGGAAATTTCTGGTCCCCCTCTTCTGGGGTTGGGAGCAAGCCCTGACTCTTCGGTGCCATGTAGCCTGGTCTAAGCTCAGGAACATTTCTATGGTTTTTGACAAAGCTGCAAAATTTTATTAGCCTTAACATGTTTGAATCTGTAAGATTTCTAAGTAAGTCTGACAGTAAAATTTCAGATTGTTCAGCTGACCATGAAGACTTCAAAGTGCATTCACTATTTAAAGCACCTGTAGATGAATTATGCTGGACTTGACCAAGAGTGTTTATCTGTGCATAAATCAAATACAGTCGACTTTACCTATCCAAAGTTCCACATCTGTGGATTCAACCTACCATGGATTTAAAACCACGGATATGGGTTATTACAGCATTTTTTTTTTTTTTTTGAGATGGAGTCTCACTCTGTCGCCCAGGCTGGAGTGCAGTGGCGTGATCTCGGCTCGCTGCAAGCTCTGCCTCCCGGGTTCACGCCATTCTCCTGCCTCAGCCTCCTGAGTAGCTGGGACTACAGGCACCCACCACCACGCCTGGCTAATTTTTTGTATTTTTAGTAGAGACGGGGTTTCACCGTGTTAGTCAGGACGGTCTCGGTCTCGATCTCCTGACCTCGTGATCCGCCCGCCTCAGCCTCCCAAAGTGCTGGGATTACAGGCATGAGCCACAGCGCCTGGCCTATTAAAGCATGTTATAGAAGAGACTGAGCATCCACAGATTTTGGTATCAGCTGGGGTCCTGGAACCAATCTCCTGGGGGTGCAGAGCCACAGTCAAGTATGAGAAACAAAGAGAAGAGGAAGGGCCCATTTCTGTCCATAAAGCATCTGCAGAGGAGGTCTTAATCAGCTTCATTAATGCAAATTTCCACCTCAGGGCTTGCCCTGGAGAAACACCTCTAGATGAAGACAATTGGATGTGTAAGTGGCCAGATCCACATGCAATTACTTCTTTAGAAGAATTAAGTCGTGGCTTGACAAATGGTCCCTTGTCTGTGATAGGAGCTGTGGCATAAATTCCCTTCTGGGCTACAGTGTAGCACAATTGCCCTCTCTCTATGGTATCATTCTGAAGTTAGACTGCATGGGTTTGAATTCTGGCTCCGTTTCTTACTATTGGTATAGCTTTAGTCAGGTATCCAACCCTTCCATGCTACAATTTCCTAATTGGTAAAATGGGGGAGGGAGATATAATAATATACCTACTTAATGGTATCATTCTAAAAGTTAAGTCAGTTAATACGAGTATGGTAAAAGCAATTAGAAGAACATCTGGCATGTGGTAAGTACTCAATACATATCAGGCACTATTATCATCATTACTATCAATTATTATCATCATCATGACTGGGAGGTAACATGGCAATTTGTCGACATTTTCTTACCAGCCTGGCTGATAAACATCCAGTATATCTGAAGAGAAAGTTTCAGAGTCAAAAGCAAAAAGAGGCCTGGCTTTCTTTATATTGGGTGGGAATAAGGATGATGGAAGGAATATGAGAGGAACAGGCAATTTGTCCTTTTGGTTTTATTTTAACTACCTCCAGGAAATTAACCTATTCTCACACATCTGGGGAAACAACCAAGTCCATTCCTTCACTTTAATTCTGATTTTTTTCCCACAATGTACACATCCCAGGATTTTTGGCTGACTTTAAAACTACAAACATCAGGTTCATACCAGTAAGCCAAACTCATAGTTGATTTGGAGGTTCATTGTCAATTTAGTAAACAGTGCCTAGATCATAAGATTCAACTGGCACATCATGAAACTCACTGGAGACTGTGTGGACTAAAGAAATGAAGCATCCTCTACCTTTTCACAAGTGCAAACACATTAAGATGCTGCTATTTACAGTTACTCTTTCCCTGTAGACCTGTGGGCATGAGCCATCCTTGGTTTAAGTCACTTGATAGTGACTCAAAGCACAAAGCACAGGGTAATGCCTGTTCTTTCCTTTTTCTTTTTTTTTCTTTTTTCTTTTTTCTTTTTTTTCCTTTTTGAGACAGAGTTTCGCTCTTGTTGCCCAGGCTGGAGCACAGTGGTGCGATCTTGGCTCACTGCAACCTCCACCTCCCAGGTTCAAGCAATTCTCCTGCCTCAGCCTCCCAAGTAGCTAGGATTACAGGCATGTGCCACTACACTCAGCTCATTTTGTACTTTTAGTAGAGATGGGGTTTCACCATGTTGGTCAGGCTGGTCTTGAACTCCTGACCTCAGGTGATCCACCCACCTTGGCCTCCCAAAGTGCTGGGATTACAGGCATGAGCCACCGCGCCCGGCCTACCTGTTCTTTAATCTGACTGTTGAACCCTTCACTTCTCTGGTTAGTTAATTTTCCAGACAGAGGGCGCTGAAAGGACACCCATGTATCATGTGTTATTTACAATTCCTCACCCCAATCCCCAATCTCCACAGCCTCACTCCCTTCTAGTCAGGTTTTGGTGACCATTGGCCCTTGCAGAAGCTGGGTTTAAGTGAAAGCAAAATAAGACATTAAATATTTTCCTCTTCAGCAAATCAGAACCCGGTGGGAAGCAGCATCATCTGTCTCTGGCAGACTAAGCCATGAAGACTGTAAGAAAAAATATTTAGTGATGGAGGAAGGAAAAAAGTATCCATTAGCAAGAGCAAAATAATATGAAAAGTATTTAACAAGGAATATAAAGAATCATCAAAGAAAATGTTATAAAACTTCTTTGAGACCACAAGAGATGAGTAAGTGGAGAAGAACATGGTGTTCACAGAGAGAGAAATATAGTAGATAGAATTAATACAGTTTCAAATTATGTACTTTCCTGCTGTTGGGTGGAGTGTTCTGTAAATGTAACTTAGTCAAGTTACTTGATAGCATTGTTCAGTTATTCTATATCTTTACTGACTTTCTGCTTATTTTTTCTATGAAATATTAAGAAATGAGTATAAAATCTCCAATGATAATTTTGGATTTTTCTATTTCTCCTTTCTTTTATGTCAACTTTGTCTCCTGTATTTTGAAGCTCTGTTTTTAGGTGCATATGCACTTAAGATTGTTATGTCTCTTTAGAGAAATAACCCTTTATCATTAAGTGATGTCTGTCTTTATCCCTATTAACATTTCTCGCTCCAATTTCTGCTTTGTCTAGTATTGACATAATCATTCTGAATTTCTTTTGATTTCTTTTGCATGGTATATATTTCCCTTCTTTTTACTTTTAATGAAGGTATGTCTTTATATTTAAAATGGGTTGCTGATAGGTTATAGTTCAATATTCCATTTTTATTCAATCTGTTCTTCTCTATCATTTAATTGGTCTGTCTGGACCAATTATATTTAATGTACTTATTAATATGGTTGAATTATTTTTACTAGATATTTCTATTAATTCTATGAAATATTTATTTTTATAATCATTTTTTGCTTTCTTTTGGATTAGTTGTTGCCCTAGAATTTTACATATATGAATAATCTATCTTCAAATCTACCTTAGATTAGCATACTCCAGATTTCTCTCTTATTCATTGTGCAATTGTCATATAATTTCTTTCTCATATTCCATAAACACACAATACATTGCTACTATTTTTATTTTAGAGAGTCTGTTACCTTATAAAGCAATGATTCTTAAATGGGGGCAATTTTCCCCTCAAGTGACATTTGACAATGTCTGGAGATAGTTTTTGTTGTCACTAATGGGGAGGCTGCTACCAGCATGTATTGGGTAGAGGCCAGGGGTGCTGTTAAAAGTCCTATAACACACATGACAGCCTCCCACAAAAAAAAACATTATCCTCTGGCTCAAAATATTAATAGTTCTCAGGTTGAGAAACCTCATTTTAGAGCATTTTTTAAACTTTTGAGTTCAAGGGTACATGTTCAGGTCTGTTACATAAACATGTAAATATGTGTCATAGGGGTTTGTTTTATAGATTATTTCATCACCCAGGTATTAAGCTTAGTAACCAATGGTAATTTTTCCTGATCCTCTCCCTCCTCCCACCCTCCACTCTTCAATAGGTCCTAGTGTGTGTGGTTCCCCTCTATGTGTCCATGTATGTGTTATTATAATTTCGCTCCCACTCATAAGTGAGAACATGCGGTATTTGGTTTTCTGTTCCTGTATTAGTCTGCTAAGGATAGTGGTCTCTAGTTCCATCCATGTCCCTGCAAAGAACATGATCTCATTCTTTTTTCTTTTTTTTGAGACAGAGTCTCTCTCTGTCGGCCAGGCTGGAGTGCAGTGGCACGATCTCGGCTCACTGCAAGCTCCGCCTCCTGGGTTCACACCATTCTCCTGCCTCAGTCTCCCGAGTAGCCATCATGCCTGGCTAATGTTTTGTATTTTTAGTAGAGACAGGGTTTCACCGTGTTAGCCAGGATGGTCTTGATCTCCTGACCTCATAATCTGCCCGCCTCGGCCTCCCAAAGTGCTGCGATTACAGGCGTGAGCCACCGTGCCGGCCGATCTCATTCTTTTTTATGGCTGCGTAGTATTCCACGGTGTATATGTACCAAATTTTCTTTATCCAGTCTATCATTGATGGGTATTTAGGTTGATTCCATGTCTTTGCTATTGTGAATAGTGCTACAATGAGCATACGTGTACACGTATCTTTATAATAGAACAATTTACATTCCTTTGGGTATATAGCCAGTAATTGGATTGCTGGGTCAAATGACATGTCTGCCTTTGGGTCTTTGAGGTATTGCCACACTGTCTTCCACAATGGTTGAACTAATTTACACTCCCGCCCACAGTGTATAAACGTTCCTTTTTCTCCACAACCTCATCAGCATCTGTTAGTTTTTGACTTTTTAATAATAGCCATTCTGACTGGTGTGGGATGGTCATTGTGGTCTTGATTTGCATTTCTCTAATGATCAGTGATGTTGAGCTGTTTTTCATATGACTGTTGGCTACATGTATGTCTTCTTTTGAGAAGTGTCCGTTCATGCCCTTTGCCCACTTTTTTATGGAGTTGTTCGTTTTTTTCTTGTACATTTGTTTAAGTTTCTTATAGATGCTGGATATCAGACCTTTGTTGGATGCATAGTTTACAAAACTTTTCTCCCATTCTGTATGTTGTCTGTCCACTCTGCTGATAGTTTCTTTTGCTGTGCAGAAGCTCTTTAGTTTAATTAGATCCCATTTGTCAATTTTTGCTTTTGTTGCAATTACTTTTGCCGATGCCTATGTCCTGGGTAGTATTGCCTAAGTTGTCTTCCAGGGTTTTTATAGTTTTGCGTTTTACATTTAAGTCTTTAATACATCTTAAGTTAATTTTTGTATATGGTGTAAGGAAGAGTTCCAGTTTCAACCTTCTGCATATGGCTAGCCAGTTCTCCCAGCACCATTTATTGAATAGGAAATCCTTTCCCCATTGCTTGTTTTCCTCAGGCTTGTTGAAGATCAGATAGTTGTAGGTATGAGGTCTTATTTCTGGTGGGTTCTCTATTCTGCTCCATTGCTCTATGTGTCTGTTCTTGTACCAGTACCATGCTGTTCTGGTTACTGTAGCCCTGTAGTGTAGTTTGAAGTCAGGTAGTGTGATGCCTCCAGCTTTGTTCTTTTTGGTTAGGATTGCCTTGACTGTTCAGGCTCTATCTAGTTCTGTGAAGAATCTCAATGGTATTTTTTAATAGGAATAGCATTGAATCTATAAATTGCTTTGGGCAGCACTTGCTTTTAAAGCTTTTATTAAAAATTATTTGTCATTTGTTTAATGATTAATGCTAAGGAAAGGTATCTGTATAGCCGGGTGGGGTGGTGTGCCCCTGTAGTCCCAGCTACTTGGAAGACTGAGGTGGGGCCTGGGAGTTTGAGGCCAGCCTGAGCAACACAGTGAGACTCCATCTCTAAAATTAAGTAAGTAAATTAAAAGATCTATACAAAGAATGTTTACAATATGTACATTAGGACTGGGGAGTTCCTGGGAGGAGAATCAATCACTGCTGGACATGAGGAATATCAGTCTCCAGACAGTCAGCTCTGTAAACTGATTCAGATGATTAAGAATTTCAGTCCAAGTCAACAAGTATTTATTGATTACATACCATAGTCTCTGCAAAGTCTTCATGAAATAACCTCTTAGGTTTAGCTGTAGAATACTCTGGAGCTATGGAGAAGGTAGATCTGGACATGGAGGTAATTTTGCATGTTTTTCAGTAGAATAGCATTACAAAGCAATCTTTCCTCATATTATTATTATTATTATTATTATTTTGAGACGAAGTCTCACTCTGTCACCCAGGCTGGAGTGCAGTGGCACGATTTCGGCTCACTGCAAGCTCTGTCTCCCAGGTTTACACCATTCTCCTGCCTCAGCCTCTTGAGTAGCTGGGACTACAGGCGCCCGCCATCACGCCTGGCTAATTTTGTTTTTGTATTTTTAGTAGAGATGGGGTTTCACTGTGTTAGCGAGGATGGTCTTGATCTCCTGACCTCGTGATCCGCCTGCTTCTGCCTCCCAAAGTGCTGGGATTACAGTCGTGAGCCACCGCGCCTGGCCTCCTCATATTATTTTTTATTGTGCAGTTTATTCAAGTGAGTTATTTAAAACAACTAGTTCACACACATAGGAGTTGTTGCTGATAAAGAATTGGTGGAAATGATATTAAATAACAATTGTTTTTATAAGTTTCCTCTGCTTCATTAATTTTATGATTGTGAGAGGCCACGTGACTGGATATCAGCATACAGGACTTTGTATCAGAATATGAGCTTGGCAGTCATAAGAGATTACTTACAATTCTTCACAATTCTGTATTTTCATTTCTAAAACTCCATAAAGTTTTTATAAGAATAAATTGTAGCACCTTATTCATACTGGAATTCAACAGTTCTTAGTTCAAGTCTCCCTTGAGAAAGCTTCACTGTGTTTTTAGTGCAGATTAGTAAAGATAAGATCTTGACTGGTAGGTGAGTGGGTGGAATTTATTTCAAATATGGGGGCTCTCCAATGCTTGCACACCAAATTCATTTACATATTGTCAAAAGCCAGAGGATATTTATGATAAGTTGCAAAAATAGCTACAAATTCTTTGTAGCCCATTCTGTCAAGAAATGCAATCTATTAATCCACCTCTTGATGTGAGCTAGTACTATGACTTGCTTTGAATAACAGAATGTAATGGAAGTGATGTTGTGAGTTTTAAGTTTCAGCTCAAGACACCTACTGTTTCTATCTTGCACAGGAGAGCTTTCCAGCACCTGTGATAAGCCTCAGCCCGCCTGCCGGATAATGAGCCCACATGGATTGAGAGAGGCCTCCTATCCCTGCCAAACCTATTGATGCTACAGAGATGTGAGGGAGCCCACCTGAGAAAAGCTGAACCTGCCCAGTATATAAAAACCACTCAGGTGGGTTGAGCACAATTTCCTGTCTTACAGAATCATGAGGAGACACTAAACAATTATTTGAAGTCATTAAGTTTTGGAGTACTTTGTTACATAAAAAAATCTGACAGATACAAGAGTCTTCAAAAAAATTTTGTTTTTCAGCAATGTCTTAGTGCTTCTGTGGCTCACAGGCTCCCACATGCCTGGAGTGCTACAGGGAGAAGGTTAAATGAATGAGGAAAAATTGATAGGCTTTCCCAGCCCAAAGCATGATGTTATTATCATTATCATTATTAATATTTGTCTTTATATAGGAGTTACCACTTGGGAATAGTTGCTATGTGTCAGACACTGGATTGTATTTAACTTTATAATTGTACTTATCTATCATTTCATTTTACCATATTAACTATCATCCAATAATTTTCCTTCTGTTTTATAGAAAATAACCTTAAGGCTCAGGTGTTTTGAGTAGCTTGCCCAAGGTGATGCAGCTGATAAAATGAAAAGCAGCATGGAATACATATTTATCTTATTACAAAATCTGTATTCTTTTTACTTTGCTACTCTAGACTCTCTTATTATTGTGAAGCAGCTTTAACTACTGCAAGACAGAAGTCTTGGCCTTCAGAGTAAAACTTCACCAGTGCATAAAGTCAGACTAAAGCAATTTGAAAATATACAGTCTTAGAGAATGTTATAACTGTTTATTAGAACTAACATAAATTCTACCTAATTTCTTAGAGGGCTCTTAATGATGTCAATTATAATGGCACATCCCATTGTTATTTTAGTCATGGAATCAATGGCATGTCAATAAGTGCTTTCTGAGAAAATTGTTGGACAAAGTACTATTTTGAACTCCAAATTTTATTCCCACTATTAATTTATGAAGAGGGCCTTTTCTCTTTCTACTAGACAAAGGTAACAAATTAGCTCTTGTTAAAATGGTATGCTGTTCTTCTGAGTCTCATTTACTTATTACTTTACCTTACATTAAAATTATGACCTGAAGACAGAAGCAACTGGAACAACGTTCACTGTGTTATGGCCGGATGAAGCAGGAAGAGGAAAGAGACAAAACTAGGTTAAAGATAGAAATGGCATCTATTGGGCCAGTCGTGGCCTCACGCCTGTAATTCCAGCACTTTGGGAGGCCAAGGCAGGCAGATCACGAGGTCAGGAGATCGAGACCATCCTGGTTAACACAGTGAAACCCCATCTCTACTAAAAATACAAAAAATTAGCCGGGCGTGGTGGCAGGCGCCTGTAGTCCCAGCTACTTGCAGTGAGCCGAGATTACGCCACTGCACTCCAGCCTGGGCGACAGAGCAAGACTGTCTCAAAAAAAGAAAAAAAGAAATGGCGTCTATTATCTCTTCAATGACTTTGCCTTGCTTGGACTTTCCCTTCACCCCACAGGATGTGAGGTCTGAAACGGCACCCTCAACTTCCCATCCAAGATACAATTGTAATCCTACATTTAACACCCTAACTTCTTAACTGGAGTTGAGTTATTTAAACTGTAATTTTAATAGGTGAAATTCTGGACTACCATCCCAAAACATTTTGCTCATTTGCCAAAGTCCTAAGGAATTTCCATGAGATACAAAGCAGGTAAGTCTGGATACAGGAAAAAAGATAAAAACATGTTATTTGCTACACAGCCAGAAGGATATTGAGTGGCAAAGGGAGCACATCTCAAAGGGGACCTCAAAAACCCTCTTCATCCACAATGGCAGGAGCTAGAAAGAATAAAGCCACCTATAGGGTCAAATATCTCTCCTAATCATGTTAAGGCACTGGATTCTGAATTCGCACAGAAGGAGACTCTCACCCATCACTCCTCACAAGGACTCATGGCTTGCCCCATAGCATCACATCTGTGCTGCTTATCAGCTGCGTGACCCTGGGAAAAGTCCTTCAACTCTCTGGGCTTTAATGTCCTCCTCGGAAAATGAGAACGATATTAAAATATGACAAGTATATGTAAAGAGTCCAGGAATTTTTCATTCCAAGTGCAGTGTATGTACATTTCTCACAACTGCCTAATGAGGTACCTCAATGCCTCCAGCCAAAGACCAGCAGGAGCATACAAGCAATGAACAAGTCAGCTTTATTGTTTATTGCAATGATGGATAAAACTCACCATGAGAATCATGCAGCCCCTCAGTAAGAGATTGTTGGAACCAAAGAAGTAGAACCACGAGAATACATATATTAAGAGAATGATGCAAGGAATTAATTTTTGCATCTGTGGGGGTGGGCTAGGCAAGTCAGAGATCCTCTGGGAGGTAGTTATCAGGAAGGGCAGGCTGGAACTCTCAGCACAGGCTGACACACTGTCCAGAGTGGAATTTCTGTTTCCTCAGAGAAACCTCAGCTCTGCTCTTAAGGCTTTTCAACAGCTTAGATTAAGCTCACCCAGTTTTCCTAGGATAAATTCTTAAAGTCAACTGATTATGAACTTCAATGACATCTACAAAATATCTTCACAGCAACATCTAGATTATTAGTGTTTGACTGAATAACTGGGGATCACAGTCTAGCTGACACATAAAATTGACCATTAATCAGTTGTAAGGTTTGTGCTTGTTTTAGGTGATTTTGGGGAGGATTTAAGAAAGAGGGATTTTGCTTTTAATTGGATTCTGACAGAAAGTGGAGGGTTGGGGTGGCAATGTTATGATTGGGTAGCTTCATAAATCCTACCTAGAGGGACAGAAGACTATCCTGAGGCTACAGACGTGGTTGGTAAAGAAGCAGTAATCACTCCCAAGAGAGAGATGTGCCTGGTCATTTTTGTGGTTTGGACAATATTCATGTTTTGTCTGGGTTCAGACATGATGACTGAGCATTCAGGTGTTCTGTCTCAATCCACTGTGCTCACAGAGTACCTGTCTGATTCTGATGTTCTATGAAATCCTTTATCTCCAACAGGAGAACCAAAACCACCTGGGAGTGCCAGGCTAGCTGCTAGCAACCCCAAGCCTTCGTTAATTCCATCCAGACAGCTCTCAGGTGTCAGGACATTTTTTTTTTGTTTCACTTTTTTTTTTACAGTCTCTGCCAGTGGGAGGTAAAACATAGTGCTGAGAATCTCAGAAGGCCATTTATCAAGGACAGAGTGTTTCTAAATAGAAGCTCCATTAACTTATGGTTTCTATCACATACAGAAAATAGATGCATCTGAAAAAATATAATAAGTTTCCCTCTAAGGACTAACTTTAGCTCAATCTCTAGTCCCTTGCAAATATTTGGAATTTTAATGGGGTAGGATAACAAGTTTTAAAAGATCTGGTAGTTTAAGAAAAGAAAACCATTTTTCTAAGTCAGTGCAATTCTTCTTATTCTACCCTCAACTTTTGACTTCATATTCTTAATTTTTTTAAAAAAAGTTCTTAGAGTAATTGAGCCAGCCAAATTTTAAATGTAATCAATGTCCCCAAATTTCCTTTAAACATACTCAAGAAGCACCAAAACACAGAATGTAAGGATTACTCAATGCAAAGAAAAACTGTATAAAGTCTCATACAGTTACTATAGACAGCACCATCTGACATTATAACCCCTTTTTATTGCCCTGGCCAAAACCACTTGGATCTTTTGAGTGCTTGAGAAGAACTTACCCAGCTGGATTTATACAAGTAGAAAAGGCAAAGGTATTGCTTGGCTACCACCAGCAGAGATCCCTAGGTAGGTGGGGTCAACTTAACATTTGGAGAATTCCACACGCACTATGGAAGCAAAAAGAAAAACAGCTAACCCACATACAGAAGCCAGAGAAAGGGCACGGGATGGGGACTGCCAGGGAGGGAAATCAACTCAGGGAAAAATTCCTGGAGGTTGTAACCCAGAAAATCCTGAAGGATGCCATATAACTGATGACCTCATCTATCCATGAGGCTGCTCAGAAATGCCCTCCCCTGGCCAGGCACGGTGGCTCATGCCTGTAATCCAAGCACTTTGGGAGGCTGAGGCAGGCAGATCATGAGGTCAGGAGTTCAAGACCAGCGTGGCCAACATAGTGAAACTCTGTCTCTACTAAAAATACAGAAATTAGCCGGGCATGGTGGCAGCCGCCTGCAGTCCCAGCTACTCGGGAGGGTGAGGCAGGAGAATCGCTTGAACCTGGGAGGCAAAGGTTGCAGTGAGCCGAGACCATGCCATTGTACCTCAGCCTGGGTGACAGAGTGAGACTACGTCTCGAAAAGAAAAGAAAAAGAAAAGAAAAAGAAAAAAAAAGAAAAATGCCCATCCCTCTTGCGAATGGCAGACATGCACACACCAGAGAAGATTCCAATTTAGTGTCCTCCCTCTGTTCATAGAACAATTCCTCAAGTCCACTCTGAGTAGAGGCTGCATCACAACAAGGGGATTGCCCTGTCTCCTTCCAGGGCTCTTAATACAAACTCTTCAGCTAGTAACTGAGATGTCACCATGGGGGATTTTTCTAATTGGCCAAAACCTGACCTGGCAGGGTTTGGTTTGGGTGTCTTCAGATTTCCTTGTCTTGAGGCCCTCACAATTGCTCTACAGCTCAGAACAGCAACTGCTGAGGCTGCCTTGGGAAGAGGATGATCCTAAACAAAGCTCTGATGCTGGGGGCCCTCGCCCTGACCACCGTGATGAGCCCTTGTGGAGGTGAAGACATTGTGGGTGAGTGCATGAGTGAGGAATGTTCTCTGGAGCTGAAAAACAGTAAATTGAAGGAAAAGAGAGAAAGCGATTTGCAGAGAAATTGTAGAGATTTCCTAAGACCCCTTTCAGTATTAAGAGAATTAAAAATTATAGCTGTTCCTCCTTCAGGAAACCAGAGCCCCAACCTACTCTTTTTGTTATGTATGCTTTTGTGTTCACTAAGGATGCTATTCTGTTTATATTATATTCAGTGACAACAGCCTGGAGGTCTCTATGTCGTTCCGTCATGATTGCCTCAAAAATTAGTGAAGTTTCCATCAGTGGATAATTTTTTATTATTAAAAATGTATGAAGTGTCATTCTCAAATTTCCCTGAACAACTTTTGAAGCTTTTCGTATGTCTCCTGTAGTAGATCTTGGGGTCGTTCCATCAATTATATACTCTATAGATATTAAAAAAGTTGCCCGTTTCTTTCTCTCAGACTTACTCACATTTCCACATGGGAACTGGCACAGGTGGGGAGTGGGTAAAGGAGTCCAGCAGGCTGAATGCCTTCAACAATCATTTTACCACATGGTCCTCACTTACTCTCAGCTGCCTCATATGTGTCACCTCACAAATAATCAAATAAAATGGGCATGTAGCTAAGCTTTGTAAATAGTGAAAACATGGATGTCAATTGTTTTTACATATTTCTATTACAGGTATAGCTTCACATTTTTCTTTAGCAAAATAAGGGATCCTTTTAGTTTAAAATTGAGAAGTAGAAAAAATTGGTAAATTAAATCATTTTATTCTCAAATTATCAACCCAAATTACCTGTTCTTCACCTCATCTAATAAAGTCCTATAAAAAGAAAAGTGGGCCAGACATGGTGGCTCATGCCTGTAATCCCAGCACTTTGGGAGGCCGAAGCAGGAGGATCATTTGAGCCTGGGAGTTTGAGACCAGCCTGGGCAACATAGCAAGACCTCATCTCTACCAAAAAATAAAATAAAAATTAGCCAGGTGTGGTGGTGCATGCCTGTGGTGCCAGCTACTCAGAAGGCTGCAGTGGGAGGAGCACTTGAGTCCAGGAGGTGGAAGCTGCAGTGAGCCATGATGGCACCACTACACTCCAGCCAGGGCAACAGAGAGAGACTCTGTCTCAAAAAGAAAGAGGAAAGAAAGAGAGAAAGGAAGGAAAGAAGGAAAGAAGGAAGGAAGGAAGGAGAAAGGGAAGGGAGGAAGGAAAAAAGAAAGAAAGAAAGAAAACGGAAGGAAGGAAGCACAGATTAATTATTTGGTCTCTTTGTCTCCTCTGCCTTTGTCGTCCATCTCTTCCCACCTCTCTTCATGCATTCCTTTCTCCCTCTTCCCTTTCAGGATCCATCTCTGACTCCCTGCTCCTTTATAGAGATGGACAGTGAGTTTGTAAAACAAAAGTTGAAAAGTCAGATAGTTAAAAGGGGAAGTGAACTGGAAGGTACTCTAAACTTTCACAACCTTATTAACCATGGCTGCTCCCATTCTGATTTTGTTCAGCAGTGGAAGTTTCACCCGCTCCTCCAGAGCGCTTGGCTTCTTTGTTCCAAATTTCCTTTCTTCAACCTCACACCAGAGTGCCCTGGTCAGGCTCAGCTCATCCATTAGGCACAATGTGGGCAGTGCAGGGGACCCTCCAGACTGTAAAGCCACATGAGAATGTTTTAACTCCTTTTAAAATTATAAAAAAATGAAATTGTAGAGCCTAAGAAAATGTTTTAACTTTTAATTCAGCCTAGATTATATTGTCTTTATACCAATTCAGTCATAAAATATAGTTTTCCATATTTTTATGGAGGAAGGCGTCCACACAAGCAAGAGTGCTTGGGGCTCACATGTCAGAACGCAACCCTGATCATGGCTGATCCTGGCCTTCGTGTGGTTCTGCTAACTATGTGCCTGTCAGTCTTCCCCAAAATCTATGTGGTCCTCAAATATAACAACTGTCATTCAATACACATGTTTGAGCACCCAGTGAGCTAAGTTTTAAGGATTCAAAGATGAAAAGTCATGCTGTCTCCTCTGCAAAGGGTGCTCAGACTAGTGATGGAAACAGTATGGGATGAAAGAAAGCAGAAGGCCATTGCTGAGCAGGCAGTGGACTCAGCAGAGGCTGAAACTATACAAGTGACTTGGTTCCAGCTGGGCCAGCAGGATAACCAGATGAAAAGAAGGATTGCATATATTCCATATATATTTATGTTTGAACAAAGAGTCAAGGTTTATTGCAAGGATAAGGAGGTTTTGTTGGTGGCCTGTTAAGACCATCCAGGGTGGTCATACTGGATAGGGAAGAAGGTGAGCTGGAAGAGGAACAGACAAACTTGGATGGCCAGATGTTGAGATGGAGGAGATGGAGGTCATAACGTGGTCAAAAACATGTTGATGAGAGGACTTAGCTACAAAGTTGTTAACTTAAGCAGAAACCTCAAGGATTGATTTTATGATTTCTCCAGGAAGTCCTAAAAGTTAATTTCATTTCAGGGAGAAAAACAACAGACCACTGCAAAGACCAGGAACATGAAAGGATAATGTAGTTTGGTTTGCTTGGCAGATACTTGTGAAAGATGTTGGACTGTAAGGCTGTCAATATCCTCCTCGCAGAACTTACTACAGTACATTGTATCTGCTCCCTTACCTACCTGACTCTCCCACTATTCAGTTTGTTCCTTAATGGTAGACCATGCCTGATCGGTGTTTTACACATCCCCTGCTATGTCTGATACTTGTGGATGCTCAGAAAGTGGGGAAGGAAGGAAAGATACGATGGTAAAAGGCTTACACATGTCTTGAGCAGAATGTTCAGTTTGGCTCATTTGGCTGGAGTCATACTGCATGGCTGCCATTCTGCTCTGGCATCCTCAGAGAAGCACACTGCCCATTAAAGGAAAAAGGGTGAATACAAATGTTGAGTCAGAACACTGCAGACATTTAGTAACCTCCTTCAGAGGAAAAAAAAAGGTGGGGGGAATGACAGAAATCCAAAAACTAGTAGAGCTTCCACTTTTTCATTTCAGAAGAAATCAGTTACTCTCCTCTAAGGACCATTACTATTAACAAAACAGAGACCTTAGAAGGAAGCATTATTTACTTATCATATATTTTGTAATGTTATTACCCTTCTTGTTATACTCTTTCTTATACCCTACCATTGTTAGCAGAAATTATTTTAAATTAATAAGATCCTGCATGCTTTTCCTTTTTCTAAAAAAAGAAAGATCTCTGTGTAGAATGTCCTGTTCTGAGCCAGTCCTGAGAGGAAAGGAAGTATAATCAATTTGTTATTAACTGATGAAAGAATTAAGTGAAAGATAAACCTTAGGAAGCAGAGGGAAGTTAATCTATGACTAAGAAAGTTAAGTACTCTGATAACTCATTCATTCCTTCTTTTGTTCATTTACATTATTTAATCACAAGTCTATGATGTGCCAGGCACTCAGGAAATAGTGAAAATTGGACACGCGATATTCTGCCCTTGTGTAGCACACACCGTAGTGGGAAAGAAAGTGCACTTTTAACCGGACAACTATCAACACGAAGAGGGGAGGAAGCAGGGGCTGGAAATGTCCACAGACTTTGCCAAAGACAAAGCCCATAATATCTGAAAGTCAGTTTCTTCCATCATTTTGTGTATTAAGGTTCTTTATTCCCCTGTTCTCTGCCTTCCTGCTTGTCATCTTCACTCATCAGCTGACCATGTTGCCTCTTACGGTGTAAACTTGTACCAGTCTTATGGTCCCTCTGGGCAGTACAGCCATGAATTTGATGGAGACGAGGAGTTCTATGTGGACCTGGAGAGGAAGGAGACTGTCTGGCAGTTGCCTCTGTTCCGCAGATTTAGAAGATTTGACCCGCAATTTGCACTGACAAACATCGCTGTGCTAAAACATAACTTGAACATCGTGATTAAACGCTCCAACTCTACCGCTGCTACCAATGGTATGTGTCCACCATTCTGCCTTTCTTTACTGATTTATCCCTTTATACCAAGTTTCATTATTTTCTTTCCAAGAGGTCCCCAGATCTTCTCATGGCAATTGCTGAAATTTTATCATTTCTCATCTCTAAAATCACATATTCCAATGTAATACAAGGGTCTTTCCATTATGCATTCATTAAATCCTTCTAGGAGAGGTCTCATCAACCTTCTACTTTATTAAACATGCCCACAGAGAGAAGGGCACAGGAGTAAAGCAGAGGCAATGTGTCGTTGCTCCCAAATGTGTCGTTACAATGTGTCGTTGCTTACCCAAAGAGGTAAATAAGGCCTCTTTGACCAGCAGGAGAGGAAATGCTGGTAGGAAGACTCTTCCAGGATGTAATGCAGAAGAAGCTCAGGGCAGAGCTATTCACACTTTACACCAGTGCTGTTTCCTCACCATAGAGGTTCCTGAGGTCACAGTGTTTTCCAAGTCTCCCGTGACACTGGGTCAGCCCAACACCCTCATCTGTCTTGTGGACAACATCTTTCCTCCTGTGGTCAACATCACCTGGCTGAGCAATGGGCACTCAGTCACAGAAGGTGTTTCTGAGACCAGCTTCCTCTCCAAGAGTGATCATTCCTTCTTCAAGATCAGTTACCTCACCTTCCTCCCTTCTGCTGATGAGATTTATGACTGCAAGGTGGAGCACTGGGGCCTGGATGAGCCTCTTCTGAAACACTGGGGTAAGGATGAGTTTCACCATTTTTTGATGCTTTCTTGTCTGTCAAGTTCAGAACTTCCTGCCTTTTACTCTATATCCCAAAACTTGTTTTCCACACTTCATGAGTTTCTTTTGTCTTTTTTTTGAAAGAATTAAGCAACAAAAGCACAGATTTATTAAAAAAGAAAGTACACTCCACAGGGTGGGAGCAGGCCTGCCACTTCATGGGTTTCTAATAACAGACTTCACTCTCCTCCCTAAGCTGGGGGCCTTGAGTCTTTGCAGAGCCAACCCTCTACCCCATCCCATCCCACACACATGCACATGAGCAAACTCTGCATTCTGACCTCAACAACTTCACTTCCACAGAGCCTGAGATTCCAACACCTATGTCAGAGCTCACAGAGACTGTGGTCTGCGCCCTGGGGTTGTCTGTGGGCCTCGTGGGCATTGTGGTGGGGACCGTCTTGATCATCCGAGGCCTGCGTTCAGTTGGTGCTTCCAGACACCAAGGGCCCTTGTGAATCCCATCCTGAAAAGGAAGGTAAGATTGAGATTTGTTAGAGCTGAAGCTGCAGGAAGGAAAGTGGGAGGAGGCTGTGGACATGAATGTGGTTGAAAGTTGTAGGGGAATTGGGAAGTGGCATGATGATGACACAGGAGCCCCCTTGGACCCATCGATCTCATGTCTGTCCTGTTGCAGGTGCATCACCATCTACAGCAGCGGAAGAGTGGACTTGCTACATGACCTAGCACTATTCTCTGGCCCGATTTATCATACCCTTTTTCTCCTGCAAATGTTTCTCCTCTTACCTTTTCTCTGCTTTTTTTTTCTTAAGCTTCTGTATCCCCTCAGAGCTCACAAATGCCTTTGAATTCTTTCCCTGACCTCCTGATTTTTTTTTCTTTTCTCAGGTGTTACCTACTAAGAGATGCCTGGGGTAAGCCGCCCAGCTACCTAATTCCTCAGTAACATCGATCTAAAATCTCCATGGAAGCAATAAATTCCCTTTAAGAGATCTATGTCAAATTTTTCTATCTTTCATCCGGGGCTGACTGAACCTATGGCTAAGAATTGTGACACTCTCATGTTTCAAGCCAATTTCATCTCATTTCCCAGATCATATTTCATATCCAGTAACACAGAAGCAACCAAGTACAATATAGCCTGATAATATGTTGATTTCTTAGCTGACATTAATATTTCTTTCTTCTTTGTGTTCTCACCCTTGGCACTGCCGCCCATCCCTCAATTCAGGCAACAATGAAGTTAATGGATACTCTCTGCCCTTTGCTCAGAATTGTTATAGCAAAAATTTTAAAACCAAAAAATAAGTTTGTACTAATTTCAATATGGCTTTTAAAAGTATGATGGAGAAATAAATTAGGATAAAGGAACTTTGAATCACAAAAATATCAAAAGTAAAAATTTATTCTCAAAACTTTGCATTTGTAAAGAATGATGACAGTAGAAGCCTTCCTCTCCCCTCCTCGCCTTTAGGGAATAAAAATTCTTTAGGTAGGAAAAGAAATGGAAGTCAGAAAAACATTAGAAAAAGACAGTAATGTGGGTATCTGAAAAGGAACAAATACTTATTCCTCACATAGGGTTAGTGACAATGGGAAAAGGGATAGGAGTAGAAGCCACAGACATATCTAGGAGCCCTGAATAGAGGCGCAGTCTGCCTCACCTCCTGAATGAAGCTTTGCTAGATAACCACGTAGCTTTCCCTGTGCCACCCTTGCATGAAGCAGACAGTATAGTGGATATGGCAGGATGTTTCTAGGAAACATGCCGATACAAAACAATGCCAGTATCTTCAGAAATCCCCAGCCCTTTCCCCTCACCCCTCCTGGCTAAGGAAAGCACTAGCTTATGAGAGAAACCCTAGGAGGAACAACACAGTTGAGACAATGTAGCAGCAGCTGTGGGTGCTGTGTCCTCCACTGGATTGGCCATTTCCTAGCAGAAACTCTCCCAGAGGAAATGGTCAGCAGTGACCCCATGGCTCTAAACAGCTATGAAATCTGTGAGGGTATTTCTATCCATGCTACCTGCATCAGTGAGTTTAAATTTTAATTGGAGAAAAAAGACAAAATATTAACACATTAATTGATACAGTATAGTTTGGTGCAAAGAACCCTAAATCCAAATCAAGGATTCAGTACTTTGAAGCTAGTATTTTAAACTTTATAAATGGGTAAAGTATCTAACATTTCTGGCCTTATTTTTCTCTTCCACAATGGAGGAGTAATAATACTTTCCTTGCAGAGCTATTGATGGAATTTGAATAATCTTGATATATAGTCAATGCCTTACATATAGTACATAAATACACAAGAAAACATTGTGGTTATATTTATAATTAATTTATTTAAAAGAATGGATCACGTTATATGAAAAGTACTTTTGTTTTTCTCAGCCCCTTAATGATTTAGGAGATTCAAATGTATGTAGAACTATGGGTGAATTTCTTTTCATATGATCATTGCAGGATATTGTTTTCTCCAAAATGAGAGAGGCTGAGATCAATTGCTAAGAGAACTCTTAGGATGAGAAATCGTAATATTTCACTTTGGTTTTCAACTCTTTAAGAAGGGATATATTCCCTCCTTGTGGCCTATAAGTCTTTATTCAAAGTATTTCATATGCAACAGATGTTTATGCATGTTTACTTTGGGGAGGAGGTGAAGAAAGTTCAAGGAGAAAATAATTTAAAATGCAGACTAGGAATCAGTAAGCAAGGGAGTCTGAACAAGTGATCATCAAAAAAATGTCCATCACAGAGCACAGAGCATTTTTAGGGCAATGAAACTACTCTATTTGATACCACAATGTTGAAAAATGTCATTATGCATTTGCCCAAATCCACAGAATGTACAACACCAAGAGTGAGACAATGTAAACCATGGACTTTGGGTGATAATGATGTGCCAATGTAAGTTCATAAATTATAGCAAATGTACCACTCTGGAGGGAAATGTTGCTAATGGGGGAGGCTATGCATGTGTGGGAGCAGAATGTATCTGGCAGCCGTCCCCAACGTTTTTGGCACCAGGGACCAGTTTTATGGAAGACAATTTTTTCACAGATAGTGGGGGGAATGTGGGTATGATTTGGGGATGAAACTGTGAAACTGTTCCACCTCAGATCAAAAAGCATTAGCAAGGTTCTCATAAGGAACATGCAACCTAGATCTTTTGCATGCACAGTTAACAATAGGGTTCGCGCTCCTATGAGAATCTAATGCCACCACTGATCTGACGGAAGGCGGGGCTCAGTTGGTAATGCTACCTCGTCCACTGCATGGTCCAGTTTCTAACAGGCCACCAGCTGGTACTGGTCCATGGCCCAGGGGGTTGGGGACCTTTGGGATATCTCTGCAGCTTCTGCTCAGTTTTTCTGTGAACTAGCAACTGCTTTAAAATAAAGTCTATTTTTTTTATTATACTTTAAGTTTTCGGGTACATGTGCACAACGTGCAGGTTTGTTACACATGTATACATGTGCCATGTTGGTGTGCTGCACCCATTAACTCGTCATTTACATTAGGTATATCTCCTAATGCTATCCCTCTCCCCTCCCCCCACCCCACAACAGGCCCCGGTGTGTGATGTTCCCCTTCCTGTGTCCACGTGTTCTCATTGTTCAATTCCCACCTATGAATGAGAACATGTGGTGTTTGGTTTTTTGTCCTTGGGATAGTTTGCTGTGAATGATGGTTTCCAGCTTCATCCATGTCCCTACAAAGGACATGAACTCATCATTTTTTATGGCTGCATAGTATTCCATGGTGTGTATGTGCCACATTTTCTTCATCCAGTCTATCATTGTTGGACATTTGGGTTGGTTCCAAGTCTTTGCATTTGTGAATAGTGCCAAAATAAACATACATGTGCATGTGTCTTTATAGCAGCATGATTTATAATCCTTTGGGTATATACCCAGTAATGGGATGGCTGGGTCAAATGGTATTTCTAGTTCTAGATCCCTGAGGAATCGCCACACTGACTTCCACAATGGTTGAACTAGTTTACAGTCCAATCAACAGTGTAAAAGTATTCCTATTTCTCCACATCCTCTCCAGCACCTGTTGTTTCCTGACTTTTTAATGATTGCCATTCTAACTGGTGTGAGATGGTATCTCATTGTGCTTTTGATTTGCATTTCTCTGATGGCCAGTGGTGATGAGCATTTTTTCATGTGTTTTTTGGCTGCATAAATGTCTTCTTTTGAGAAGTGTCTGTTCATATCCTTTGCCCAGTTTTTGATGGGGTTGTTTGCTTTTTTCTTGTAAATTTGTTTGAGTTCATTGTAGATTCTGGATATCAGCCCTTTGTCAGATGAGTAGATTGCAAAAATTTTCTCCCATTCTGTAGGTTGTCTGTTCACTTTGATGGTAGTTTCTTTTGCTGTGCAGAAGCTCTTTAGTTTAATTAGATCCCATTTGTCAATTTTGGCTTTTGTTGCCATTGCTTTTGGTGTTTTAGACATGAAGTCCTTGCCCATGCCTATGTCCTGAATGGTATTGCCTAGGTTTTCTTCTAGGGTTTTTATGGTTTTAGGTCTAACATTTAAGTCTTTAATCCATCTTGAATTAATTTTTGTATAAGGTGTAAGGAAGGGATCCAGTTTCAGCTTTCTACATATGGCTAGCCAGTTTTCCCAGCACCATTTATTAAATAGGGAATCCTTTCCCCATTTCGTGTTTTTGTCAGGTTTGTCAAAGATCAGATAGTTGTAGATATGCAGCATTATTTCTGAGGGCTCTGTTCTGTTCCATTGGTCTATATCTCTGTTTTGGTACCAGTACCATGCTGTTTTGGTTACTGTAGCCTTGTAGTATAGTTTGAAGTCAGGTAGCATGATGCCTCCAGCTTTGTTCTTTTGGCTTAGGACTGACTTGGCAATGCAGGCTCTATTTTGGTTCCATATGAACTTTAAAGTAGTTTTTTCCAATTTTGTGAAGAAAGTCATTGGTAGCTTGCTGATAAGCAACTTCAGCAAAGTCTCAGGATACAAAATCAATGTACAAAAATCACAAGCATTCTTATACACCAATAACAGACAAACAGAGAGCCAAATCATGAGTGAACTCCCATTCACAATTGCTTCAAAGAGAATAAAATACCTAGGAATCCAACTTACAAGGGATGTGAAGGACCTCTTCAAGGAAAACTACAAACCACTCCTCAATGAAATAAAAGAGGATACAAACCAATGGAAGAACATTCCATGCTCATGGGTAGGAAGAATCAATATCGTGAAAATGGCCATACTGCCCAAGGTAATTTATAGATTCAATAAAGTCTGTTTTTAAAAAGGAGACAAAAAGGTAACCAATTATGATCCCAAATATATAAAATAAAACTTTTAGTATGAAAAAGTCACATTAAAATGCGCAAATGTGCTAAGAAATTTTTAGCAATAGGGTTTCAAATAAATTTCATATAAATTTCAATGATTCATAAGGCAAGAATCCAGCATATTGGAGTTGTGTGCATTTGTGTGCTTGTGTGTGTGTGTGTGTATGTGTAATATAAGGGGTATACTGAATGGCAAAATGACTAGTCATACAGAAATCTACAAATGCTGCCCAACTCAGACTCATTCCTCAAGAAGTACTGTGGAAAGCAAATTTAATGATAGTGCATTTTATTAAAAGGTTGTATTCAAAAAGTATTTATGTAATGTTAAAATAGCAGAATTAAAACTAATTCTAAAAAATAAGAGTAAATTTTTTTAATCAGCTAAAAAAGTAGGGTCATTATTGACATTACTATAAATGGGGTTACAGATCAACCTGCATGATTTTAAATCATGCGATACTTAAAAATTATTTCAGTTATTTGAATTATTTCAGATTATATACATAAAGTGTGACTTCATTAATATTTAATATCACATTATTTAAAATTTACAAAATTAGTGGGTCACAGAGGCTCGTGCCTGTGATCTTAACAGTTTGGAGGCCAATGGAGGAGGATTGCTTGAAGCCAGGAGTTCAACAGCTGCCTGGGCAACAAAACAAGACCCCATCTCTACAACATAAAAATAAATTAGCGCATGGTGGCGCGCCTGTAATCCCAGCTACTCTGGAGGCTGAGGCGAGAGGAGCGAACCCAGGAGTTCAGGGCTTCAGAGGGCTAGGATTGTGCCACTGTGCTCGCTCCAGCCTAGGCAACAGAGCAAGACCCCACCTCTAAAAATAAATAAATAAATAAATAAATTTTACAAAATTTTAAAAATCACATGAAATATTTCAGGTTTGTACTTGCCACAGACAAACTAGGGATTTGAAGAATTAAACATTTTATTTTACTTACAGTCTGTACTGGCACATAGTAAGTAGTCAGTAGGTGTTAACAATTAGTGTTATTGTTATTTTCTGGAGTCCAACTAACAAATCCCATAGCGAATGACACCACAGGGATGAAACCAACAAGATCCAGAATATGGGAACTTCCACTAGATAACTCAATTTTTTCAGCAACAATTCAAAGACAGACAGAGAGAGAGAAAGAAGAGAAGAGAAGAGAAGAGAAGGGAAGGGAAGAGAAGAGAAGCTATACATTTTTAAAAGGCTGAAGAAATATATGAACCATATTGATATGAGGCAATCAGAAAAATTGACACCGACTGTATTAAGGAAATAGCTAATTTTAGTGTGGTAATAGCATTGCTGTTATGTTTCTAAAAAGTCATTATACTTTAGATTTTCATAATAAAATAATTATGAATGAAGTATGGTATCTGAAAGTATCTTCAGAATAACCCAGTGTGCATGTATGATTAATTGGGTGGGTTTACAAAATTGCCCATGAATTGATCATTGTTAAAGCTTGGCTGTTAAAACATGGCACTCTTCTCTCTAACACTGTTGAAGTTTTCTGTAATACAAAGTTTTTTAAAAAATGCATTCCAGGAAAGTCCCATAAACATAGGCAGAGAAACATTCTGTTTGAAGTTATGTTAGTTTTTAGGCTTTTCTCATTTTTATCACAGTTGGGAAATCCTAAGTATCCAAATCCTGCCTAAGACTATAGGAACCTCTCAAAAATGCAACTCTAAAGAATGTGTATGCAAGAACTAATAATAGCAAAGGAAAGCAAAGTACTTTTTCCTTTATTATTGGCTGTACTAAGCCCCCAGACTTGTTTATATATTCCTTAATTCATCAAAACTGCAAAAATGGTCTTTGAGTACCATTATAGCAATAAGTACCATACTTTGTTATACGTATCATTAAAATAATGTGAAAAGAGATACATTCATTGTCTTCATAGAACTTACACTCTAGTGGGAAGAAATATACATATATTACATAATTCCACAAACATATAATTACAAACTCTGAATAATTTATAAAGGAAAAGAGAACAAGGTAAAGTGAGAGAGTGTTGCACAGGAACCAGGTATAATTTGGGGGAGATTAGAGGTGACTCGAAGAAGTGTATCTTGAGATGAAATAAGATGGTATACAGTAGGTAAGGGACAAGGTTGAGGCAGGCAGAGCAAATGTTTGAGAAACTCTTACAACACGAAAGAGAAGATGAGAATAAAATAACATGAAAATTATCACAGATTTAATATGGAAAGCTCATGTAACAGCAAACAAGTTTAAAGTCTTTCTAATTAGAATTCTTAATCTGTAAGAGTAATAATAGAATGCTATAAACAATTGGAAAATTTAATAGGAAGGTTGGAAAACTAAGTCAAGAAATATGAAAAGGCAAAAATTGTACCTACCACACATAGTTTTATTAGAAGTTGACTAAGGATATTACTTAGTAAAGTAAAACTGTTAATCAGGAAATGGGAAGGTAAAGAATCCAGAAAACTGAATTTAACCCAGGACCTCACTGAAAAGGGATCCTATTACAGCAGTTCCTTGGCAAGCAAAGAACGTCTGATACATGAGTGATATTTAGAAAATGATAAACTATTTTTTTCAATTTTTAGAATTAAGCTACGAGCAAAGCCCAAGTATGCTTATTGTTACAGCAGAATGTCAAAATTGTCAGCTTTGACAATATTGAAAAAAGGGTGCCTGTATCTCATTTTGGCAAGTGGAAGCATAAAGGGGAGGGGAAAGGAAGGGTATCAATGCCAATAACTTCATCTCCCAAGAAGCAGAAAAGAGAAATTGCCCATAGTTAAGGAAGAAATCACAAAGATCACTACATTTAAATTACATTTGTAACCAAAAGAATTATGTAAGATGGCTCATGAATTAAAGCAGGGTTTTAGAAATTGGACTATCATTCAGTCAAAAAGTCTTCATCCTAACCCCCAGGGAGTTCTGAAGCTGTAGGATCCCTTCAGATTTGGCTTCATTTAGGGAAAGGGTTTAGGACATTTATACCCCAACACTGACCAGTCATTATAGGTGGGTTCTTCCTGGGAAGTGGAGTAAAATCTGATGAGGTTGCTTTCATCACCTAAAGCAATTCTGGGGGATGACTGACAGCTAAGGGCTGTCAGCCAGCAACATTCCCAGCAGTGAGAGAATAAATCCTTCAGTCCCAAAGGGAGGAGTTTAGGTAGAACAGAACAGCATCCACAACAGAAACGGTGTTCTAGTTCCTGGGAATACGTATATATTCATGTAGAAGAAAACAAACAAACAAACAAAATATATATATAGTTTTATTTTGCAGTCTCGCTCTGTCACCCAGGCTGGAGTGAAATGGTGTGGTCTCGGTTCACTGCAACCTCCGCCTCCTGGGTTCGAGCAATTCTCCCACCTCAGCCTCCCAAATAGCTGGGACTACAGGAGAATGCCACCATGCCCGGCTAATTTTTGTATTTTTAGTAGAGACGGGGTTTCACTATGTTGGCCAGGTTTGTCTTGAACTCCTGACCTAGTGATCCGCCCACCTCGGCCTTCCAAAGTACTGGGATTACAGGTATGAGCCACGGCGCCCCACCCAAATAAATGTTTTTTTATAAATTCATTATCTATTTAAAAAATAAAAATAGAACTACCACATCATCCAGCAATTCCACTGCTGGGTACATCTGCAAAGAAAATGAAATCAGTGTATCAAAGAGGTATCTGTACTCCCATGTTCATCGCAGCACTACTCACAATGGCCAGGAGATGTTAACAACCTAAGTCTCAATCAGCAGATGAGTGTATAAGGAAACTGTGGTCCATATACACAATGGAATACTATTCAGCCTTGTAAAAGAAGGAAATCTTTTACATTTTTTACAACATGGATGAACCTGGAAGACATTATGTTAAGTGAAATAAGCCAGGCACAGAAAGACAAATACTGCATGACCTCACTTACCTGTGGAATCTAAAAAAGTCAAAATCATGGCAGGTCGGGGAGTGGGGGTAGCAGGGAGGGGGACAAGGAGGAATGAGAAGATGTTGGTCAAAAGGTACAAAGAAGGGCAGGGTGTGGTGGCTCATGCCTATAATCCCACCACTTTGGGAGGCTGAGGCAGGTAGATTGGTTGAGCACAGGAGTTCAAGACCAGCTGGGCAGCATGGTGAAACCCTATCTTTACAAAAAATACAAAAACTAGCCAGGCATGGTCACACATGCCAGTAGTCCCGGCTACTCCAGAGACTGAGGTGGGAGGATGGATTGAGCCCGGGAAGTGAAGGCTGCAGTGAGCTGTGATCGTACCACTGCACCCCAGCCAGACCTAGACCCCGTTTCAGAAAAAAAGTACAAAGTTTCAGTTAGGCAGGAGGAATAAGTACTGAAGATCGATTGTACAGCATGGTGACTACGGTTAATAATAATGTACAGTCGTCCCTCGGCATCCACGAGGGATTTGTTCCAGTATCCTCTCTGTATACCAAAATCTGAGAATGCTCAGGTCCCTTATTAAAAATGTCTTAGTTTTTGCATATAAACTAAGCCTATCCTCCTGTATGCTTTAAATCATCTCCAGATTATACTTAGAATACCCAATGTAATGTAAATGCTATGAAAATAGTTGTTATACTGTATTGTTTTTGAATTGGAATTATTTTTATAGTTATATTGTTAGTTTTCATTTTTTTCTAAATATTTTCAACCCACAGTTGAATGAATGAGAGGATGTGAAACCCACAGATATAGAGGGCCAACTGTATTGTATATTTGAAAATTGCAGAGAGAGATTTTAAATATTCATACCACCAAAAAGTGAAGTGATGGATATGTTAATTAGCCTGGTTTAATCACATGTATCAAAAAAATCACACAGTACCCTGTAAATCCACAGTGATTTGTCAATTAAAAATAATTAATGAGTTCAAAATTCTTTTGAAGTGTAACATCCTTAACTTTTTCTTGTTCAAATAAAGTTTTCTTTTTATTTTTTTAATTTGTTTTAAAAACTCATCTCTTAACTTCCATTAACTCAGTTGATTCACCCTATTAACTTAAGGACTCTCTTCTTCCTTAAGTTAAACATTTCATGATAATCAGGAAGGGCAAGGTTATGTTGCAATAAGATCTTAACCCACAGTAAAAAGTAGATCTTAACCCACAGTAAAAAGTAGATCTCAGTGGCTTAACTCAATAAGGAGACTTAATTCCACAGTTATTCAAATGACTCAGATTATGGAGTTTCCAGCATCTCATACACCACCATGTACCTACTTGCAAGTTCCATTGGTTACTGTTAGTCAAATGTCCCCAACCTAACAGCAGAAAAGACTGAGAAATGTACAGGAGCTTTGGAATACTGGCGAGCATCACTGTCTCCAAAAGTTATACTGTTATTATCTAAGGTAAGGACAAATGCTCAAGACTGGTAGGTTGTCCTCTAGAACACCCACACGCTTTCCTCCAAGTTATATGCTGAGTAAGACTCAGTTCTTTGTGTTAGCAAACTTATTTATAGACGATGTACTTATTATTTTAATTAATTATCCATTAAAGATTATACTATCCAATGAAATCTGGGTGCAAAACATAGTTGTTTCTATGAAACTGTCAATGGAAGAAAGAGAAGACGATTTTGACCCTCTCGTTAATAAAGAATCTTCCAGCATGTGTGCTCAGTGTGACAATGTTGAACTGTAAGAATGTCCTAGAATATAATCTATCACCCACCCCGATTATAGGGCTTATGCTTCAACTAGAAAAATCAGATCTCGATGTTCCCCTAAACTTTGAGTCTTGTTCAATCCCTAGCCCTGCCTCTTCCCTTTGCAGGGTCAAAAGCCAGGAGCTACACACAGAGACTGAGGACACGCTGGACAACCCAGCACATGCCTTCCCCATTTCCCCAAAAGTGTTACTCCCTTTTGATCCCTATGGTGAATGACAGTGCCCACCCTGAGGAAGAGGACAAAATCGGCACAAAACTTTTGACTCCATTCAGCATTCTACTTGGGGAAAATTCAGACCATAACCCTGGGGAGCAGAATCTCAAGTGTTGGTGCCTCTTTGTGCGCCAGTGTCCCTGTCTGAGGACCTGCATGACAGCCTGGAGTACAGGAGATGAACGTCCCAAGGAGACCTAGTTCTCCACTCTGACCTCATCCATAAGAAGGAAGAGCCTGCCAAAGACTCCTCACGCCCAGTGTGTGGGTGAGGGAGAAAGGAAGATGGGATGCCTGCTTTCAGGGTCATGGCCTTACATAACCTCGCAGAAGCTCCCAGACTCTGGCTTCATGATGAAACTCAGAGACTGAGATGTAGACCAGCTTCAGGGCTGGGCCCACATCAAAGGGGCCACAGTGTGTAGTTACCTCCCTCATAACCGGGAAAAGAGTGTCATCAGGAATCAACAGGTTACAACGTCTATGACAAAGGGAGCTCAGACAAGGAGTGGAATGACTATGAACAGGTACCCCCAATGAGGGACCCTAGAACCAGAGGGAGCTCTGCCATTTGTCCTGTGGGCTCCACAAGAAACAAACTGCCCCTTACACCCCTCCACTGTGAGGAGGCTGTGGAGGCTGAGGTGCTCCACATGGCTGGTGTAGACATCTGCACACTGGAAGTCATTTCCAGGACCACAAGGATCTGGAAAATCCAGTCCTCCTTCCTAATAAGAGCGATGGACACAATGCTGGCTGTCAGCATCCCGTGCACAGGACAATGTGTTTGAGAGGTGTGCATGTTACCCAGGCTTGGCCAATCAGAATCTTTCCTAAAGTTGTTAAAACTCTGGTAGACATTCTAGAAACATATATTAACAGAGACAGACAAACAGACACACACACACACACACACACACACACACAGCAAGAGAGAGAGATGAGATAAGATATGAAGTGATAAGGAAGAGAAATGCAGAAAAATAGATGCAAAAAGAAACACGGAGACAGAAAAAATGCAGATAAACAGTGACAATGGATTAGAAAAATAGAAAGAAAGGCAACAATGTAGTGAAAGACAACAAGGGGGCACGGAAAAAAATGCAGAGAGACACGCAGAAAGAACTATACAGGGACAAAGAGATACAGAGAAAGAGAGGCAGATTCACAGATAGAGATGTAACAGAAAGAGAGAGGTGAAGATCTCGTTGAGTATCTGGAACTAGTCACTTCTGAAATCAACTTGACTCTAGGCTTCCTTTGCACCATGAACGAAATATATTTGGGTTTCTATCATTTAGAATCAAAAATAGTACTTTTATTGCTGGTTATGCTTTCTTAAAAGTAAAAATTATTCTTGATTGATGTGACTTGCCAGAATGTTTGAAACACCAGTGACCAAGGGTCACTATATCTGCCCCCAAACAATTCCACCATGCTTACTTATATAGCACTCACCAAACCAGAAGAGAGGCTGGGATATTCTCAGGCCACTGCACTGAGCATCAATATGAAAGAACCATGAATGATGCAACAACTGAGTTGATCTTCTACCTCCTCTGCCCACCCTGACTTTGCACCCCAAATTCTTTCAGTGTCTTTTCAAGGTACAACCCTCCTTCTGGGCACAGGTTGGCTGGGTCACCTCAAGGTATGTTCCTTCATTCTGCAGTGATTTCCTGCCTCTGCTCAATTAAGGAAGTTGAGAATACAGATAACTCAGGATCATGTTTAATTATGTAAAAAAGCTCTAAAGTCAGGTAATGGTTTTCATGTGCTTCTCTTGAGCAGTCTGAGGAGAGAATAGAAACAGAAACCCCTTGGGGCCTCAGTAGACGCAGCTGGCCGTGCACAGGCAGAGGCTCTGGGTAAGTGCAGGAAGCAGGGTCACAGCCATCAGCCTCGAGGTGGGGATGAAAGGAGATGACCTGGTGGCTGCGTGACAGCCACTGTAGGACTCTGATCTCAGGGGGACAGGCTGACACAGGCAGCTGGGAATTCTGGGCAGGGACAAGCAGGCGTTACAGAAAAGTGATAACCAATCCCAGTTAAAATAGTCTCAGGAGTCAGTGCAGGAGCCCTGAAGAAGAGAGAAGAGGGATGATCAGCACAGGGTACGCTGGTGGGCCTGCAATCTCCCCCACCCCTCAGGGGCCCCCTGCAGCTTCAGACAGAGAAAGCTGAGGTCCAGAATGTATTATTGTCACCTCCCGCAAGATCTGTGCAAAGGTGAAATCAGCTCGTGAGGACACAGAACTTCAGCTTGATGCAGATATGTGGGAAGTGGCGGAACAGCTGTTACTCTTCTGGGGAATATGAAGGGTTCAATCTTTTTAGAAAATTGGATGATACCTCATCCCTACCACTAGCAGCCTCTTTCAGTCACTGGAAAATGCCTACAGGCAGTAGCCACCAACATGTGGCACAAAGTGGGCATCATCCTCTTGTCTAACATTTAAGCTGTGGTTCTGGCTTCACATTTCACAAGAAGATACCACCAAAGTTAAGGCTTGGTTCTGGGGAACAACCTCTGGAGATTCCTAGAAACTGGCAAACTTCGACCCTAAGTCTTGATCCTCATAGCAGCAAATATACCATGAACAGAGACCATTGTGGTCAGGTGCATTCAGCTCATGCTCTTCCCTCTTACACCTGTGCCCCCCCACACTGGCTCATGGCTGAAATATCACCTGCTGGTGGAGGCCCTTGAGGTCTTACAAAAGGAAGTTATGCAGAGAAAGGTCTCATTACACAAACAGCCACTCTTTCACCCCAAAGGAAAATGACACATGTGACTTAATTAGAGTTATATTCTCTTACCACTCATGTTCTTCAAGGCCTTAAGTACCCTAATTTAAAATCCCCTAAAACAAAGAAAATTGTCACTAGAAGGCAAGGAGGCCAAGGCTCTGACCCTCTTAATGGAGGAAGCTTTTGGAAAGGAGCCAATGAGATGATGAATGGTAAGTATATCCTGGAATAAGCTCTATCAGTCACCTGTGTGACAGGGCTACCTTTCAACTAGTAAAATCAGATTCCAATGCCTCCTCCAATCTTGTCCTGTCTCCTCCCACCTCCAGCTCAGTTTTCTTCCTCTCAGGGTCAGGAGGAAAGAGCCACATCTAGAGACAGGACCTCCCTGAACAGAGGGTCTGGGTCACAGCCCATCTTCCCCTTTTCCCTTGGGGTTCCTCACCTTTCTGACTCCTGTGATGGATAATAAGGCCCAGCCCGAGGAAGATCAGCCCCAGCACGAAGCCTCCAATGCCACTCAGCATCTTGCTCTGGGCAGATTCAGACTGAGCCCCTAAGAAGCAGAGCCTGAGTGTCAGCGTTTGTCCCTACACCCCATAGCATCCCTGCTGAGGAGCTGAAGTCCAGTCTGAGATGCAGGAGGTGAAAGTGTCAAAGGAACCTAGTCCTCCATTCAGACCACCCCTAAGGGAGGGGAAAGCCAGCCAATAGGTCCTTCGGTATAGTGAGTAGGTGAGAGAGCGGGGAAGCAGATCTCCACTCCTCAGGAACTCATCCATACCTTAAACCCTAAGATCCCAGTCACCAGCCCTAATAATAAGTCCCTCCGAGCTATCAGGACTGGGATCTGGAGAAACAGTACGTAGAATAATTTCCCTAGCATCTGGAAAGGTGATGAGATCAGGATTCTTCTGATGCACTTGCCATGGAGCAAGAGGTGCTCTAGTCTCCTGTGATCCCCAGCTCAGTAGTGACATCAGGGATAAGAGATGGGAAGGAATGGGTCAGAAGGAGCTCTGCCCTTTGTCTTGTGGGGCCCATAGTAACAGAAACTCAATATCCCCTTACGCCACTCCACGATGATGGGGTTCTGGAGGCTGGGGTGCTCCACGTGGCAGGTGTAGACGTCTCCACGCTGGGGAGTCATTTCCAGCATCACCAGGATCTGGAAGGTCCAGTCACCGTTCCTAATAAGGGGGGTGGACACAACGCCAGTTGTCTCCTCCTGGTCATTCCGAAACCACCGGACTTTGATCTGGGCTGGATAGAAATCTGTCACTGAGCAGACCAGCAGGTTGTGGTGGTTGAGGGCCTCTGTCCTGGATGGGGAGATGGTCACTGTGGGCTCCACTGAGGGCAGTAACAGACAGGAAAAGACAGGAGTGAGATGTGAGACCACACAGCACGTCTACCATTGGGAATGGTCCCTCCTTGGAACCAGAGTGGAAAGATACCTGGAGTCCAAGTCTTGGATTAAGATTCATTCAACAAATATAAATATGACAATCACTGAGAATCCAAAGATAAACAACATACCATGGTCCCTGCCTTTACAGAATGTGCGATCTAGTAACAGACAGCAAAAAACAAAAAGAATGTGATTTCAAAAGTCTGTAATATTTGAAACAAAAGTAGGCAGGCCTTCAAAACAAATAACACTGATCAAACATCATGTTTGCCCATAACTCGATTCCTTTATCTTCTCAGACTGCTGCTCATAGTAAAAAAATGACACATCTTTCCCTGTCTCTTTACACGTCTCATCCTTTATCTTTCAGGCCACTTTATTGCATTTCCTTTATTCTCTTAGTGTGAAACTATAGTAAATATTTAATGTATGCTTTCTTTATTTAGTAATATGTTCTCTCATTTTCTTTTTTTCCTTAATTTATTTTTAACATACAAGTGAGTTTAATTACTAGCTGTCTACCCTACTCCATTCCCTTGCTATTGAGAATTACTTTTTTGTCCTGAAATCAGATATTATCATGTATGTTATCTGTAGAAAATATTCTGAGATCCTTGCAGAGATCAGCCTAGGTTAATGAGCCTGTAATGTGAACATATAAATATAGCTGAGATTTGCTGAGGTCAGCAGGTTGCACCCCAATTAAAAGGCACTCTTGAGCCATCATCCGGAAGGAATCACGGTTTCTGCTTGGACTTGAACTTTTCTTTGGTTCTCCTTCCTGGAGTCCACCTGAAATCACAGTCAGCTATGTGGCCTTATAAGATTTGTTCATCTTACACAGACTGGGAGTAAAATAGAGGGCACAAACTTATGAGAAAAGATGATAAAATAAATTTTATGGAAATAGAACCAAAATAGCAAAAATGTAAGTACTTGCTGGCACTACGATGTGAGTCAAAAGAAGGCAAGGGAGTTTAAAGTAAACTAAAAGTTTTGTGAATCTGCATAGGTAACACTGGAGTCAGACTAGGGATTGATTAATCATAAATTTTCAATGCCTTGAAAGTATCATTTTGTCCCATTAACATGGAGATCAAACAGGAAGAGACTCATTGCTGCTTCTAGTCAAAACTGGCTTTAACAAGGCTTTATGTCCCTTTGACTCTATAGATGTGTAGTGAAGAACATAAAGAATATTGTGTACTTTGGGAGGCTTAAGGTCTTGGTGAGTACTTGTGGGCTGATTACTTAAAGTGTTTGTCATGTACTAATATTAGGATATATAAAGTGGTGATGCTAATCTCTAATGCACAGGCAACTGTGAGATTAAATGACGTAACATAGACGGTATTTGATAAGGTAACTGTCTAGAAATAAGTGCTCACTAAATGGGTAAAATTGACTTTCAGAATGTTTATTCCTGAAGTGGATAGTGATGGGGGGAGGGGAGAACCTAAGCCAAAAGCAACCTGAAACTATTTTTATCCAATAATTTAATTGCTTCAATCTATTTATTCCAAAACTTCTGCTCTTTGCATTGTGCCATTTGTTCAGCTTTTCTAAGAAATTAAAACTGCCTTACAAACATCATTCAAGTGTTGTTTTTATTTTTAGCAAACACTTTTTTCCTCAGACTTTGTATTCACAAACTCTATTAAGATCCAAGTCAATAAGAGTTTACTTTAAAGAATTAAGCAAAATGACAGAAAATAATTAATAAAAGTCCATTTTTAAGGCTCTATTTATCCTCTGCTTTCCCTTGAGCCTAAGTGGATTGGCAGCTGAGCACATTTATTCATTAATTTAACAGAAGATCATTGAGCTCATACCACATGCCAGTCAATGTGTCAGATACCAGGCATGCAATGATTAAAACACTCTCATCTCAAAGAGCTCCGCCATGAATGAGAGCCATTTAAGAAAACAGAATTACGATGAATAATAATTTGAAGTCAAAAGTCAAAATATCTTATTTGACAACTGTAATTGCTGGATGCCCTGCGCGCAGTTGTGGGGCAGCCCTAACTCCATCAGGCCAAGTCTGAAGCTTCCCACTGCATGAGCTGTGTAGGTGGACCTTGCCGGGTGCGGCAGTGCTAGCCGGGCGGGCGGGCAGGGGAAGAGGGCGGAAATTGGGGGCAGAGAGAACTGCTTAGTAAAGGTAAGGCACGAGGAGGCAAACGCATAAGGCACGAGGCAAGAACGTGCAGAGCAGAGGGCGAGGCCGACGGACGGGGAGGATGGGGCGAAACTAGGCAGCTTGACCAACTCTGCCTGTCCCCCTGCTCTGCCCTAGGTCCCTGCCCCTCCGATGCACCAGCCCCCAGCACCCCCACCGCCTCCTCCTGTCAGCCGGGGTGGAACGAACAAGGCTCAGGTTCCAGAGGCCGCGCCCCCTTCGCCCCTCCTGGCGCAGAGACTCTGGGCCCCTGCCAAGGATGGGCCTCGCAGACGGGCGACGACGCTCACCTCGCCGCTGCAAGGTCGTGCGGAGCTCCAACTGGTAGTTGTGTCTGCACACCGTGTCCAACTCCGCCCGGGTCCTCTCCAGGACTTCCTTCTGGCTGTTCCAGTACTCGGCGGCAGGCGGCCCCAGCGGCGTCACCGCCCGATACACCCCCACGTCGCTGTCGAAGCGCGCGTACTCCTCTCGGTTATAGATGTATCTGGTCACACCCCGCACGCGCTCGGTCCCGTTGGTGAAGTAGCACATGCCCTTAAACTGGTACACGAAATCCTCTGCGGGGAATCACCGGCCGGTCAGTCAGGCCCCGGCCCGGCCCCAGCCCGGCCGCCCCCGCAGCCGCCGCCCTGACCCGGCCCGGAGCTGTGGAACCGCCCGCGCGACCTCCAGTTCCCGCCCGCCCGTGCCTGGCGCTCCAGACTTGTGATCCGCCCGGCGGCTCTGCCCAGCCCTGCCCGCCCTCTCTGGGGGCTTCGGGAATCCGCCTTCCTGCAGGCAGGAAAGGGCGGAAAGCCCTGTCCCTGCCGGAGCCTGTGAACCGAGGGAAGAGGCAGTCGGGCTGATTTTACATAGACCTCTGCACTTAGAGGGAATCAGGGCGCTCTCGCATGAAATCCCATTTTCCATTGAGCTCCTGGAAACCTCAGAGATAAAATTATCCACATAAACCTGTGAGTTCAAGGGAATGATGAGACGGGTCCAGAAATTAAGCCTGTCCTCGTTCTGATATGCGTATTCTCTTGGTCCCTCGGTAAAATACCTCCCTTCCCATGCCTGGATTTACCCTTCCGAATGCCATGTGAGGTTCACTCACTTTTATGTTAGAAAGGACCTACACCTCCGAGTCCTAGAAAGAAACATTTATTCATGGAAAGAGCACAAGCTTTTGAATTTGATAAACTAGATTCCAATTAAGCTGTGGCAGTCACCAGCTAGGGCAGGTATGTAACAGAATATCCATATCACAAGTATAATTGTGTAAAAGAAAATCATGATATCTACACACAGGATGTTAGAAGGAGTGAGAGAGAATTTATGTAAAG